>NC_000007.14:99476475-99779506 GCF_000001405.40 Homo sapiens
GGAAGGTGAGCTGTGCCTCCCCCTCTGCTTCATCAGCATAGTCACTGCCACCAGCAGCTCCTTCCTCAGACTGAGCCCTCTTGATCAATGTGGGGAGTTTTCCTTCTTAGACAGTGCAATGTAGAGAGCTTAGCCTCTGGAGTCACATGGGCTTCCTTCAGTTACATAAACACTCTGGCTCCAGTTTTCTTTTCTGTAAAATGGGTCAGTGAGAGTGCCTATCACAGCGAGTTGTGAAGATTCAATGAAAAACACCCTGTGAAGTCCTTTGTGCAGTATCTGGTTACTCGTTTAGCACTGTGTTAAGTTGTTGCTCTTATTACCGTAGTAGTTGCCCATTGTTTCTGTCTGTGAGCATTATTGTGCACCTACTGCTGTACACTCCAGGTGCTGTTTTCTGTGCTGGGAGATCAACTCTTACCTGTAGGAGATTACAACCTGATTAGAGAGATAGTTGTGTAAGGAACTTCTCATAATAAATTCTGAACTGTTCCTATGAACGGGTATAATGGAAGGTCAGTTATTGAATTTGTAGCATTATGGAGGGTGATTAGAAGAGACTGAGTTGTTTTGTCTTTTTTTTTTTTTGACGGAGTCTCACTCTGTTGCCAGGCTGGAGTGTAGTGGCGCGATCTCAGCTCACTGCATCCTCTGCCTCCCGGGTTCAAGTGATTATCCTGCCTCAGCCTCCCAAGTAGCTGGGACTACAGGCGAGTGCCACCACGCCCAGCTAATTTTTGTACTTTTAGTAGAGACGGGGTTTCACCATGTTGGCCAGAATGGTCTCCATCTCTTGACCTCGTGATCCACCCACCTCAGCCTCCCAGAGTACTGGCATTACAGGCGTGAGCCACTGTGCCCAGCCTGTGTTTTGTCTTTTTTTAGACGGAGTCTCACACTGTTGCCCAGGCTGGAATGCAGTGGCATGATCATGGCTCATGGCAGCCTTGACCTTCCCAGGCTCAGGTGATCCTCCCACCTCAGCCTCCCAAGTAGTTGGGACCACAGGTACATGCCACCACGCCTGGTTACTTTTGTATTTTTTGTAGAGACAGGGTTACACCATGTTGCCCAGGTTGTTCTTGAACTCTTGGCTTGAGCCATCCACCAGCCTCAGCCTCCCAAAGTGCTGGGAATCCAGGTGTGAGCCACCGCGCCCAGCCTAGAAGAGACTGAGTTTGAAAGAAAGGAGAGGACCAGTGGCTCATGCCTGGAATCCCAGCACTTTGGGAGGCTGAGGGGGGTGGATTGCCTGAGGTCAGGAGTTTGAGACCAGCCTGGCCAACATATAGTGAAACTCCATCTCTACTAAAAATACAAAAATTAGCTGGGTATAGTGGCGCATGCCTATAATCCCATCTACTTGGGAAGCTGAGGCAGGAGAATTGCTTGAACCGAGGAGGTGGAGGTTGCAGTGAGCCGAGATCGCGCCATTGCACTCTAGCCTGGGCAACAAGAGCGAAACTGTCTCAAAAAACAAAAACGAAAACAAAAACCCAAACAAACAAAAAATGGAACTTTTAAGCAACATTTGGTGCCCATCTGTCAATGTACAAGTCCTAGCTGTTGATGGGTTCTTGGAAACTGCAACTTTAAGGGAAACTATGTATATCAAAACCGTTTTTTTTCCATCAGTGTTACAGTGAAACAAAGTTATTCAAGGACCTGCTGCTGTACATACTTTTGCTAAAAATCAGTTTCCAAGAACCTATTGTGGATGTTAGGAGAGGAGTTACCATGCCACAATGACTCTGGGAGATGAAGCCATTTTATTCCCATGCTTGTTAACCTTGTGCAGGTGCGGGAATGCAGATGGCTGAGTAGGTCAGATTGAGGACATGGCAGCGCAGCTCTGGTAAAAGAGTGACACTCTGGATAATGGTGAGAAAGGGCCTGCAACCGTAGCAGTGGAACTCAGGTTTGATAGGCAGGAAAGAAAGTCCGTATAATTTGGGAGGTTCTGGTGCCTGCCTGCAGAGGGGAGCTACGTGAAGCTTCTCAGGATGGTCTCAGGATGGGGGTGGGCATTTCCTGTTACTGACCACTTATAGGACAGCGAACGTTTGCCCTTTCCCTGCACACATCCCCTCTGAACCCATGCAGTGTCTTGTGAGAGCAAGGAGTGTGTAGACAGCCGCTGGGCCCCTTTGCCCAGAGGGCTGCAGTGGTGTGGGAGGGAGAGTGTGGCAGCTTCAGTGCTCAGCCCACTGGAGGGGGCAGTCACTTGCAGATGTAATGTCCCCTGTGCTCACTGTGCTGTGTCCACTGTTGCCCACTCTGGATATGCTCCCCAGGCGTCTGCGCCTTGGTCTGTACCTTTTATATTCTCCAGCAACGGGCTCCCCTGGTCTCTGGCATCTGCTTGGCTTGTGGCAATGGGATGAAGAGGGTTGGAGGACAGGGGACAGGGCGCCGGAGGCCTGGGGAAAACTGAGGTTGGGTTTCTCTTCCCACGGCTCCCTCCCCACTGGGCTGTGGGATGGGTGTGGCTGCATCCTGTTCAGCCGCAGCTGGTCTTGCTCCCCTTCCAGCAGCCTTCTGGGCTCCAGCAGCCCTCCCCACCTTACCCCTTCAGACCTAGCAGGCCCTGGTTCCCCAGGGTGGCCAGGACCTGCGAGCTTCCACATTTCTTGTTCATGTTCATTGAGACTATTCATCCCTTTGTAAATAGTCTGCACATTAACCAACCCCCCAGTGACCTCATCTCTTTCCTAAGGAACCTGGGGCAGAAGCAATAGGTTATTTTTATAGAGCAGCGGTCAGCAAACTGCCCTGGACCGCTTGGTAAAGTTTCCCTGAAACACAGCTGTGCCCATTCGCTTACTTGTCCACGGCTGCTTTTGTGCTCCAACACAAAGGCTGTTCCTCAGATTGTTGATTTGCTGTTCCTCTAATCAACAGCAGATTTGAGGAACTGGAACAGAGACCAGAGGGCCTGAAAAGCCTAAAATATTTACCATCTGGCCCTTTAGAGATTAATTGTGTCGACCCCGTGGTATGGAAGCCAGCACATGTCTGGCCTGAGGGCCATCAGGCCTGAAAGGAGCCCTGAATATATTCCTTATGAATTGGGTGCCCTTGGCCCACACTCTACCTCCCAAACCTTGGTTTCCTCAGCTGTGGAATAATCATTGAGCGTAAGTTATTTTAAGAATTGCAGTTACCTTTATCAGCTACTTTTCCAGGAGCTGCTCTCGTTTGAGGATGTGGCGATGTACTTCACCAGAGAGGAGTGGGGCCACCTCAACTGGGGTCAGAAGGACCTCTACCGAGATGTGATGTTGGAGAACTACAGGAACATGGTCTTGCTGGGTAGGACACGGCTTGAAGATTGGGCTTTGTCTGTGTTCTGAGTGTCTGTGCAAGCCCTTAGTCCCTTATCTGCAATTCCAGAATCAGAAAAAGCGGTGAAAACCGAAAGGTTTTTTTATAACTCGTGTGGCTACAAGCCCTGACCAGACATCACCACAGTGAAACCTGACTTCATCCTATAGGAAACCATTTATTGTCTTTATTTTTCCAACTTGGTGTGCATATCTGTATACCCAACTTCAGAAATAACAGTGTAGGCCAGGTGCGGTGGCTCACACCTGTAATCCCAGCACTTTGGGATTCCGAGGCGGGTGGATCACATGAGGTCAGTAGTTTGAGACCAGCCTGGCCAATATGGTGAAACCCAGCTCTACTTAAGATGCGAAAATTAGCCTGGTGTGGTGGTGCACGCTTGTAGTCCCAGTTACTTGGGAGGCTGAGGCAGGAGAATCGCTTGAACCCGGGAGGCAGAGGTTGCATTGAGCCGAGATCATGCCGCTGCATTCCAGCCTGGGTGACAGAGCGAGACTCCGTCTCAAAACAAAACAAAACAACAACAAAAATAACAGTGTATTTGAGGGCACCACTCCAAACCCTACTGGGGATGATACGTTATGTAAAATATTTACACCAGGTCACCTTTCTGAAATGGGAAAAATTCTGACTCCTGAAACACATCTGGTCCTAAGGGTTTCACATAAGGGACTGGGGACAGTGAATAGTCGTGTTGTGTTAGGGCTCAGACCGAGACACTTCATGCATTCTTCACTCTCACCTCGTGTTCCTCATCTGTAAGACCTCCAGGAGTTGAGAATTATGGTAGATTTACATTCCAAAGGCTCACTTCTTATGCTCTTGAAAGTCTTTTTCTTTCTTTTCTCTGGAAATGGGTAACTTCTTGGTGTGTAACATTAGTGGGTGCTCAGGAAATGATTTTCAACCAACTTCATTTCTGAACCTTCACTGCTTCCATTCTTTTCAGGAGCCTACCCTGTCCTAGTCCACTGTAGTCTCCCACTGTGGGAGTTGCCTTGCTAAATAGTTTTCTTTCCGGGGTCACATGTTTAACCCTTGCACTGACACTCTTAGCACAGAGTCTTGACCACCTCTGTGGGACTGTCCACCCACCTCTGGATTTTTATAATTTTAATTTTCCCTTTAAAAGCATTACAGGAGCATACATAAGTACATGGAAGGCATAGAAAAGGAGGAGAAGAGGAAAGTGTTCATGGGTAACACTGTTAATATTTTGGAAGGTTTCCTGCCAGTCTTTTTTTCCTATGCCTTTACAAAAGTAGCTGAGCATATTCTATGTGCAATCCTGTAATCTGTTTTAAATGTAACATTATTGTATCAGCATTTCCCCACATAATCAGTAAACGAGCATAATATAATTCCATTGTGTGGTCCATAAAAATATTTCATTGTTTTCCCATGTGGGGACATTGAGCTTGCCTTTGTTTGTTCGTTGGTTTGCTTGTGTATTTATAATGTTTGAATAGATGTTTGAGTATAAATCTTTGCATGAATTTTTGATCATTTCCCAAGATACTTTCCCAAAATCAGAATTTTGAAGTTAAATGAGATGGCACTTTAATCTTTATTGATTACTGAATGATTCTTCAACAAACTTTGTACTGTTTTGCATATCCAATAGTAACATTTTAGAGTGCTTCTTTTTTTTTTTGAGACAGAGTTTCGCTCTTGTTGCCCAGGCAGGAGTACAATGGCAGGATCTCAGCTCACCACAACCTCTGCCTCCCCGGTTCAAGTGATTCTCCTGCCTCAGACTCCTGAGTAGCTGGGATTACAGGCATGTGCCACCACACCTAGCTAATTTTGTATTTTTAGTAGAGACGGGGTTTCGCCATGTTGGTCAGGCTGGTCTCAAACTCCCGATCTCGGGTGACCCGCCCACCTCAGCCTCCCAAAGTGCTGGGATTACAGGTGTGAGCCACTGCACCCAGCTGAGAGTGCTTCTTTACTATATCACTGCCTTCTTTTATGGATTTTACTAGTTCTAAAAATAATTTTCATTACAGAAATTTTGGAAAATACATCAGTAAATAGAGTAGATAATAAAAATCACCTGCAGGCCTACTTTCCAGAAGTAACTCTTGTTATTAACATTTTGGTTTACTTTTTCCCAGTCCGTCTATGTGTCTATTACAGGGAAAGAATCCCTTATCCAAAATGCTGGGGACCAAAAGTGTTTTGGATTTCGGATTTTTCTTTTTTGGATTTTGGAATACTCATAAATATATAATAAGATAATTTGAGGATCTGACAAGAAATTCACTTATGTTTCATATACACCTTAGACATGTAGCTTCTTCAAGCTACGCTTGATTTAATTGTTCCCTTTTGATATTCAGTTTATTTCCAGTTTGATGCTGCAATACCACTGTGCTGAACGTCTCTGGCACATTCATCTTGGTTGCAATTGTACTTTAGGCTATATTTCTAAGAGCGAAATGACCACAGCCAAAGGTATGAACATTGTTCAGGCTTTCAATAAAGACTGCCAGATATTTACAAAGATTGTGCCAATCTCTGTTTTTCCCTGGGGAAGGCTGAATTAACTGTGTGTTGTGCACCTGCGTTTTGACTGCCACTGGTCACGTGAGGTCAGGTGTGGAACTCTCCACTTTTATCAGGTTAGTGCTCAGAAAGTTTCGGATTTGGGAGCATTTTGGATTAGGGATGTTCAAACTGTATTAATTACTTATACACACACACACATAACATACACACTACATAGTTTTTTAAAACAAAATTTGGGGTCAGGCATGGTGGCTCATGCCTGTAATCCCAGCACTTTGGGAGGGAGGTCAAGGTGGGCGGATCACCTGAGGTCGGGAGTTCGAGACCAGCCTGAGCAACATGGAGAAACCCTGTCTCTACTAAAAATTCAAAATTAGTCAGGCGTGGTGGCACATGCCTGTAATCTCAGCTATTCCGGAGGCTGAGGCAGGAGAGAACACTTGAACCCGGGAGGCGGAGGTTGTGGTGAGCCAAGATTGTGCCATTGCCCTCCAGCCTGGGCAACAAGAGCAAAACTCTGTCTCAAAAATAAAAAAAATTTGGATCATGCTATATATGAGTTTTGTATTCTGCTTTAAAATACATAGGCAGTGTTTTCCTATTTTAATAAATAGTTGGGCTGGGCACGGTGGCTCACGCCTGTAATCCCAGCACTTTGGGAGGCCGAGACAGGTGGATCACCTGAGGTCAGGAGTTCGAGACCAGTTGGCCAACATGGTGAAACCTCGTCTCTATTAAAAATGTAAAAATTAGCTGGGCGTGGTGGCCACATGCCTGTAATTCCAGCTACTTGGGAGGCCGAGGCAAGAGAATCACTTGAACCCGGGAGGCGGAGGTTGCAGTGAGCAGAGATGGTGCCAGTGTACTCCAGCCTGGATGACAGGAGTGAAACTCCGTCTCAAAAATAAATAAATAAATAAAAATAAAAATACAAAAATTAGCCGGGTGGGGGCGACAGAGCAGAGACTCCATCTCAAAATAAATAAATAAATAAATTTATAAATAAATAAATAGTTGGCTAAGTACAGTGGCTCAAGCCTATAATCCCAGCACTTTGGGAGGCCAAGGCGGGTGGATCACCTGAGGTCAGGAGTTCGAGACCAGCCTGGCCAACATGGTGAAACCCCATCTCTAATAAAAATACAAAACTTAGCAAAGCGTGGGGGCGCTGTGCCTGTAGTTCCAGCTACTTGGGAGGCTGAGGCAGAAGAATTACTTGATCCTGGGAGGCAGAGGTTGCAGTGCGCCAAGACTGTCACTCCAGCCTGGGTGACAGAGCAAGACTCTGTCTCAAAAATAAAAAAAATAAACAATTGAATACAAGGATTTTTAATATCTGCCTAATACTTATGCCTTCATCGCATTAATGTGCTACGCTTGATTTAATTGTTCCCTTTTGATATTCAGTTTATTTCCAGTTTGATGCTGCAATACCACTGTGCTGAACGTCTCTGGCACATTCATCTTGGTTGCAATTGTACTTTAGGCTATATTTCTAAGAGTGAAATGACCACAGCCAAAGGTATGAACATTGTTCAGGCTTTCAATAAAGACTGCCAGATATTTACAAAGATTGTGCCAATCTCTATTCTCACCACCGCTTTTGATTATTGTCCTTATCTCTGCTTGCCACTGAGCCCCGGGCCATGTCTCTGTAACTCACTAACGGCCACATCCCATTTACTTCCCCATGAGTAGGATTTCAGTTTCCCAAACCTGAGATGATCTGTCAGCTGGAGAACTGGGACGAGCAGTGGATCCTGGATCTACCGAGAACTGGGAATAGGAAGGCTTCCGGTAGTGCTTGCCCAGGTGGGTGAGGAAGAGACCCAGGCGAGTGGAATCAGGAAGAGGAAGGGAAGGCATGTTAGTGAAGCCCCTTCTGTGTGCCAGACGCTGAGCCAGGTGCTGGGCATATATTATCCCACTTCTTCATCCCTACTGCCCTGTGAAGTGGGAGGAAGATCGGCGTCCCCATTTCCCAGATGAAGAAACTAAGATTAAGAAATCTTGGCTGGACGCGGTGGCGCATTCCTGTAATCCTACTTTGGGAGGCCAAGTTGGGCGGATCACCTGAGGCCAGGACTAGACCAGCCTGGCCAACATGGTGAAACCCCGTCTCTACTGAAAATATAAAAATTAGCCCCGCGTAGTGGCGTGTGCCTGTAATCCCAGCTACCTGGGAGGCTGAGGCAGGAGAATCACCGGAACCTGGGAGGCAGAGGCTGCAGTGAGCCGAGATCGCGTCACTGCACTCCAGCCTGGGTGACAGAGCAAGACTGTCTCAATTAAAAAATATATATATATATCACACAGGCCTGGTATGGGGGCTCACGCCGGTAATCCCAGCACTTTGGGAGGCAGAGGCAGGAGGATCACTTGAGCCCAGGCGTTCAGGATCACCCTGGGTGATATGGTGAAACCCCATCTCTACAAAAAATACAAATTTAAGCCGGGTGTGGTGGCGCATGCCTGTAGTCCCAGCTACTCAGGAGGCTGAGGTGTGAGGACTGCTTGAGCCTGGGAGGCAGAGGTTGCAGTGAGCTGAGATTACATGACTGTACTCCAGCCTGGGTGACAGAGCAAGACTGTCTGAAAAAAGAACTCTCACAGTTGGGAGGTGGACACTGGGGTTTGACTTCAAGTCTAGAATGCTTATCCTCTCTCTCCTGCAGGAAAAAGTGCTGCTCTGACGCAGATGCTCTAGTGTTTTCTAAGTGACAGCTCTTAGGGCACCCTGGATGCCCCTTGATTCCACCCTCATTACTTGTCCTCTCTCGGTGCTGCCTCTTGTTCCCTTGCTTTGTTTTGTTTTCATATTACTCCCGTATTTCCTGACATATCTGCATTTTTCTACTTACTGTGTCCCGATGCAGCTGCTCCTGTTTTTCACATCCAAGGTTTCTCCTCCATGGCACTACTGACGTTTTGGGCTGACGAATTCTTTGGGGACAGGATGGGGCATGTCCTGTGCATTTTAGGATGTTGAGTAGCAGCCCTGGCCTGCATCCACTAGATGCCAGTTGAACCTCCCCAGGTGTGACAACCAGAAATGTCTCCAGACATTGTCCAAACCCTGTTCACCCCTAGTTGAGACCCATTGCTCTATTCAGTTGGCTTTTGTCCCTACTTCCCTCTGGTTCCTTTTCTATGCTATCCTATACTTTGTCCATTTTTAAGCAGATGTTTCACCTAGAGTTATTAAAAACGTGTATCTAGGCCGGGTGCCGTGGCTCACACCTGTAATCCCAACACTTTTGGAGGCCGAGATGGGCAGATCGCTTGAGGCCAGGAGTTTGAGACCAGCCTGGCCAACATGGCGAAATATCATCTCTACTAAAAATACAAAAACTAGCCGGGCGTGGTGGTGTATGCCTGTAATCCCAGCTACTCAGGAGGCTAAGGCACGAGAATCTCTTGAACCCAGGAAGTGGAGGTTGCAATGAGTTGAGATCATGCCACTGCACTCCAGCCTGGGCTTGTCTCAAACAAAAAGCATGTATCTTGAAGCATAACATGCTACCTCTTTGATATTTATTTGGCACCACTGAGTACCTAGAGTAAGTTGTTTTTCTAATAACGATGATGGGCTCTGCTCTCACATTCTCTGGCATACACACTCCTATACATTTATAGTGAGTTTGTTGGTGCCGAGAGCTGTTTTTGTTATGAAAGTGAAGAGTCCAATGAAATTCAGAATTTTGGGCTGGGTGCGGTGGCTCACGCCTGTAATCCCAGCACTTTGGGAGGCCGAGGTGGGTGGATCACCTGAGGTCAGGGGTTCGAGACCAGCCTGACCAACATGGTGAAACCCCGTCTCTACTAAAAATACAAAAATCAGCTGAGCATGATGGCTGGCATCTGTAATCCCAGCTACTCGGGAGGCTGAGGCAGGGGAATCACTTGAACCCAGGAGGCGGAGGGTGCAGTAAGCTATCATGCCACTGCACTCTAGCCTGGGCAACAGAGAGAGACTCCGTCTCAAAAAAAAATTTCAGAGTTTTGGCCTCTTGAGTCTGATGATGTAAACGAGATCACTTCTTAGCTTCATTTGATTGTCCTAGACCCCTAACAGTTGCCTTCTCTTCCTTTTTTTCTTCTGCAGTGGATAGGTCATTTACATCTTTTCTTGTTATTTGGCTAGGTTCTGAAGCCAGACACAAGATGAAAAAGCTAACTCCAAAACAGAAATTTTCTGAAGATTTAGAGTCATATAAGATATCAGTGGTAATGCAGGAATCAGCTGAGAAACTTTCAGAAAAGTTACATAAGTGTAAAGAATTTGTGGACAGTTGCAGGCTTACTTTCCCTACTAGTGGTGATGAATACAGCAGGGGCTTCCTTCAAAACCTTAACCTTATTCAAGATCAGAATGCGCAAACAAGGTGGAAGCAGGGCAGATATGATGAGGATGGCAAACCCTTCAATCAAAGATCTTTGCTTTTGGGGCATGAGCGAATTCTCACAAGAGCAAAGTCTTATGAATGCAGTGAATGTGGAAAAGTCATTAGGCGTAAGGCATGGTTTGATCAACATCAAAGAATTCACTTTTTAGAGAATCCTTTTGAGTGTAAGGTCTGTGGGCAAGCCTTCAGACAGCGGTCAGCTCTTACGGTCCATAAACAGTGTCACCTGCAAAACAAGCCATACAGATGTCATGACTGTGGAAAGTGTTTTCGGCAGCTCGCGTATCTTGTTGAACATAAGAGGATTCACACCAAAGAAAAACCTTATAAATGTAGCAAATGTGAAAAAACGTTTAGTCAGAATTCAACCCTTATTCGACATCAGGTGATCCATAGTGGAGAAAAACGCCATAAATGCCTTGAGTGTGGAAAAGCCTTTGGCCGGCATTCAACCCTTCTATGTCATCAACAGATTCACAGTAAACCGAACACCCATAAATGCAGTGAATGTGGACAGTCCTTTGGTAGGAATGTGGATCTCATTCAGCATCAAAGAATCCATACAAAGGAGGAATTCTTTCAATGTGGAGAATGTGGGAAAACGTTTAGTTTTAAGAGGAATCTTTTTCGACATCAGGTCATTCACACTGGAAGCCAACCCTACCAATGTGTCATATGTGGAAAATCTTTCAAGTGGCACACAAGCTTTATTAAGCACCAGGGCACTCACAAAGGACAGATATCCACATGATGTTAATTGGAAAGCAGTCATTGGAGAACTAGAACTTATAAACCTCTACTTCAAGTGTGTATCACGTAATTGTTTCCATGAAAAGCAATAAATGTAACAAAGGGTTTTTCTATGGGAGCCATCTTTGTGTAGCCAATCTGTAGTGAAGAAACGCTTAAAAGGAAATGTTAGCTTGGGCAACACAGTGAGATCCCATCTCTACAAAAAATAACAAAGCCAGGTGTGGTGGCTCACACCTCCAGTCCCAGCTACTAAGAAGGCTGGGTGACAGAGTGAGGCTGTCTCAAAAAAAAAAAAGAAAGGGCTGGGCGCGGTGGCTCACGCCTGTAATCCCAGCACTTTGGGAGGCCGAGGTGGGCGGATCACGAGGTCAGGAGATCAAGACCATCCTGGCTAACACAGTGAAACCCCGTTTCCACTAAAAAATCAAAAAATTAGCCGGGTGTGGTGGCAGGCGCCTGTAGTCCCAGCTATGCGGGAGGCTGAGGCAGGAGAATGGCGTGAACCCAGGAGGCGGAGCTTGCAGTGAGCTGAGATCGTGCCACTGCACTCCAGCCTGGGCGACAGAGCGAGACTCCGTCTCAAAAAAAAAAAAAAAAAAAAAACAGAGAAAAGGTTATTAGGCTGTTGTGTCCACTCTCTTGCACCCTCTATGCCCTCATTCCCTCCAGCCTAGTTAAGGCAGAAGGGAGCCATAGAAGCTGTGCCGTGTGGTTGCCAGGCTGGGGACCATTGCATGGGTTGTGAATGATTGAAGGTTTGAAGACAGCCAGTATGGTGTCGCATGTCTGTAATCCCAGCACTTTGGGAGGCTGAGGCTGGAGAATCACTTGAGGTCAGTTCAAGACCAGCCTGGCCAACATGGTGAAACCCCGTCTCTACTGAAAATACAAAAATTAGCTGTTTGGGAGGCTGAGGCAGGAGAATCGCTTGGACCTGGGAGGTGGAGGTTGCAGTGAGCCAAGAACACACCACTGCACTCCAGCCTCAGCAACAGAGTGAGACTCCATCTCAAAAAAAAAAAAAGATTGAAGAATGCCTTTCCTGTATTACATACAACTATTACATGCTAACGTATAGACTTAAAAAACAAAACAAAACTAAGGGCTACTCACTAGTAACTAGTGAGGTATGAAGAACTAAAAGTTGCCCATAATCAGGCCGGGCATGGTGGCTCACACCTGTAATCCCAGCACTTTGGGAGGCCAAGGCGGGTGGGTCACAAGGTCAGGAGTTCAGGACAAGCCTAGCCAAGATGGTGAAACCCCGTCTCTACTAAAAATACAAAATTTAGCCAGGCACAGTGGTGGGCGCCTATAATCCCAGCTGCTTGGGAGGCTGAGGTAGGAGAATCACCTACCTCAACCGGGAGGCAGAGGTTGCAGTGAGCTGAGATTGCGCCACTGCACTCCAGCCTGGGCGACAGACCAAGACTCCATCTCAAAAAAAAAAAAAAAAAAAAGTTGCCCATAATCTAAAATGAGTATGTTAGATTCTGATAAGAGTTGTAAGTCAGCCCGGCGCAGTGGCTCACGCCTGTAATCCCAGCACTTTGGGAGGCTGAGGCGAGTGGATCACGAGGTCAGGAGTTTGAGACCAGCCTGGCCAATATGGTGAAACCCCATCTCTACTAAAAAATACAAAAATTAGCCGAGCATGGTGGTGCGCGCCTGTAGTCCCAGCTACCCAGGAGGCTGAGGCAGGAGAATCGCTTGAACCTGGGAGGTAGAGGTTGCAGTGAGCTGAGATCATGCCACTGCACTCCAGCCTCGGTGACAGAGTAAGACTCCATCTCAAAAAAGAAAAAAAAAAAAAAAGAGTTGTAAGTCAATATTTGTAATAGGTGCCGTGGGCCCTGCCGAAGTCCCTCTGGCCTTACACCTTCTGTGGGCTTCATCTGACTGTGTCTGCACCTTGTGGCCTGTGGGGTAATAACACATTCTGGGAGCAGCTGTCAACCAATCATCGATGGGAATTTGATAAACACCAAATTCTCCATCTCCCCATGTGTGGAAAACTCTGAAGCATGTGTTTTAGTTTCCAGAGGTTCCCCATGAATTGCACACAGGCACTCACCCAAGGTAGATACCTCATTGGGTGACTTCCCTTCTGTCTCTTCCACCTTCCCTAATAGTGTTGCAACCTCTCCCCAACAAATAAACTACTTGTATTCAAAAAGTGTCAATTATGTTCTCTGAGAAGCCATATCCCTTCTGTTTCCACAATTATTCTAAGCACATTCTGACATTCAGTTTAAATAGGTTGAGCTGAGTGTATTCTCCCTAGAGCTCAACAATATAAGAGATCCATTTAAATTATTTGGATATCCTAAACATCATCCTATGTCTGTATTAAAAATTGCTCTAATTTGCCGGGCGTGGTGGTGGGCACCTATAATTCCAGCTACTCAGGAGGCTGAGACAGGAGAATTGCTTGAACCCGGGAGGTGGAGGTTGCAGGGAGCCAAGATTGCACCACTGCACTCCAGCCTGGGCGACAGAGTGAGACCCCGTGTCAAAAAAAACAAACAAATATTGCTCTCAGGCCAGGTGCACTGCGTCATGCCTGTAATCCCCAACACTTTGGGATGCTGAGGCAGGTGGATCACTTCAACCCAGGAGTTTGAGACCAGCCTGGCCAACATGGCAAAACCTCATCTTTTTTTTTTTTTTTTTTTTTTTTGAGATGGCGAGTCTCGCTCTGTTTTCCAGGCTGGAGTGCAGCGGTGAGATCTCAGCTCACTGCAACCTCCGCCTCCTGGGTTCAAGCGATTCTCCTGCATCAGCCTCCTGAGTAGCTGGGACTACAGGTGCCTGTCAGCATGCCCAGCTAATTTTTGTATTTTCAGTAGAGATGGGGTTTCGTTCGCCATGTTGGCCAGGCTGGTCTTGAATGCCTGACCTCGTGATCTGCCAGCCTTGGCCTCCCAGTGCTGGGCTTACAGGCGTGAACCACTGTGCCCAGCCTCTCTCATACTTTTAAAGTACAAAAATTAGCTGGGTGTGGTGGTTGTATGCCTGTAGTCCCAGCTGCTTGGGAGGCTGAGGTGGAAGGATCGCTTAAGCCCAGGAAGTTGAGGCTGCAAGTGAGCCAAGATCACACCACTGCACTCCAGACTGGGCGACAAAGTGAGACCTTTTTTTTTTTTTTTTTAAAAAAAAAGATAGTTTGTATTTACGATTCTCTCCAATGACCAGTTCAGACATTCAGGCACTTGTCACTCAGATTAATCCTCATGTTTAAAGAAGGTACAAACAGGAGAGAACTGTTTCTAATTCACTGAGCCACAGGGAACTGCCAAATCTAGAGAGACTCAGCCATAGAAAATGAACAGTCACATCCAAAGCGCAGCCATCCTGAGATGGCTTCAAACTTAGAGGGAGGTGTAGGTGCTGTCCAGGCCAGACACTCTTCAGTTTCCAAACAGTTCCTAGAGGAAGAGAAGCCACTATCACCCAGAAGCCACCTACACCCAGACTAGACCCGGGGCTCTGCCCTGTGTTTGTCAGGGGCCACTAGTGCCCTGACTGCTGTTTCCTGATGATATTCCTTCAAGCAGAGGCCTCTATTACACGTGCCCCAGCTCACCTACATCAGGGAGAGAGTGGTCTCCTGACCGTGATGGTGGGAGCCCCTAGTGGAGCTGAGCAGACACTCTCTTCCCTTCATTTTCACAGGACCTGGAAAGGACAACCACACTTGCTTTACTGGAGATGATTCTTATGTTCTATTTTATTCACTTCTGCAAGAAATACTCAAATTTTGTATAATAAGCCTTGTGATATCATGATAAATATGTATCTGGTCTTCATCCTCAATGACTAGCAGAGAGCTCCCCAAACCTTGGAGAATTCCTGAGGGATAAGGGTGCTAAGAGCATCTTTTCTTATCATATTTGGTCTTTGACACTTGTTCCTGACACAGAGCTGTTAAACCCATTGGAATTTCCTTAGTGATGCATGTCTTTGTTCTAATAAGGCAACTCTTGGATTTCCGATGGGTTCAGCTTGGGGGCTAACTGGAAAGACCAAGGCATGATTAGAAACTTGGAAGCTGAGGCGGGCGGACCACGAGGTCAGGAGATAGACACCATCTTGGCCAACATGGTGAAACCCTGTCTCTACTACACTACAAAAAATCAGCCGGGTGTGGTGGCGAGTGCCTGTGGTCTCAGCTACTCGGGAGGCTGAAGCAGGGGAATTGCTTGAACCTGGGAGGCGGAGGTTGCAGTGAGCCGATATCATGCCACTGCACTCCAGCCTGGGCGACAGAGAATCTGTCTCAAAAAAAAAAAAAAAAAAAAAAGCCAGGCACAGTGGCTCCAGCCTGTAATCCCAGCACTTTGGGAGGCCAAGGCGGGCGGATCATGAGGTCAGGAGATCCAGACCATCCTGGCTAACACAGTGAAACCCCATCTCTACTAAAAATACAAAAAATTAGCAAGGCATGGTGGGGGTGCATGTAGTCCCAGCTACTCAGGAGGCTGAGGCAGAAGAATGGCATGAACCCGGGAGGTGGAGTTTGTAGTGAGCCGAGATTGCGCCACTGCACTCCAGCCTGGGCGACAGAGCGAGACTCCGTCTCAAGAAAAAAAAAAAAAAAAAAAGAAATCAGCAAGTCATAAAACTGAACTCCTAGGCTCCTAGAATGGGAAAGAAAGAGGGACTATGCAAAATTAGGTTTTCTGGAAAGTGAAAAATAGAGTGCTTCTTTTGAGTACTGAGCTTTACCAGATCTTTTGGGGATTATGAAGTAGTTGAAACCCTCTCTACAATCTAAGGCCAAAGGCAAATTTTAAATGACTAAAATACATTCTTAGGCAAGTATTAATAATTGTAGTGAGCAAGATTTGGTTCAAAAGTGAATAAAAAGGCCGGGCATGGTGGCTCGTGTGTAATCCCAGCACTTTGGGAGGCTGAGGTGGGCGGACTGCCTGAGCTTAGGAGTTCACCACCAGCCTAGGCAACACAGTGAAACCCCATCTCTACTAAAATACAAAAAATTAGCTGGGCATGGCATGGTGCACCTGTAGTCCCAAGTACTTGGAAGGCTGAGGCAGGAGAATTGCTTGAATCCAGGAGGTGGAGGTTGCAGTGAGCCAAGATCATGCCACTACACTCCAGCCTGGGTGACAGAGCGAGACTCCATCTCAAAAAAAAAAAAAAAAAAAAAGTAAATAAAGGTAGGCTGGGTGTGGTGGCTTGTGTCTGTAATTCCAGCACTTTGGGAAGCTGAGGCAGGAGGATTCCTTGAGCCCAGGAGGTTGAGACCAGCCTGGGCAACATAGCAAGACCCTATCTCTTAAAAAAAAAAAAAAGCTGGGTGTGGTGGTGTGTGCCTGTGGTCCCAGCTACTCAGGAGGTTAAGGCAAGAGGATCACTTGAGCCCAGGAGGTTGAGGCCACAGTGAACCACGATCACACCACTGGGCTCCCGCTGGAGGGCTACGACGAGACCCAGTCTCAAAAATAATACATAAAGGTAGAGCGCAGATAACAAGGACAGAACCCCGTTACATGTCAGCCTGGCTCTTATCATCAGAAGTCTCTTACCTGGCATCAGCTCACATTTCAGAAGGCCCCCTACTTCCTCATTCCTCACTCACTGAAACTATCAGTCTGTAATGAGGCTCAGGACAGATTGAACCTATCTTGTAGGAGATACTCAAGGAAGATCCATAATTGACTGATATACTCCAAATGGCAAGGAATGTGGTTCTGGACAAGAAAAGAAACAGGCCAAGTCACATAGAAACATATCAAAATGACAGCACTTTATTTCTTTTTTGAGATGGAGTCTCGCTCTGTTGCCCAGGCTGGAGTGCAGTGGCATGATCTCAGCTCACTGCAACTTCCGCCTCCTGGGTTCAAGTGATTCTCCTACCTCAGCCTCCCGAATAGCTGGGCTTACAGGCATGCACCACCATGCCCGGCTCATTTTTGTATTTTTAGTAGAGACAGGATTTTACCATGTTGGCCAGGCTGGTTTCAAACTCCTGATCTCAAATGATCTGCCTGCCTTGGCCTCCCAAAGTGCTGGGATTATAGGCGTGAGCCACCACGCCCAGCCGACAGCACTTTATTTTGATGAATTCTTTGGTGTCGGATAAGGTGTGTACTTTGTCTAAATCTTTCCCCACATTCAAGACATTTGTAAGGCTTTTCCCCAGTGTGAATTCTCTGGTGTTTAATGAGGGTTGCACTCTGATTGAAGCGTTTCCCACAGACGGAACATCCATAGGGCTTCTCCCCAGTGTGGATTCTGTGGTGTTTAAAGAGGTCAGAGCGCTGTTTGAAGCTCTTCTCGCATTCTTCACACTTATAGGGTCTTTCCCCTTTATGTAGTCTCTGATGTCTAAAAAGGTTGGAAATATGACAGGTTTCCCCGCATTCCTCACATTTAAAATGTTTGTCTCTACTGTGGGTACTTTGATGACGATTTAGGTGTGAATTCTGCCTGAAGCGCTCCCCACATTTCAGACAGGTGTACGGCTTCTCGCCTGTGTGTGTCCTCTGGTGCTTGGTCAGGGCAGCACTCTGGCTGAAGCTTTTCCCACATTCTTGGCAGCCATAGGGTTTCTCACCTGTGTGGATTCTCTGGTGTCTAAAGAGGTCAGAGCGTTGTTTGAAACTCTTCCCACAGTTACCACATTTATAAGGTCTTTCTTCATGGAGCTGCCTCTGGGTCTCAAAAAGGCTGGAATGATGGAAACTGTCTCCACTGTCAGACTTGTGAGGTTTCAGCACGTGCCACGTCACCATGTGGAAACTTTGCTTGCACTTGTTCCCGTGTTCCTCACTGTCAGTGGGCCTCTCTGCTTTCGGGATGTGCTGACATAGAACAAGGTTGGAACACCTGGCACTGTTCTGCAATTCATTATTTTTAGAGTCTTCCCCTTCTATGGAACCATTCTTATTGACATCTGAGATGCTGTTGAGTCCTTCTGCTTCAGGAGAATTTTCAAGTTTCAGGGGCAAGGGGTCTCCGGACTGCTTTTCCACCCTGTCCTCATGGGTACTGCCACACTTAGAAAACAGGGGGCGCTTCCCCTGGAACGCTTCTTGTAGTTGCCCCTGTGGCTCCGCTTCTTCTAAAATTTGTTGCATTGGAATCAACTCTTTGTTCTCCACTCTGCTTTCCAAACCTGAAACGTGAAAATACAAATTCCTGCCAGTGCATCCCTGTGCAACACAGAAATAAGCAAGTGCTGGCAGAATGTTAAACCCTCAAACCCCTTTTACTTTTTAATTAATTAATTTATTTTTTGAGACGGTGTCTTGCTTTGTCACCAGGCTGGAGTGCAGTGGTCCGATCTCAGTTCACTGCAACCTCTGCCTCCCGAGTTCAACTGATTATCCTACCTCAGCCTCCCAAGTAGCTGGCATTACAAGTGCACGCCACCACACCCAGCTAATTTTTGTATTTTTATTAGAGATGGGGTTTCACCATGTTGGCCAGGATGGTCTCTATCTCTTGACCTCATGATCCGCTCGCCTCAGCCTCCCTATTTATTTATTTTGAGACAGAGTATTACTCTGTTGCTATTTATTTATTTTGAGATGGAGTCTCACTCTGTTGCCCAGGCTGGAGTGCAGTGGCATGATCTCGGCTCACTGCAACCTCTGCCACCTGGGTTCAAGTGATTCTCCTGCCTCAGCCTCCCAAGTAGCAGGGATTACAGGTGCTAATTTTGCTAGTTTTAGTAGAGACAGTGTTTCACCATATTGGCCAGGCTGGTCTTGAACTCCTGACCTCGTGATCCGCCTGCCTCGGCCTCCCAGACTTCTGGGATTACAGGCGTGAGCCACAGCACCCAGCCTATATTTTATTTTATCGTATCTTATTTTATTTTTGAGATGGAGTCTTGCTCTGTTGCCTAGGCTGGAGTGCAGTGGCATGATCTCAGCTCACTGCAACCTCTGCCTCCCAGGTTCAAGTGATTCTCCTGCCTCAGCCTCCCAAGTAGCTGGGATTACAGGCACCCACCACCACACCCGGCTAATTTTTTTGTATTTTTAGTGGGGACGAGGTTTCACCATCTTGGCCAGGATGGTCTCGAACTCCTCTGACCTTGTTATCCACCCCCCTCGGCCTTGCAAAGTGTTGCGATTACAGGCGTGAGCCACCACACCCAGCTATTTTATTTTTTTGAGATGGAGTTTCGCTCTTGTTGCCAAGGCTGGAGTGCAGTGGAGTGATCTCAGCTCACTGCAACCTCTGCCCCCCAGGTTCAAGCAATTCCCCTGCCTCAGCCTTGAGAGTAGCTGGGATTACAGGCAACGTGCCACCACACCCGGCTAATTTTTGTATTTTTAGTAGAGATGGGGTTTCACCATGTTGGTCAGGCTGGTCTCAAACTCCTGACCTCAGGTGATCCACCTGCCTTGGCCTCCCAAAGTGTTGGGATTACTGGCATGAGCCACTGCACCCAGCCTATTTATTTTATCTTTTTGAGACAGAGTCTCACTCTGTCACCCAGGTTGGAGTGCAATGGCGTGATCTCGGCTCACTGCAACCTCCACCTCCCAGGTTCAAGTGATTCTCCTGCCTCAGCCTTCTGAGTAGCTGTAATTACAGGTGCCCATTAACTGGCCTGGCTAATTTTTGTATTTTTAGTAGGTATTTTAGTAGGTATTATAGTAGGTATTTTAGTAGGTATTATAGTAGGTATTTTAGTAGGTATTATAGTAGGTATTTTAGTAGGTGTTTTAGTAGACGGGGTTTTACCATGTTGGCCAGGCTGGTCTCGAACTCCTGACCTCAAGTGATTCACCTGCCTCGGCCTCCCAAAGTGCTAGGGTTATAGGTGTGAGCTACCTCGGTCTCCCAAAGTGCTGGGATTACAGGTATGAGCCACCACACCCGGCACAAGGGAGCAATTTGAGCAAAGCCCTGAAACTTTGCTTCCTACAGAGTAGAGTAGAATATTCCAGGCAGAGCGGTCACATAGCACAAAGACCAGGAGGCAGCGGGGCCTGGCATATTTTGGAGCAGCAAGGCAGTGTGGCCAGAGCAGGCAAAGGGCAGCAGAAGGGATGGGTGGGTGAGCAGGGTGCCAGGGCCCCTGCACATCAGGCATCAGAGGTCCGGCTAATTTTTGGTATTTCTAGTAGAGACGGTGTTTCACTATGTTGGCCAAGCTGGTCTTGAACTCCTGACCTCATGATCTGCCCACCTCGGCCTCCCAAAGTGCTGAGATTTACAGGCCTGAGCTATCACGCCCGGCCAAAATGTATTACTATTTTTTTTATTAATTTTTTTTTTTAAAGAGATGGGGTCTCGCTATGTTGCCCAGGCTGGTCTTGAGCTCCTGACCTCAAACAATCCTCCCATCTGGGCCTCCCAAAGTGCTAGGATTACAGGTGTGAGCCACCGTACCCAGCCAACAGCAAATGTTGACAAGAATATGGAGAAAGAAAAATTATTAGTATTGCTGGTGGCATATACATTAGTTATGGGCTCTTTGGAGAGCAAGATGAACATACAGTTGTTCCCTCTTCTCTGTGGGGACACGTTCCAAGTCCCCCAGTGATGCCTGAAATTGTGTATAGTACCAAAGCCTATATATATATGTGTATATATATGTATATACATACATACGTGTGTGTGTGTGTGTGTGTGTGTGTGTGTGTGTGTATATATATATATATATATGTATATATATATATAAAATGTTTTTTCTTTTTTTTTTGAGACGGAGTCTTGCTCTGTCACCCAGGCTGGAGTGCTGGAGTGCAGTGGCACGATCTCGGCTCACTGCAACCTCCGCCTCCCAGGTTCAGGTTCACGCCATTCTCCCGCCTCAGCCTCCCGAGTAGCTGGGACTACAGGCGCCTGCCACCACGCCTGGCTAATTCTTTTTTCTGTATTTTTTAGTAGAGACAGGGTTTCACCGTGTTAGCCAGGATAGTCTCAATCTCCTGACCTCATGATCTGCCCGCCTCGGCCTCCCAAAGTGCTGGGATTACAGGCGTGAGCCACCGTGCCTGGCCTATAATGTTTTTCCTTATATGTACATCCCTTTAATCAAGTTTAATTAATAAATTAGGGACATTAAGAGATTAACAGTAACTATTAATTATAACAATATACTTAGCTAGGTTTGGTGTCTCACACCTGTAATCCCAGCACTTTGGGAGGCTGAGGCAGGAGGATCACCTGAGGTAAGGAGTTCAAGACCAGTCTGGCCAACATGGTGAAACCCCATCTCTACTAAAAACACAAAATTAGCTGAGCATGGTGGGGCATAACTGTAATTCCAGCTCCTCGGGAGACAGAGGCAGGAGAATTGCTTGGCTTGGGAGGCAGAAGTTGCAGTGAGCTGAGACCACACCACTGCACTCCCCCTGGGCAACAAGAGTAAAACTCCATCTCAAAAAAACCCCCAAAGCCAAAGATAAAAAACGAAAAACAAATGCTATACTTAATAAAAGTCATGTGAATGTGGTCTCTCCCTGTCTTAAAATATCTGATTGTACTGTGGGTAAGTGAAACCGCAGAAAGCAAAACCAGGAAGGGGGGACTACTGCCTGTCTCTAGGCATATTCTCTTCAAAAACTCCAACATAGAAACAAATATACAAAGATATGCAAGAATATACAAGAATGTTCGGTGCAATGCTGTAATGGTTAAAAACTTAAGACACCTAAATGTCCATCAACAGAAATGGAGAGAATTCTGGAGTATCTGGACCGTGAAATAGGTAGAGCTCCATGCATCAACATGAGTAAATCTCAAAAATGTAATGTTGAGTAAAAAAAGCCATACAGTAATGATATACAGCGTGGAGCTACGTGTCTATGTAGAGACAATATAAGACATGCATGGAAGTCATGAACACAACAGTCAGCTTACTGGCTACCTCTGGAGAAGGATAGAGGGGAAGGGTTTCAGGGAGGCTATGTGGGGGCCTCACCTACAGCTGTAACATACTATTTCCTTGGCAATATGGCCAAGTATTAAGATCTGATAAACTTGGGTGGTAGACACAGGGGATGGTCATTATCTTTTTTTTATATAGTTTTCTGTATGTATAAAACATTAAAAATGAACCAAAGTAAAAAGCTGAATCTAGCACCTAGCAGTACAGAGGCTCCTGCTTGCGTTACAGAAGGCACCTGAAGGCTCTCAGCCCAAGTCTGGGAATGGCATAGTGGCTCAGGGATGGTAGTGAACCAGCCCTTCACAAACCACACACCGCAATAAACCAGCAGAGCAACAGCACTCACTCGGCGGAACTGTGCTCCCGGAATCCTTCTGCGCACTCTCTCTGCAGAAGTCCCTCCGTGCTGGGTCCAGGCGCTCCCACTCCTCCCAGGTTAGAGACACAGCCGTGTCCTCGAAAGTCACCATCCCCTGGAACAACACAAGAGCCCCATTCAGTACCTGCTGTCCCTGTACAGCACTAACACTCTTCTTGAGTCTTGTACCGACAAGGGAGTTTGGAGAGATCAGAGATAGAGGCTGACATTCTCTTGTAATCCTGAAAAGCCTTTCTGTGGACTATTTACACTAATTTTGGAGGTAGGTAGGAGCAAAATATTTCTTTAACTTATATCACTGTGATGTATGGGAATGGAAATATGATACAGATTAAAAGTAAACAAGGCCGGGCGCGGTGGCTCACGCCTGTAATCCCAGCATTTTGGGAGGCCGAGGCGGGCGGATCACCTGAGGTCAGGAGTTCGAGACCAGCCTGGCCAACACAGTGAAACCCCGTCTCTACTAAAAATACAAAAATTAGCCGGGCGTGGTGGCGGGCGCCTGTAATCCCAGCTACTCGGGAGACTGAGGCAGGAGAATCGCTTGAACCCGGGAGTCAGAGGTTGCAGCGAGCCGAGATCGCGCCATTGCACTCCAGCCTGGGCAACAAGAGTGAAACTCCATCTCAAACAACAGCAAGAACAACAAGAAAAAAAAAAAAAAGAAAAGAAAAAGAAAGAAAACCAGTAATCCGTGTTCGCTTTATGCTGAGGTCTATAACAAGTCATTTCCTGGATGGATCTGTCACTGTGGCCTACAGAAAGGAAGTCCATACACACCCCAATGTTCACACGAAATGTAATAAGGAAGTAAGTTCCGAAACGCAGAGCACCCCTAAACGCCTATTTTCCACACTCCCACCTCCAGAACAGGCCTTTCGCTTCTCACCTGGGATGAGGTTCCATCGAGCGCTCGCTGCAGAGCCCGCACCACGGCCACCGCCTCCTCCCCGCTCTCTGGGCAGTGCTCTCGCACCCAGGCTTGAAGCTCCTCGGGCAGGATGGTGAGGAACTGCTCCAGCACCAGCAGCTCCAGGATCTGCTCCTTGGAGAGCAGCTCGGGTCTCAGCCACCGACGACAGAGTTCTCGGAGCCGGCTCAGCGCCTCTTCCGGTCCAGCCACCTCCTGGTAACGCAGCTGCCTAAAGTGCAGTCGAGAAGTTTCGGGGTCCGGCGAAGCCGCGGGATAGTTGGGCTCCCAACTTCCGGGTGAGTCTTCCTCCACTTTCACGGGCAAAAGTCCGTCGCGTTGGGACGGCGCCGCGTCCTTGGACCTCGCAGCCATCACCCAGGGTCCCAACTCGGCGTCACTGCCGCGCCTCTGGGCGGTCAAGCTGGAATTCATCTTTCTCCGGCATGTGCTGCCCTTCCTGGAGTCTTCTTTTCAGGTGAAGAAAGAGCAAACCCAAGGAACTCATCAGCCGTCAACACCCTCCGGTCCCAAACACCGGGCCCCACCACACCAGGCCCCTCTCCACACTCTCCTTTCCTCAGCTTTGCGCCTACAACTCTCTCGGTCAAACAACCGAAAACATCCCGTGCCGGAAGCGCGTCATCGAGGCCTTGCGGCACCTTTCCCTGCATTTCCGGGGCCTCTCTAGGCGCCTGATGGGGTGAGGTGCATCTCGCTGGTTTATCGTCCTAGCCCCGCCCGACGCAGAGGGTCTTGACGGTTTCCCGCATCCCGAGGAAATACGGGCGTCCGAGCCGGTGGCCGAGCTCCGGCAAGGGCGGGAACCTTCAGGATTAAATAGACAGGGTCTGGCTCTGTCGCCCAGGCTGGACTGCAGTGGCGCGATTTCGGCTCACTGCAACTTCTGTCTCCCGGGTTCAAGCAATTCTCCAGCTTCAGCCTCCCAAGTATCTAGGACTACAGGTGCGCGCGACCACGCCCGGTTTATTAATTTTTCTGTGGGGATGGGGTTTCATTATATTGCCCAGGTTGGACAAAGTTGTTTTTTTTTCTTTTTTCAGGCGGACTCTCGCTCTGTCGCCAGGCTGTCTTAGCCTCCTGAGTAGCTTGGACTACAGGCGCGCGCCACCATGCCCGGCTACTTTCTGTATTTTAGTAGAGATGGGGTTTCACCATGTTGGTCAGGCTGGTCTGGAACTCCTGACCTCGTGATCCGCCTGCCCCGGCCTCCCAAAGTGCTGGATTACAGGCGTGAGCCGCTGCGCCCAGTTGGAAAAAGTTTTGTTTTTTTTTTAAAACTAAGTGCTTCCATGTACATCAGATGTTAACGACTTTGATCCTAACAAACAAACAAAAAAGATGAGGAAATTGAGGCTCAAAGATGTGTCCTGGCCTGGCTCAGTGGCGTATGCCTGTAATCCCAGCATTTTGGGAGGCTGAGGGGGGAAGATCGCTTGAAGCCAAGAATTGGAGACCCCAATGTCTACAAAAAATAAAAAATTAGCTGGGTGTGGTGGTGCACACCTGTAGTCCCAGTGAGAGGTGAAGCTAGTTGGACTTCCTGGGTCCAGTGGGGACTTGGACAACTTTTCTGTCTTACAAGAGGTTTGTAAAAATGCACCAATCAGCGCTCTGTAGCTAGCAAGAGGTTTGTAAAATGCACCAATCAGCGCTCTGTAAAATGGACCAATCAGCAGGATTCTAAAAGCAGCCAATCGCAGGGAGGATGGAAAAAAGGGCGTTCTGATACGACAGAAACGGACATGGGAGGGGACAAATAAGAGACTAAAAGCTCCCACCCCAGTCAGCGGAGGCAACCGGCTGGAGTGCTCTGCCATGCTGTGGAAGGTTTGTTCTTTCGCTCTTCACAATAAATCTTGCTGCTACTCACTCTTTGGGTCCGTGCCATCTTTAAGAGCTGTAACACAGTGAAGGTCGGAGGCTGCATTCTTGAAGTCAGCGAGAGGATGAACCCACTGGAAGGAACCAACTCAGGATACACCACTTACTTGGGAGGCTGAGGTGGGAGGATCCTTTGAGCCCAGGAGGTAAAGACTGCAGTGAGATATGATCGCACCAGTGCACTCCAGCCTGGGTGACAGAGCAAGACTCTGTCTCTAAAACAAAGTGTCTTGGTTGATGTCAAGCTGCTGGTGATTTGCAACTTGCATAAAATGAGACGATCGCTTGAGACCAGGAGTTCCAGGCCAGCCTGAGCAACATAGAGAGGATGTGTCTCCATATAAAAATAAAAAAATTTTTTTTTGAGAGGGAGTATCGCTCGGGTTCAAGCGATTCTCCTATCTCAGCCTCCCAAGTAGCTGGGATTACAGGCGCGTGCCACCACACCCAGCTAATTTTTTGTATTTTTAGTAGAGACGGGGTTTCACCATGTTAGCCAGGATGGTCTTGATTTCCTGACCTCGGCTCACTGCAACCTCTGCCTCCTGGGTTCAAGCAATCCCCCTCCCCACCCCACGCCCAAACAAACCGAACACTATTTATCAATCCAGGTGTGTTTAATAACTAGACATAAAAATATCTCTTATGGAGCCAGGTGCGGTGGCTCACGCCTGTAATCCCAGCACTTTGGGAGGCCGAGGCGAGGGGATCACCTGAGGTCGGGAGTTCAAGACCAGCCTGACCAACATGGAGAAACTTCGTCTCTACTAAAAAATACAAAATTAGCCGGGCATGGTGGCGCATGCCTGTAATCGCAGCTACTCGGGAGGCTGAGGCAGGAGAATCACTTGAACCCAGGAGGCAGAGGTTCACTAAGCCAAGATCGTGCCATTCACTCCAGCCTAGGCAACCAGCAAAACCATCTCAAAAAAAAAAAAAAAAAAAAAAAAAAAGGAAACTAGTCATCTTGGCTATCTCTAGAGAGAAAAATGAATGTAGAATGAGAATGAGAGGAAGACCTTAAGTGCCTTATTGAATTTTGACTCATGCAAATGTGTTATCTATTTAAGAAATAAATTATTGAAATGCAAAAGGTGTTTATAAATAATTCAAACCGGTTGCGGTGGCTCACGCCTGTAATCCCAGCACTTTGGGAGGCCGAAGCAGGCAGATCACGAGGTCAGGAGATGGAGACCATCCTGGGTAACACGGTGAAACCCCATCTCTACTAAAAATACAAAAAGTTATCCAGGTGTGGTGGCACACACCTGTAATCCCAGCTACTCAGGAGGCTGAGGCAGGAGAATCGCTTGAACCCGGGAGGCGGAGGTTGCAGTGAGCCGAGATCATGCCACGGCACTCCAGCCTGGGCGACAGAGTGAGATTCCGTCTCAAAAAAATAAATAGATAAACAAACAAATAAATAAATCATTTAAATGGAGGTAAATATATTAGAAAAGAATGGGTATCCACCAAACATTTTTTTTTTTGAGACGGGGTGTCTCTGTCACTGAGGTGCTGAAGTGCAATGGCACAATCATAACTCACTGCAGCCTCAACCTCTTGAATTCAAGTGATCCTCCAGTCTCAGCCTGCTGAGTAGCTGAGACTATAGGCATGTGCCACCATGCCTAGCTAATTTTATTTTATTTTTTGTAGAGACGGGGTAAAAAGGCCAGGCTGGTCTTCAACTCCTGGATTCTAGTGATCCTCTCACCTCGGCCTCCCAAAATGTTGGGATTACAGGCGTGAGCCACCATGCCCATCTGGAACAACTTTCATAGACATTAAACAACTTTATACGAGCAACAAAATTAAGCCATAGGTGCAAAATTCTATACCAACTCACTAACACACAAAATACGGGCATTGCAAACATTCACCGGGGGTTTGGTCCTAGATAGGAAGCTACTTAAAATGCAAGATTTTGGGCTCCCTGAAAAGAGACCTTTAACTTCTAAATATCTTCTCATCTTTTTGCAGATGCTGCAATTTCACAGCAGTTCCTTCCTTCGCGCCTGTAAAACAGTGGCAACAGTAACTCTTCTCCTGCCTGCCCATCAACTTTGTAAACTGCGCGGGGCGTAGGGGGAGGGGAGGGCTGGGGCCTGGAAACTATAAAGCACCATATGAAAAGGAGAGCACTGGGAGGTCGATGCGGGCGCATCACCTGAGGTCAGGAGTTCGAGACCAGCCTGGCCAACATGGGGAAACCCCGTCTCTACTAAAAATACAAAATAAGCCGGGCGTGGTGAGTGTGCCTGTAATCCCAGCTACTCGAAAGGCTGAGGCAGGAGAATTGCCCGAACCTGGGAGCAGAGGTTACAGTGAGCCGAGATCGTGCCATTGCACTCCAGCCTGGGGGACAACGAGACTCCGTCTCAAAAAACAAAACAAAACAAAACAAAAACGGGAGATTATTACTAAGAGATGGGGTCTCACTATGTTGCCCAGGCTGGAGTGCAATGGTGCGATCCCGGCTCACTGCATCCTCAGCCTCCCGGGTCCAAGTGATTCTCCTGCCTCAGCCTCCCAAGTGGCTGAGATTACAGGCTCGCGCCACCACGCCCAGCTAAGTTTTTGTATTTTTAGTAGAGACGGGGTTTCACCATGTTGGCCAGGCTGGTCTCGAACTCCTGGCCTCAGGTGATCCACCCACCTCGGCCTCCCAAAGTGCTGGCATTACAGGTGTGAGTCACCGAGCCCGGCCAAGGGAGGGTATTTCTAATAGACAGGGGTCTCGCTATGTTGCCCGAGCTGGTCTCGAACTCTTGGGCTCAAGCGATCCTGCTTCTTCAGCCTGTCCACTAGCTAGGCTTACAAGCGTGGGACCCCGCGCCTGGCTGAAGAGAGGTATCATTAAGGACGAGACCCCCTTGGCCAGGGAAGCCCTGCGTAAGCAACGCCCCTCTCTTCAAAGGGATGCCCCGCTCCCTCCGCCCACTCCCAGCCTTCCAGCCTTGGCTCCCGAGGACACGACTCCGGGCCCTGCCACCTTCTGATAGGCTCGCGAGACCGAGGCTGCAAAGAGAGCCGCCCCCCATTGGCCAACCGGCGAGTCCCGCGCGCCACCTCCTGGGAGATGTAGTTCCGGGAACAGCTGGCCCCTGCGACTCGCGGGTGTGACGTTGAAGATGTCGGCCTTCTGAGCCGACTGCGGTGGTCAAGAGGTGGGTTTGTTTGGAAAGTGGGTGGTGAGAGTAGCGAGGATGCGGGTGAAGAAAACCTAAGGGCCCCAAATTCAACATAAGCGAGGTTTGCGGGCTGTCAGCAAGGTACAGACCTACTTCAAATCGGGGCGCAGAGCGTTGGGGGTGGGGGAAGGCGCAAGCTCCCCGGCCAATCAGACACGAGCAACCTCAGCCCAACTCTGGAGGCCCCGCCCCCTTCCCCGCCCCACGGAAAGGGGAGGAGCTTGGGCTGTTTGAATGGCTTTGGGATGGAGCAGGGGAGAGAGTGGCTCCGTTTGCCTCCCCGCTTTGGTGATGCTGTGCGAGCGGCTTCGGGGGCCCTGGAGACGTCCGAGTCACTGAGGGTGGGCTGGGACTCGGGGCCCGCGTCCCATCTCCCCGCCGATTGGTCCGCCCCCCGTGCGAGGTGAGGTCCTCCGGGATTCCTAGAGAGGACGCGGAAGTGCTTTCGGGGGGGGGTGGGATCTAACGGTTTAACCCCGTTGGACAGGGCAAGATTGGACTTGGTTACTTCCGGCGAGGAAGTGTTGGGGAGTGTCGGCTTCGGTTTCTCTCCGTGGGAAGAACCGCATCTTCCCAGCCTCGGCTGCGGGGAGCTTGATGTTCCAGGAGAGCTCCCCTAGAGTGGGGCCTTGAGGGGAGGGGGCAGGGGCTTCGTGACTGGACGGGGGTCCTGTCCCTAACCTTGACCGGGCCACAGTCTCTGTATCTCGGGGTCAGGGGCCATTCTGAGGAATCCAGGTCCAGATCTGTACCTTATAAACGCTGCTTCTCTTTGGGACCGATGGAGTCTCCCCTTGGCCTGTCAAGCTCTTGTAGCTTAGAGAACAGGCTCAGTTTTGACCATTATAATGATTTTCACCCTTATTCCGACTTAAGTTCGTCTTATGGTAGAGAGAAAGAGCGGCTGCGTCTGGACTAGTTAGTCTCGTCCCGTTATTTATATGGAATGTAAAGTTCTTCACTCTAAAACTGTGTTTTAGGTTGGGCCTGATGTCAGATTTGTATGGCTCTCTTTTACACTTTTAAAATGTTGGGGTTATTCCTTATTATCATTTTGTGGGTGAAGTGATGGCTACCTTGTAGTACCTATTTTTAAGTAAATTACTTTGTTGAGTGGTCGTCTTTAGTATAGATGACCTCTTTGCCATCTGTCTTTGCTAATAATGATGCCCAATACATCAGTAGGTTGCATGCTACTGAAAGTGTCCTTCAGAAGATATTAAAGAGCAGAAAAACAATTGTTTCAGTGTAACACAGCCAGCCTCGAAGACTTCCCTCTGAGTTGGAATGATAATGACCGAATCCCGAGAAGTTATAGACTTAGACCCCCCAGCTGAGACTTCCCAGGAGCAGGAAGACCTTTTCATAGTGAAGGTGGAAGAAGAAGACTGCACCTGGATGCAGGAGTACAACCCGCCAACGTTTGAGACTTTTTACCAGCGCTTCAGGCACTTCCAGTACCATGAGGCTTCAGGACCCCGGGAGGCTCTCAGCCAACTCCGGGTGCTCTGCTGTGAGTGGCTGAGGCCCGAGCTGCACACGAAGGAGCAGATCCTGGAGCTGCTGGTGCTGGAGCAGTTCCTGACCATCCTGCCTGAAGAGTTCCAGCCCTGGGTGAGGGAACATCACCCTGAAAGTGGAGAAGAGGCGGTGGCCGTGATAGAAAATATACAGCGAGAACTTGAGGAACGCAGACAGCAGGTGAGTCAAAGAGAAGCTATATGAGCAATGAAGGAGAGGAGTGAACCATCTGCTGAGCAGGGGTGAGATTCTTAGTCCTCTGCTGCTTCATTCATATTCTTTTGTTCTCCTGGGATTAGGTACCCTGTGACTTCCTGCCACTCCAGCAAAGAGAAGCAATATCCAGTGTGTTAACCTGTAGAAGACAATCTGCGATCTTATTTATTTTTTAAATTACTGTATTTATTTAATTATTTATTTTTGAGACGGAGTCTCGCTCTGTCGCCTATGCTGGAGTGCAGTGGTGCGATCTCGGCTCACTGCAAGCTCCGCCTCCCGGGTTCACGCCATTCTCCTGCCTCAGCCTCCGGAGTAGCTGGGACTGCAGGCGTCCGCCACCAGGCCCGGCTAATTTTTTTTTTTTTTTTTTTTGTATTTTTAGTAGAGACGGGGTTTCACCGTGTTAGCCAGGATGGTCTCGATCTCCTGACCTCGTGATCCTCCCACCTCGGCTTCCCAAAGTGCTGGGATTACAGGCGTGAGCCACCATGCCCGGCCACTGTATTTATTTTTTGAGTGACATGATACAAAATTCAAAGAGGTACATAAGGTTGTAATGAAAAGTAAGTTTTCCTCCCATCCCCAATTTCTCTCAACTGCCTAGTTCTCACCTGTGTATTCTTACAGAGCTGTACCATATTCTGTATGTATAAGCATATATACGTCTCATACTTTGGAAAAACGCAAATGTCTTTTAAGTCACTGTGCACTTCTGCCTCTTTTTTCTTATATCTTGGTTTCTTCCACGCCACTGCCATTGCAGCTATCTCACTCTCTGAAATTGCATTGTATTAACTTTTATGGAAGGAGTTTGAGTTGTTCCATTTAAATTGTTCCTTGAGATTGTTTCTAAATTTGTATTATAACAAACTTTGCTGCAATGACTATCTCACATATATGTCTGTATATATGTGTGTATGTAATATACATAATGTATGTGTTTGCGTATATATGTATATATATGCGTATATATGTGTATATATGTGTATATATGTATATATGTGTATATATATGTGTGTATATATGTATATGTGTATATATATATGTATATATATGTATATATATGTGTATATATATGTGTATATTTATGTGTGTGTGTATATATATATGTATATATATAGGCTGGGCGCAGTGGCTCACACCTGTAATCCCAGCATTTTGGGCACCTGAGGTGGGAGGATCACTTAAGACCAGGAGTTCCACATCAGCCTGGGTAGCATAGCGAGACCCCATCTCTACCAGAAAAACCAAACAAAAAATTAGCTGGGTGTGGTGGCATGCACTTATACTTCCAGCTACTCAAGAGGCTGAGGCAGCAGGATCCCTTGAACCTGGTAGTTTGAGGCTGCAGTGAGCTGTGATTTTGCCACTGTATTCCAGCCTGTGTGACAGAGGCATACCCTATTTCAAAAAAAAGTAAAAAGTTAAAAAAATTTAAATTGAAAAAATATATGTATATAAAATTAACTGTAGAAGGAATGCTTGAAACTCAAAATTGTTGGCTTAGAAATACATGTGTAGGCCGGGCACGGTAGCTCATGCCTGTAATCCCAGCACTTGGGGAGGCCGAGGTGGGCAGTTCATGAGGTCAGAAGATCGAGACCATCCTGGCCAACATGGTGAAACCCCATCTCTACTAAAAAATACAAAAATTAGCCGGGCGTGGTGGCACGCACCTGTAATCCCAGGCACTCGGGAGGCTGAGGCAGGAGAATCGCTTGAACCTGGGAGTCGGAGGTTGCAGTGAGCCGAGATTGTGCCACTGCACTCCAGCCTGGCAACAGAGCGAGACTCCATCTCAAAAAAAAAAGTACATTTGTAATTTTGATAGCTGTTGACAGGTTGGTTCCCTCATAGAGGGTATAACAATTTAGAGTACCACCAACAATGTATGAGAGAAATTTTGTGGCCATAGCCTGGTAGAACAATGTTATCAAAATTGGTCATGATTGCCAGTACATAAGATGCAATATTGGCCGGGCATGGTGACTCACGCCTGTAATCCCAGCACTTTGGGAGGCTGAGGCGGGTGGATCATGGGGTCAGATCAAGACCATCCGGGCCAACATGGTGAAACCCCGTCTCTACTAAAAATACAAAAATTAGCTGGGTGTGGTGGCATGCACCTGTAGTCTCAGCTACTTGGGAGGCTGAGGCAGTAGAATCGCTTGAACTTGGGAGGCAGAGGTTGCAGTGAGCCGAGATTGCGCCACTGCACTCCAGCCTGGGCGATGGAGCGAGACTCCCATCTCAAAAAAAAAAAAAAAGATACAATATTTTATTTCTGTGAAATTTTTCTTTCTTTCTTTCTTTCTTTCTTTTTTTTTTTTTTTGGAGACAAGGTCTTACTCTGTCACCCAGACTGTAGTGCAATGGTGCAATTTTGGCTTACCCTCCACCTCCCAGGCTCAAGCAATTCTCTTGCTTCAGCCTCCCAAGTGGCTGGGATTACAGGCATGTGCCACTACCGCCTGGCTAATTTTTTTAGTTTTTTTATTTTTATTTTTTTGAGGTGGAGTCTCACTCTGTCACCCAGGCTGGAGTGCAGTGGTGCGATCTTGTCTCACTGCAACCTCAGCTTCCTGGGTTCAAGTGATTCTCCTGCCTCAGCCTCCCGAGTAGCTGGGATTACAGACATGCACCACCATGCCCAGCTAATTTTTGTATTTTTAGTAGAGACAGGGTTTCGCCATGTTGGCCAGGCTGGTCTTAAACTCCTGACCTCAGGTGATACTCCTGGCTCTGCCTTCCAAAGTGGTGGGATTACAGGCGTAAGCCACATGCCCGGCTTAATTTTTGTATTTTTAGTAGAGATGGTGTTTCACCATGTTGGCCAGGATGTTCTCAAACTCCTGACCTCAGGTGATCCACCTGCCTTGGCCTCCCAAAGTGCTGGGATTGCAGGTGTGAGCCACCACGCCTGACCATATCTGTGAAATTTCAATTAAATTTCTTTTGTTTGACCACAGCACTTTTTTTTTTTTTTTGAGACAGAGTCTCACTCTGTTGCCTAGGCTGGAGTGCAGTGGCGTGATCTCTGCTCACTGCAAGCTCCACCTCCCGGGTTCATGCCATTCTCCTGCCTCAGCCTCCCAAGTAGCTGGGACTACAGGCACACGCCACCATGCCCGGCTAATTTCCTGTATTTCTAGTAGAGTCGGGGTTTCACCGTGTTAGCCAGGATGGTCTCGATATCCTGACTTCGTGATCTGCCCACCTCGGCCTCCCAAAGTGCTGGGATTACAGGTGTAAGCCACTGTGCCCGGCCACAGCATATATTTTTAAAGATTATTTGTATACCCTTTTATGGTGGTGAATTGTCTGTTTATATTCCTTATCTATATTTTTTTACCTTTTGGAAACAATAAGCATTGTGTCTGTCATAGGAGTTGTAAGCGTTATTTATCCAATTTGTTGTTTGTGTTCGCTTGTGGAGGTTTTTGTTTTTCATGTTTTCTTTTTTTAGAGATAGGGCCTCACTCCGTTGTCCAGGCTGGAGTGCAGTGGCACAATCATAGCTCACTGCAGCCTCGAACTCCTGGCCTCAAGTGATCCTCTTGAGTAGCTAGGACTACAGGCACTTGCCACCACATACAGCTAATTAAACAAAAATTTTTTTGTAGATGAGGTCTTGCCTAGTTGCCTAGCCTGGTCTGGAACTCCTGGGCTCAAGGGATCCTCCTGCGTTGGCCTCCCAAGGTGCTGGGGTTACAGGTGTGAGCCACTGTGCCCAGCCAGGTTTTAAATTTTTTTTTTTTTTAAGACGGAGTCTGGCTCTGCCACCCAGGCTGGAGTGCAGTGGCCTGATCTTGGCTTACTGCAACCTCTGCCTCCGGGTTGATTCTCCTGCGTCAGTCTCCTGAAGGTTTTAAAATTTTTATACAGTTAGTTAAGTATTTCATTTTATGGTTAATGGATTTTGTTTATTTTTTATTTTTATTTATTTAATTTAATATTTTTTTTTGAGATGGAGTTTCACTCTTGTTGCCTAGGCTGGAGTGCAATGGCACGATCTCGGCTCACTGCAACCTCCACCTCCCGGGTTCAAGCGATTCTCCTGCCTCAGCCTCCCGAGTAGCTGGGATTACTGGCATGTACCACCACACCAGGCTAACTTTGTATTTTTGGTAGAGATGGGGTTTATCCATGTTGGTCAGGCTGGTCTCGAACTCCTGACCTCAGGTGATCTGCCCGCCTCGGCCCCCCAAAGTACTGGGATTACAGGCATGAGCCACTGCGCCTGGCCTATTTATTTATTTTTTTGAGACAGAATCTTGCTCTGTCACCCAGGCTGGAGCATTGGTGCAATCTCAGCTCACTGCACTCTCCGCCTCCCAGGCTCAAGCGATCCTCCCCACCTCAGCCTCCCGAGTAGCTGGGACTATATAGATGTATGCTACCAGGCCTGGCTAATTTTTATATTTTTAGTAGAGGTGTGGTCTCGCCATGTTGCCCAAGCTGGTCTCCAACTCCTGAGCTCAAGTCATCCACCCGCTTCTGCCTCCCAATGTGTTGGGATTATAGGCATGAGCCATCATGCCCGGCCTGCAGCTGTCTCTTAATGGAACTCCTGCACCACATTTTGCCAGTAGCAGGAGGATTCGAAAAAAAAGTGCTTTGAAATGTAAGGGAGGGAGAAAAGGGGAAAGGAACTTACTACATTCCAATATGTTAGTAGTGAGCTAGTACCTTCCAGAATTCCAGGTTCTAGAGAGTGGTTGTGGCAGAGTAATTGTGTATATCTAGGGCTGAGCAAGAACCAAAAACAGAAGGGGTGTGAGGTAGCCTCAGTCTCAGTGTTGGTCTGTCCAGTGTGACTTACTGAGTGCTATGATGACCATTCCAATCTCCCTTCTCACCTCTGTTTCCTCTTCACACACTGGCCTTCTCATGATTCCTGACTGTACTAGACATCCTCTTTCTGCCTGAGAATTTTGTTTTCTTTCTTTCTTTCTTTCTTTTTTGAGACAGGGTCTTGCTCTGTCACCAAGGCTAGAGTGCAGTGGTGTGTCATAGCTCACTGCAGCCTTGACCTCCTGGGCTCAAGCGATCCTCGCACCTCAGCCTCCTAAGTAGCTGGGACCACAGGGACATGCCACCATGCCTGGCTAATTTTTTAATTTTTTGGAGAGACAGGGTCTCACTGTGTTGCCCAGGCTTGTCTTGAACTCCTGGGCTCAAGCGATCCTCCTGCTTCAGCCTCCGAAAGTGTTGAGATTATAGGCATGAGCTACCGTTTCAGTGTTCTCTCTGCCTGGGTCACTTCTACGTTTTTCCCGGCTGGCTTCTTCTCATCCATTTTTTTTTTTTGAGACGGAGTCTCGCTCTGTCACCCAGGCTAGAGTGCAGTGGCGCAATCTCGGCTCACTGCAAGCTCCGCCTCCCAGGTTCATGCCATTCTCCTGCCTCAGCCTCCTGAGTAGCTGGGACTACAGGCGCCCACCACCACACCCGGCTAATTTTTTTGTATTTTTTTAGTAGAGACGGGGTTTCACCGTGTTAGCCAGATTGGTCTTGATCTTCTGACCTAGTGATCCACCTGCCTCAGCCTCCCAAAGTGCTGGGATTACAGGCGTGAGCCACCCCGTGCGCCCAGCCCTTCTCAACCTTTAAGTGTTTGCTTACGGGACACTTCCTCCAGAAAGCCTTCCCTGGCCTCCCAGTCTAAAATAGGTCTCCTGTGTTCTGTCTCATGGAATTAGTTTCTTCTCCTTTCCAACATACAGCCCAGTTTGTAATTATGTATTTATTTGTGTTTTGATGTGTTTGATGAACGTCTTCTCCAACTAGAAGTAAACCATGTTTATTAAGTAACTGCATAATCAGTGCGTGGCTCATTGTAGATGCACATTAAATATTTGGCAAAGGAATGAATGAAAGTCCACCATGATTCTACTGATTTCTTTCGTGGCCTTCTCTGTAACTGTACTGATCGGTTTTGGTTGTGGTTGTTAGATTGTTGCCTGCCCTGATGTGCTTCCTCGGAAGATGGCAACACCTGGAGCAGTGCAGGAGTCCTGCAGCCCCCATCCCCTGACCGTGGACACCCAGCCTGAGCAAGCGCCACAGAAGCCTCGTCTCCTGGAGGAAAATGGTGAGGCTCAGTGATTCAGTGGAACTGATATAGCTCAAGAGTGGGTGCCTTGGCCATGTGGCAGGCACTATCTGCGGGAGAGAGACTCTAGGCTGAGCAGCCTCTCTACAGCCTGCAGGGTCTAGAAGCAGGGAAAGGCCAGGGACCTGGAGTTGAGTCCCTGGTGTTCAATGAAAGCCATTCCTAGAATGGCTAGGAATTACACCAGCTTCTTTTTTTTTCTTTTATTTATTTATTTATTTATTATTATTATACTTTAAGTTGTAGGGTACATGTGCACAATGTGCAGGTTAGTTACATATGTATACATGTGCCATGCTTGTGTGCTGCACCCACTAACTCGTCATCTAGCATTAGGTATATCTCCCAATGCTATCCCTCCCCCCTCCCCCCACCCCACAACAGTCCCCAGAGTGTGATGTTCCCCTTCCTGTGTCCATGTGTTCTCATTGTTCAGTTCCCACCTATGAGTGAGAATATGCGGTGTTTGGTTTTTTGTTCTTGCGATAGTTTACTGAAAATGATGGTTTCCAATTTCATCCATGTCCCTACAAAGGACATGAACTCATCATTTTTTATGGCTGCACAGTATTCCATGGTGTACTGCCACATTTTCTTAATCCAGTCTATCATTGTTGGACATTTGGGAAAGACACATGCACACGTATGTTTATTGCTGAATTACACCAGTTTCATTAAAAACCTACAACGCAAATGATGACAGCTCTGGGTACAGGGACTGTTAAAAGATCTACACGTCTTTTACAAAAGTATCACAGATTTTTGCCTTTCTGTCATAGATTGTCTTTCTTTTATTTTTGAGACAGAGTCTCACCCTGTTGCCTGGGATGGAGGGCAGTGGTGCGATCTTGGCTCACTGCAGCCTCTGCCTCCCAGGTTCAAGTGATACCTCCACCTCAGCCTCCTGAGTAGCTGGGACTACAGGTGCCTGCCACCATGCCCAGCTAATTTTTGGATTTTTAGTAAAGATGGGGTTTCACCATGTTAGCCAAGCTAGTCTTGAACTCCTGGCCTCAAGTGATCACCTACCTTGTCCTGCCAAAGTGCTGGCATTAGAGGTGTGAGCCACTGCGCTCAGCCTCCCTCATAGATTTTCTTGTCTTAATGCTTATGTTAAAAAAACAAAAAAACAAGGCCGGGCTCAGTGGCTCACACTTGTAATCCCTGCACTTTGGGAGGCAAAGGTGGGTGGATCACCTGAGGTCAGGAGTTCAAGACCAGCCTGGCCAACATGATGAAACCCCGTCATGATGAAACACCGTCTCTACTAAAAATACAAAAAATTAGCTGGGCATGGTGGTGCGTGCCTGTAATCCCAGCTACTCAGGAGGCTGAGGCATGAGAATCGTTTGAACCCAGGAGGCAAAGGTTGCAGTGAGCTGAGACCGTGGCACTGGACTCCAGCCTGGGCAACAAGAGCAAAACTCCGTCTCAAAAAAGAAAAGAATACTGTCACACAATGCTTTTAGCAAATTTAGTCCTTCTAGCAAAATGTGATGGTCCAGAATCTCTTATTATCTTATTATTACAAAATACTGTGTGATGAAGTCCTTGCTGTTGAATGACTCACAAGATAAGAATGCCATTTCCCTTTTTGAAATTAGAAATACATTGTTCATCATTGATTCTTGAGTTTAAGAAAATTTATCTAGGATGTTATCATTTGAAACTCATTCTAGAATCTCTGTTACACTTTCAGTTTCATGATTCTCATTAGAGAGTACAGCTGTCTTTCTGTGTCATCTACTGAGTTGCCTAATAATAGTCATCCTCTTCAAATTTTCCTCTCTTTGCCAATGTGGGCAGCAAATGAAAAATTTGGAATTCTCAACCGTGTTCAATGAAAGCTAAACAAAGGTGTTAGCGATCTTTTTGGTATAAAAGAAAGTAGCTTCATGCCTGTAATTCCAGCATTTTTGGAGGCCAAAGCAGGTGGATCTCTTGAGCCCAGGAGTTTGATACCATCCTGGGCAATGTGGCGAAAACTCACCTCTACAAAAAATACAAAAATTGGCCGTGTGCAGTGGCTCATGCCTGTAATCCCAGCACTTTGGGAGGCCAAGGCGGGCAGATCACCTGAGGTCAGGAATTTGAGACCAGCCTGACCAACATGGCAAAACCCCATCTCTACTAAAAATATAAAAAATTAGCCGGGCGTGGTGGCAGATGCCTGTAATCCTAGTAGCTACTCAGGAGGCTGAGTCAGGAGAATTGCTTGAACCCGGGAGTTGGAGGTTGCAGTGAGCTGAGATCGCACCACTGCACTCCAGCCTGGGTGACAAGAGCAAAACTCTGTCTCAAAAAAAAAAAAAAATGTATTAGCTAGGCATGGTGGCACACGCCTGTGGTCCCGGCTATACCAGAGGCTGAGGTGGGAGATTGCTCGAGCCCAGGAATTCGAGGCTGCAGTGAGCTGTGATTGTGCCACTGCAGTCCAGCTTGGGAGCCAGACTGAGACTCTGTCTCCATAAAAAATAAAAATAAAAATAAAATTTAAAGCTGCTCAGAAAAGCCAGGGGTGGTGGCTCACGCTTGTAATCCCAGCACTTTGGGAGGCTGAGGTGGGTGGATCACCTGAGGTCAGGAGTTTGAGACCAGCCTGGTCAACGTGGTGAAACCCCGTCTCTACTAAAAATATGCAACAATTATCCAGGCGTGGTGGTACATGCCTGTAATCCCAGCTACTTGGGAGGCTGAGACAGGAGAATGGCTTGAACACGGGAGGCAGAGGTTGCTGTGAACCGAGATTGTGCCACGGCACTCCAGCCTGGGCAACAGAGTGAGACTCTGTCTCAAAAAAAAAAACAAAAACTGCTCAGAAAAGAAATGGAAACCACTAGGATTGTGTGCAGGACACCTGGGTATGCCAACAGGTAATCCTTCCAGTAGCTCAGTGGAATAGCTGTTACTGTTATCCTTCTGTTAGAAATTAAGCTCAGGGCTGGGCCTGGTGGCTCATGCCTATAATCCCAGCACTTTGGGAAGCCAAGGCGGGTGGATCACCTGAGGTCAGGAGTTTGAGACCAGCCTGGCCAACATGGTGAAACCCCATCTCTACTAAGAAATACCAAAATTAGCTGGGCATGGTGGCAGGCGCCTGTAGTACTGCTCCTTGGGAGTCTGAGGCAGGAGAATCACTTGAGTCCAGGAGATGGAGGTTGCAGTGAGCAGAGATCGTACCACTGCACTCCAGCCTGGGCGACAAAGCAAGACTCCATCTCAAAAAAAAAAAAAAAAAGAAAGAAATTAAGCTGAGTCCTCGAGAGGTTAAGTTGATTTGTCCAAGGTCACAAAGATATGGAATAACAGAGCTAGGATTTGAACCCAAGCAGCCTGACTGAATCCATCCTCCTCCCCTCTTCTGAGCCATCTCATCTTTGCTTTTTTTTTTTTGAGACAGGGTCTCACTCTGTTGCCTAGGCTGGAGTGTAGTGGCGTGACTGCAACCTCTGCCTCCCAGGTTCAAGCGACTCTCCTGCCTCAGCCTCCCGAGTAGCTGGGTTTACAGGCATGTGCCACCACGCCTGGCCACATCTGGTCTTTGCTTCAGCAGCAGCTTCTCTCCTAGGCACAGACTGCTCCCTCCTCGAGTCACTTGGGTTCTGTCCACTTTCAGGGTTTCTCTCCATCTGGCTCTTGTCCTCTGTTTCTAGCTGCTTCTCATCCTCTCTGCCCTGTTAACCAGATCCTAGCCGGTTTATTTTAGCAAAATTACTCTTCATTCGGACATAGACTGTATTCACCATTTTCATCAACTTCTGTTTTCAGTCTTTAGCCACTCCCGGTTTCAGATCCCTTCTCTGCTTTTGGCTTTCATCTGTAACCATTGTCCCGTCCTTTTTGTGTCATTGCTCCTTATTTCCTAGTCATTGGAAATCAGCAAGCCACGGATGCCCCCAGATCTCCAGGACTCCAGATCTAAATACCAACAGGGTCTAAACTATCCGGTTACAGCTTAATCCCAGGCAGGTCTGTGCAAGTCAAGGCACATGTGGATGGTGAGATCCAGACATGCTGTGGACCTTAGACAAAGAGCAAGCAGAGGTGACCTCGGGGTCAGGTGGTCCCTAGCTTCCAGAGGTGAGATGTCCGGGTGTTGCGCATGCTGTTCCTGCTGTGGGGAAAGCACCCTGTCTCCCCGATCTCCATTCCTACTGCCCAGAGTCACTTTCTGGGAAAAGGCTTTGCTGCTGCTGCTGCGTCTCCTGCTCCACTCTGTAAGTGCTCCTGCCTCTATGGTCCCACGGGAACTTGGGTCACCTTTCGTCATGGCACTCTTCACGCTGTGCTGTAAGGCTTACCTGTGTGCCCTTCCCATTAGACCAAGGGGTGTCCAATCTTTTGGCTTTCCTGGGCCACACTGGAAGAAGAATTGTCTTGTGCCACACATAAAATACACAAACACTAACCATAGCTGATGAGCTTAAACAAAATAAAAATTGCAAAAAAACCCCTCATGTTTATTTCTTTGAGATGGAGTTTTGCTCTTGTTACCCAGGCTGGAGTGCAATGGCGTGATCTCAGTTCAGCGCAACCTCTGCCTCCCAGGTTCAAGCGATTCTTCTGCTTCAGTCTCCCAAGTAGCTGGGATTATAGGCATGTGCCACACACTCAGCTAATTTTGTATTTTTAGTAGAGATGGGGTTTCTCCACGTTGGTCAGGCTGGTCTTGTACTCCCAGCCTCGGGTGATCCACCCTCATCAGCCTCCCAAAGTGCTGGGATTACAGGCGTGAGCCACTGTGCCTGGCCCTTCATAATGTTTTAAGAAACTTTACAAATTTGTGGGCCAGGCATGGTGGCTCACACCTGTAATCCCAGCACTTTAGGAGGCCGAACCAGGTGGATCAGTTGAGACCAGGAGTTCAAGACCAGCCTGGCCAACATGGCGAAATCCCGTCTCTACTAAAAATACAAAAATTAGTCAGGCATGGTGGCACATGCCTGTAATCCCAGCTACTCAGGAAGCTGAGGCAGGAGACTCTCTTGAACCTGGGAGGCGGAGGTTGCAGTTGGCCAAGATTGTATCACTACACTTCAGCCTGGGCAACAGAGCGAGACTCCATCTCAAAAAAACAAAACAAAATTAGCCGGGTGTGGTGGTGGGCGCCTGTAATCCCAGCTACTTGGGAGGCTGAGGCAGGAGAATCACTTGAACCTGGGAGGCGGAGGTTGCAGTGAGCTGAGATTGCACCACTGTACTCCAGCCTGGGTGACAGAGTGAGACCTTGTCTCAAAAAAAAAAAAAAGAAAGTTTACAAATTTGTGTTGGGGCACATTCAAAGCCATCCTGGGCCACGGGCCGTGGGTTGGGCAAGCTTGCATTAGACAGTACTTTTCCAAGGTAAGAATTGTTTTGTCTATTCCTGAGATGGGCAGAGAGAGAGAGAATAGATTTAATACATATTTCTTGACTGAATAGAAACTAACCATGGAAATTCTGGAAGGGATTTCTGAGGCTGTGGTAATCCAAGAGTGGTCCAGGAAGCCGTGGCACTGGCATTACCTGGGAGCTTATTAGAAGTGCAAACTAGGGGCCAGGCACAGTGGCTCACACCTGTAATCCCAGCACTTTGGGAGGCCATTGCAGGTGAATCACCGGAGTTTGAGACGATCCTGGACAACGTGGTGACACCCTGTCACTACTAAAACTACAAAAATTAGCCAAGCTTGGTGGTGCACACCTGTAATCCTAGCTACTCGGGAGGCTGAGGCAGGAGAATTGCTTGAACCCAGGAGGCGGAGGTTGCAGTGAGCTGAGATCGCGCCACTGCACTCTAGCCTGGGCCACAGAGCGAGACTCTGTCTCCAAAAAAAAAAATTTTTTTTAATTAAATTAAAAAATGAAAAAGAAATGCAAACTCTCAGGCCTCACCCCAGGCCTTTTGAGTCAGAATCTGCAAGTACCAAGATCCCCTAGGGGATGTAGGTGATTTATTTGTACATTAAAGCTCGAGCAGCCCTGGACTGTTAGGAATGCTTCAGTTTCATGGAAGATGTGGGAATTTGGTGGTTCTTTGAGATAATAAAATTTGATCTTGGCAAAGCAGAATGCATCCTTTTTTTTTTTTTTTTTTTTTTTGAGAGGGAGTCTTGCTCTGTCACCCAGGCTGGAGTGCAGTGGTGTGATCTCGGCTCATTGCAACCTCCGCCTCCTGGGTTCAAGTGATTCTCCTGCCTCAGTCTCCTGAGCAGCTGGGACTACAGGCGCCCGCCACCATGCCCAGCTAATTTTTGCATTTTTAGTAGAGATGAGGTTTCACCATATTGGCCAGGCTGGTCTCTAACTCCTGACCTTGTGATCTGCCTGCCTCGGCCTCCCAAAGTGCTAGGATTACAGGCGTGAGCCACCGTACCTGGCCCCCACCTTTTTTTTTTTTTTGAGACGGAGTCTTGCTCTGTCACCCAGGCTGGAGTGCAGTGGCACGATCTTGGCTCACTGTAACCTCCACCTCCCAGGTTCAAGCAATTCTCCTGCCTCAGCCTCTTGAGTAGCTGGGACTACAGGCACCTGCCACCACACCCGGCTAATTTTTGTATTTTTAGTAGAGGTGGGGTTTCACCATACAGGCCGGGCTGGTCTCGAACTGCTGACCTTGTGATCCTCCTGCCTCGGCCTCCCAAAGTACTAGGATTACAGGCGTGAGCCACCACGCCCAGTATTTTTTTTTTTTTTTTTTTTCTGAGACAGTGGCTGACTCTGTTGCCCAGGCTGGAGTGCAGTGGTGCAATCTTGGCTCATTGCAACTTCTGCATCCTAGGTTCAAGCGATTATCATGCCTTATCCTCTCAAGCAGCCAGGATTACAGGCGTGCATCACCACATCTGGCTGATTTTTGTATTTTTAGTAGAGATGGGATTTTGCCTTGTTGGCCAGGATGGCCTTGAATCCTGGCCTCAAGTGATCTGCCCCCCTTGACCTCCCAAAGTGCTGGTATTACAGGCGTGAGCCACTGTGCCTGGTCACAGAATGCATCCTTTATAGCGGAAAGGCAAGCAGGGATTAGCCTGACCAAAGTAGGAAGTCTAGGGTAAAGGAGGAATAAAACAGAGTGTGAGAGGATCCAGAAATTAGAGGGTCTTGACAGCCAGGCAGAAGAATTTGGCCTCGGCGCAGTAGGGGCCATTATGGATTCCTGAGCATAAGAGGAACATGATGGCAATGAGAACCGGGCAAAGATGTTCTCACTTAAACCTCTTTTTCTCCTCCCTTAGCCCTTCCTGTTCTCCAAGTTCCTTCCCTTCCCCTGAAGGACAGCCAGGAGCTGACAGCTTCACTTCTCTCAACTGGGTCCCAGGTGAGCTGGTGCCCCTTTGCCCTCAGAGAGGACCCATCCTGAACCTTCACCAAGAGTTCTGTTTCTTTAGCCAGTGACTAGGCCCATCTTGGGTTGGTACCTTCATTCCTTTGGCCTTTTTCCTTTCTGCCTAGTCCTTCCCCATCCTCTTTGAGGCACAGTTCCTCCCCCTGTTTCTTTTCTTAATGAGCCCAGTTCTTCCCCTCACTCCAAATTTGGACATAGGGAATGAGAATTTAGTGGAGATCTCCTGTTTCAGAAGTTGGTGAAAATTGAAGAGGTGGCTGATGTGGCTGTATCCTTCATCCTGGAGGAATGGGGGCATTTGGACCAGTCCCAGAAGTCCCTTTATAGGGATGACAGGAAGGAGAACTATGGGAGTATTACTTCCATGGGTAAGGATTATTTCATCTGCATGGATTAGGACATGTTTATTTTGTTATCTTGTAAAGAGTATTTCTGGCTCATCTTATAATGGCATTTATGTTTTATGTGCTATGACTTTGCTTTTTTTTATTTTTTGTAAAAGAATAAATCAGCCTTCATTTTTTTTTTCTTATTCAGTTTATTCTGATCATTTCCATCTTAATAAGAGTATGATTAAACACTGATAGTACTTGGGGGGACTGTTTTTGCAATCCAGCAGATGCTAACTTTTTACTGCTTTAAAATAAGAGTGGGTTGGCTGTGGTGGCTCACACCTGTGATCCTAGCACTTTGGGAGGCCGAGGTGGGAGAATCACTTGAGTCCTTTGGACTTTAACAAATTTTTGGTAGTTACTATACTGTTTAATAGATTGGATAATTTTGCCAGGTGTGGTAGCTCATGCCTGTAATCCCAGCACTTCCGGAGGCTGAGGCGGGTGGATCACCTGAGGTCAGGAGTTCAAGACCAGCCTGGCCAACATGGTGAAACCCCATCACTACTACAAATACAAAAATCAGCCGGGCGTGGTGGCGGGCGCCTATAATCCCAGCTACTTGGAGGACTTCATTACCATTCTTAAGTCACTGATACCTATTTTATTATGTTCGCCTTGGCACCTACATTTTACCTGTCATATCGCTTCTTGAATTTTCTGGCCCTATTTCTAACTAAGTTATAATCCTGGAAGCTAATATTTAATTGTACTGTCTGGAGCAGTTATAAAAATCTCAGCACTCCTGCAAACATTTTGGAGATTATAGCTTTTAGCCTTTTTTTAGTAAATTCTTTTAGAAGAACCACTCTATCAGGCATACTGGAAGACTTCAGATGCAAACATACACGCTACAAAATATATTTATTTTATTATTTTATTTTTTTGAGATGGAGTCTCACTCTGTCTCCCAGGCTGGAGTACAATGGCGCAATCTCAGCTCCCTGCAACCTCTGCCTCCTGGTTTCGAGCAATTCTCCTGCCTCAGCCTCCTGAATAGCTGGGGTTACAGGCATGTGCCACCATGCCCAGCTAATTTTTGTATTTTTAGTAGAGACAGGGTTTCACCATATTGGCCAGGCTGGTCTCAAACTCCTGACCTCGTGATCTGCCCAGCTTGGCCTCCCAAAGTGTTGGGATTAACAGGTGTGAGCCACCATGCCCCGCCCACAATGCAAAATTTCTTTTGAAAAACATTATGTCAGTTTACATTGTTTAACCGTTTTAGTTCACTCACAAGCTTTTATTTAACAGGTATACAGCTGACTCTGCTCTTTTAAATTTTCAATTTTTAATTACTATTGATATTATTTATATTTATTTCCTCTTTTTGATTTATTTGTGCATGCCTCTGTTCATTAATCTATTGGGATCTTGGTAGTCTTTTTTTATTTTGATGTTTTAATTTTTGTGGAAAAAAATCAAATTTATGCTTTAAAATTATTGATTAAATCAATAATTTTATGATTATTGATTTTTCATGGGGCCTTTTAGCTCAGTGAATTACTCATATAGTATAAATGTTATATTTAATGCAAATTTTAAAAATTCTTTTCTTTTTAAATTAATTTCCAATAGCTTGCTTGTTTATTTGAGCCTGTTACTCTTGCTTTATCTTTTTCAGTTACTTTATAGGTACCTAATGGATTTCAGAGTTTGAGGTTCTTGGCATAGTTCTTTCTATGGTATTCTCTAAGCAGTTTTAAATGTGTAGTTTCTGATGTTTTTCTCATTCTCTATCTCTTCATTATAACATCTGTATTTATCACTTCAATACACTATTCTACATTAATTACATGGCCAGTGGTTTCTGCCTCCTTTACTTCTCTCGGAAGGCCATGTTAGATTCTTTTCACATCTGCGGATTTCTATTAATAACAGCATCACCAGAGGTCAAAATCAAAGAAAGTACCCATCAGATTTGGAAGTGAGATTTTTACAACATAAGTAAATGAGTCTTGGAGGCAGCAGTTTCCGTGGAGTGGCAGGGGTGTTGGGGAACAAGAGATAGTTTCTTTGAAGATTGCAAAGGAGTGGAATTTGAAAAAGCTATTGTAGATGAATGTAAGGACTTTGTCTCTAAAGGGGAAGAGAGTCCTGGTCACTGAAAGAGTAATGGGTTGGATGGGTGGATTGTTTTTTGTTTCCCCTTTTTTTTTTTTTGAGACAGTGTCTCGCTCTGTTGCCCAGGGAGCAGTGCAGTGGTACGATCTTGGCTCACTGCAACCTCTGCCTCCCGGGTTCAAGCTATTCTCGCACCTCAGCCTCCCGAGTAGCTCCCGAGTAATTTTGGGATTACAGGCACCCTCCACCACAGCCGCCTAATTTTTCTGTTTTTAGTAGAGATGAGGTTTCACCACCTTGGCCAAGCTGGTCTCAAACTCCTGACCTCAGGTGATCCAACCACCTCGACCTTCCAAAGTGCTGGGATTACAGGCGTGAGCCACCATGCCTGGCTCGTATGTTTTGTTAATGGGAGAAATTTTCAGCATATTTAAATGCTTCTGGAGAAGAACTAGTAGAGTAGAATATGGAGGCAAGGAGGAGCAGACAGGCTGGGCCGTGGTGTCTCATGCCTGTAATCCCAGCACTTTGGGAGGCTGAGGTGGGCAGATCACTTGAGGCCAGGAGTTTGAGACCAGTCTGGGCAACATGGCAAAAACCTGTCTCTACTAAAAATACAAAAATTATCCGGGCATGGTGGCACGCATCTGTACTCTCAGCTACTTAGGAGCTGAGGCAGGAGAATTGCTTGAATCCGGGAGGTGAAGGTTGCAGTGAGCTGAGATCATGCCATTGCACTCCAGCCTAGGTGACAATGTGAGACCCTATCTCAAAAAAAAAAAAAAAAAAAAAAAAAAATGGAGGGGCAGTTAGCTGATGTTGGGAGATCCCTGGAAAGCAGGAAGGTATGGTGAGATCTGGGGTACAGGAAGGAGGAAGGACTGACCTTGGCTCGAGAGACATGTCTCCACTGAGAGACAAGGGGAGGAGGAAGTGAGTAGGCTGCCTGCTGAACGCAGGAACTCATGCCTGTAATCTCAGCACTTTGGGAGGCCAAGGAAGGAGGATCACTTGAGGCCAGGAGTTCGAGACCAGCCTGGGCAACATAGTGAGACAAACCCTTACAAAATATACAAAAATTAGCTAGGCGTGGTGGTGCATGCCTGTAGAGGCTGAGGTGGGAGGATCGCTTCAACCAGGGAGTTAGAAGTAACAGTAAGCTGTGATTGTGCTGCTGTGTTCCAGCCTGGGTGACAGAGCAAGACCCAGTCTCAAATCAATCAATCAATCAATCAATCAATCAATGTGTGAGACCAGTAGATATGAATAAAAGAGAAAAAAAATACTATGGTAGCTGGGATTAGCTGCATAGTTAAATGAGGGAGGAAAAAACATAAAAAGTCTGGTTTTGTGATAGGGTTTTTTGTTTATATCCCTGTTTTTACTGTTTCAGTGTCTTTTTAGGAAGGTAAGTAAAAGTAGCTATATGGTAAATTAAAATTAAAATTGTCTTCATAGTTTAGGAATTATAACTTCTGACTATATCAAAAAAGGATTATGGTAGCTCCCTTAAAGGTCATTGTAAGGATTAAATATACCATAAAATTGTAAAGTACTTAGTGTAGTGCTGGACTCATAGCACTCAGCAAATGTTTAGCTCTTATTACTAATATAATACAGAAAACTCTCCTCATGAAAACATCTTGGGACATTCTTAATAGGCCATGATACTCCCTGGGTTTTTTTTTTTTTTTTTGGGACAGAGTCTCGCTCTGTCACCCAGACTGGAGTGCAGTGGTGTGATCTCAACTCACTGCAACCTCTGCCTCCTGGGTTCAAGCGATTCTCGTGCCTCAGCCTCCTGAGTAGCTGGGATTACAGGTGTGTGCCACGACGCCTGGCTAATTTTTTTCGTATTTTTAGTAGAGACAGGTTTTCATCATGTTGGCCAGGCTGGTTTCAAACTCCTGACCTCAAGTGATCCGCCTACCTCGACCTCCCACAGTGCTGGGATTACAGGCGTGAGCCACCACACCCGGCTGATAATTTTTGTATTTTTTGTAGAGACGGGGTTTCGCTGTGTTGGTCAGGCTGGTCTCGAACTCCTGGCCTCAAGTGAACCGCCCGCCTTGGCTTCCCAAAGTGCTGGGATTACAGGCATGAGCCACTGTGCCTGGCCAATACTCTATTTTTTGTTAACTACTGAAGATTTGTCTCTGCAAACCATATTAAAACATCAGTGTTTTGAGTAAAGTATCTTGCTGATACAGTTGAACAAAGGAACTAATTATAGCCACTGAAACATCCACGGTTCTATCAGTGACTGCTGAACATTAACCTAGCTCTTGAAAGTAGTAGGTTCTTCTCAGGATATAGAAAGAATGTCTTTTTTCTTTTAGATTAATTCATACCAAACTGAAATCCTTTGGGCATTGAGAAACCTAGAAAGATCACCTTTCTTTTCTAGGCTATGAATTCACAGGAAGAGGAAGGTGAAGATGGGGTTAGCTGCATAACCTGCTATCCAGTTTTATTAAGAATATTGCCCAGTCGTGACTGGGCGCGGTGGCTCATGTCTGTAATCCCAGCACTTTGGGAGGCCGAGGCGGGCAGATCACTAGGTCAGGAGTTCGAGACCACCTGGCCAATATGGTGACACCCTGTCTCTGCTAAAATTACAAAAATTAGCTGGGCGTGGTGATGTGCGCCTGTAGTCCCAGTGACTTGGGAGGCTGAGGCAGAAGAATCACTTGAACCCGGGAGGCAGAGGTTGCAGTCAGCCGAGATCGCGCCACTGCACTCCAGCCTGGGTGGCAGAGTGAGACTCCGTCTCAAAAGAAAAAAAAAAAAGAATATTGCCCAGTCGCGTTGGCTCACGTCTGTAATCCCAGCACTTTGGGAAGCTGAGGTGGGAGGATCACTTGAGCTCAGGAGTTTGAAACCAGCATGGGCAACATAATGAGACCCTCATCTCTACAAAAATATAAAAATTAGCTGAGCATGGTGGTGTGCAACTGTAGTCCTAGCTACTTGGGAGGCTGAGGTGGGAGGATCGCTTGAGCCCAAGAGGTTGAGGATGCAGTGAGCCATGATTGCCCCACTGCACTCCAGCCTGGGTGACAGAGTGAGACCCTGTCTCAAAACACACACATACACGCGCGCGCGCACACACACACACACAAGAGAACATTTAACATGATACAGGTATTTGTAAGTGCCACACTGAGAGGAGACCCTCTTCGTTCAGTGGAATGACTGATTTTCAGTCTCCTTCCTCTGAACATTTTTTGCCAGCTCTTCCTTCCCTAACCTCCCTCACTTTTCTGCTTGAATATTTTTCATCCCATCCCTGTACTGTAAAAGTCCCTTTACAGAATCATGGATCCCTAGCACATGTCAGTTTCTCTTCATTATCCCCTCATTTTATTTCTTCAAATTCAAGGAAAAGCTCATTTTTTAATTCTCCCTCTGTTATTTCAGGTTATGAGTCCAGGGACAATATGGAGCTCATAGTGAAGCAGATTTCTGATGACTCTGAATCACACTGGGTGGCGCCAGAACACACCGAAAGGAGCGTTCCTCAGGATCCAGACTTTGCAGAAGTCAGTGACCTTAAAGGCATGGTACAAAGGTGGCAGGTCAACCCCACTGTGGGGAAATCAAGGCAGAATCCTTCCCAGAAAAGGGATCTGGATGCAATCACAGACATCAGCCCTAAGCAAAGCACACATGGCGAGAGAGGGCACAGATGCAGCGATTGTGGCAAATTCTTCCTCCAAGCCTCAAACTTTATTCAGCATCGGCGCATCCACACTGGAGAAAAACCGTTTAAGTGCGGAGAATGTGGGAAGAGCTACAATCAGCGGGTGCACCTCACCCAGCACCAGCGCGTCCACACAGGGGAGAAACCCTACAAATGTCAGGTGTGCGGAAAGGCTTTCCGGGTGAGTTCCCACCTGGTTCAGCACCACAGTGTCCACAGCGGAGAGAGGCCCTATGGCTGCAATGAGTGTGGGAAGAACTTCGGTCGCCATTCGCATCTGATCGAACACCTAAAACGCCACTTCAGGGAGAAATCCCAGAGATGTACGTGTGAGGAGTTTATATCCGGGGGATAAATGGAGGCGAAAAGCAAAAGGTGTTTTATTAGTACGGTACAACAGGACAGATGGGTGGTGATACTGGGGGGGGTAGGAAGAGGCAAAGGTTATCGTTTATTTGGTTCTTATGTATTTATTTTTTGAGACAGTCTCGCTCTGTCGCCCAGGCTGGAGTGCAGTGGCGAGATCTCAGCTCACTGCAACTTCTGCCTCCCCGGTTCAAGCGATTCTCCTGCCTCAGCCTCCCAAGTAGCTGGGACAACAGGCGCGCACCAGCATGCCCGGGTAATTTTTGTGTTTTTAGTAGACACAGGGTTTCCCCATGTTGGCTAGGCTGGTTTTGAACTCCTGACCTCAGGCGATCTGCCTGCCTTGGCCTCCCAAAGTGCTGGGATTACAGGCATGAGCCACTGTGCTGGCTGTGCTCTCAGCTGTTAGTGGTTCCTTCTGGTAATTCTGTATTTTAAAATAAAACTATTATTAGTTGGCTCATCAATTTTAAATGTTATCTGTTGACTTTCTATGGTAGTAAATGAGGATTTGGCTCTCTTATATGCTTTTCTCTCTTTCCCCTTTTCCCAATTTAGTTATTTTACTTATTTTAAAACAATAGCCTGGGTACAGTGGCTCACACCTGTAATCTCAGTGCTTTGGGAGGCGGCTGAGCTAGGAGGATTACTTGAGGCCAGGCATTCAAGACCACCCTGGGCAACATAGCAAGACCTTGTCTCTACAAAAAAATTTAAAAATTACCTGGGCATGGTGGCATGTGCCTGTAGTTGCAGCTCCTCGGAAGGCTGAGGTGGGAGGATCTCTTAGCCCAGAAGTTCAAGACTACAGTGAGCTATAAATGTGTCTGTGAATAGCCACTGCACTCCAGACTGGCTAACAGAGTGAGACTTCTCAAATAACAAACAAACACAAACCCAATAAAATAACAGTAGTACAGGAAGCTTGGAGAAAATAAAAAGAAAAAATAAATCACCCATAATCACATCACCCTAACTAATAGAACTGTTATTACTTAGTATGTTTCCTTTTTTTTTTATAAGTCTGTTTCACGTAGTCGTACTCAGAATTAAATATTAAGCGTACACATTTTCCAGGGCTGTTCAGCCCTCCTTTTTATTTCTGACAGTCTGCCATTGTGTGGTGGCATTGTAATTTACTCAAGTGTTCCCAGTTGTTGAACTTCAATTTTTTTCTCTTTTGTCCCGATAACTGTTTATGCCTGTGACTTTTTCTTTTTTTCTTTTCTTTTCTTTTTTTGAGACGGAGTTTCACTCTTGTTGCCCAGGCTGGAGTGCAATGGCACGATCTCAGCTCACTGCAACCTCTGCCTCCCAGGTTCAAGCGATTCTCGTGCCTCAGCCTCCTGAGTAGCTGAGATTACAGGCATTTGCCACCATACCTGGCTAATTTTTTTTTGTATTTTTAGTAGAGATGGGGTTTCACTATATTGGCCAGGATGGTCTCGAACTCCTGACCTCAAGTGATCCACCCGCCTTGGCCTCCCAAAGTGCTGGGATTATAGGTGTGAGCTACCATGCCGGGCCAGTATTTTTAAACATCTGTTCAAATGACAGTAAATTTATCTGTGAATGAGATCGTCATAAACTGTGCTGTGAACTTAAAGGCCCTTACTAATATTCTTCAGATGATTCTAAGACCAGCCAAAATGTTTTTCTTTTTTTTTTTTTTTTTTTTAATTCTGCCTTTGATGTTTACAGCCACGCTGCATCTTCCACCATGGCACAGAAGTCAGTAAAGTGTCTTTAAAGTTCTGGGTTTGAGCTGAGCTATCCTCTCAGCTAGTGTTTTCCCGTTCTACTCGATGATTCCCTCATTTGGAAAATCCACCAATAGCGCTTTGGACTTGAAAAAGCAATCGCTTTAAAATAGTTATCTTTTGTTTTCTACCTTCCCTGCAATTGTTTCTATGGCTAGTTTCCCAGTGAATACTCACTTGCCTTCCACATTTTTTTTGTGGGGCGGGGGCGTTTTTGTATTTTGAGATAGGGTCTTGCTCTGTCACACAGGCTAGGGTAAAGTAGCGGGATCTCAGCTCACTGCAGCCTCCACTTCCTGGGCTGAACTAATCCTCCCACCTCAGCTTCCTGCATAGCTGGGACTACAAGTGTTCACCACCACACCCAGCTAATTTATGTATTTTTTGTAGAGAAGGGGTCTGGCTCTGTTGCCCAGGCTGGTCTTGAACTTCTAGGCTTAAGCGATCCTCCAGCCTTGGCCTCCACAAGTGCTAGGAGTTACAGGTGTGAGCCACCATGCCCGGTCCTCCCTCATTTTTCTGGATCAAAGGGGGAATACATGTTTTGCACATCCAGCCATATTATTGAGAGTCTGTGTTGCTAGTTGCACAGGATCTGCAGTGACCAGAACAGAGATACAGTCCATGCTCTCATGCAGCCGATGGTCTGGTGGGGGTAGCAGATAGTAAAGGTGATGAGCATTCCCAAAGGAGAAGGATGACATGCCGGGGGAGGAAAACTGAGGCTAGAATGTTGGCTAAGGGTGAAGGGGGCAGGGATTGCTGTATCACCCACCCTCTGACAATGCTTCTTGTTGGCTCATTTTGCCTTATTTCCTGACTCCTAGTCAGATATTCCCTGACTGCATACCCTCTTCATCATCCTTCACTCTCATTCTTCCAGTTTTTGTCAGTTCTCACCACCCAGTTATGTATTTGTTTTTTGTTTTTCTTTTTTGAGATGGAGTCTCACTCTGTCACCCAGGCTGGAGTGCAGTGATGTGATCTCAACTCACTGCAGCTTCTGCCTCCTGGGTTCAGGCGATTCTTCTGCCTCAGCCTCCCGAGTAGCTGGGACTACAGGCACCTACCACGATCCCTTGCTAATTTTTGTATGTTTAGTAGAGATGAGGTTTTACCATGTTGGTCAGGCTGGTCTTGAACTCCTGACCTCAGGTGATCCACCTGCCTCAGCCTCCCAAAGTGCTGGGATTATAGGCACGAGTCACCACACCCAGCCTGCTACATTTTCTTTATCAACTCATTGCTCAACGGGCACTTAGATTGGCTCCATATCTTTGCAGTTGTGAATTGTGCTGCAGAAGACAGGCGCTTACAGTCTTTTTGGTATATTGTCTTTTCCTTTGTGTAGATATACCCAGTTGTGGAATTGCTGGATCAAATGGCAGATCTACTTCTGGTTCTTGAAGAAGTCTCCATACTGTTATCCACAGAAGTTGTATTAATTTATCTCTCACCAGCAATGTATAAGCGTTCCCTTTTCACCACATCCATGCCAACATCTATTGTTTTTTGACTTCTTTGTTTTTTTTGAGATGGAGTCTCGCTGTGTTGCCCAGGCTGGAGTGCAGTGGCGCAATCTTGGCTCACTGCAACCTCTGCCTCTTGGGTTCAAGCAATTCTCTGCCTCAGCCTCTGGAGTAGCTGTGATTACAGGGCACCCACCACCATGCCCAGCTAATTTTTGTATTTTTAGTAGAGATGGGGTTTCACTGTCTTGGTCAGGCTGGTCTTGAATTCCTGACCTCGTGATCCACCCACCTCGGCTTCCCAAAGTTCTGGGATTACAGGCGTGAGCCACCTGCACCCGGCCTTTTTTTTTTTTTTTTTTTGAGATGGAGTCTTGCTGTTGCCCAGGCTGGAGTGCAATGGCGCAGTCTCGGCTCACTGCAACCTCAGCCTCCTGGGTTCAAGCGATTCTCCTGCCTCAGCCTCCTGAGTAGCTGGGATTACAGGCGCCCGCCACCATGCCCAGCTAATTTTTGTATTTTTAGTAGAGATGTGGGTTTCACCATGTTGGCCAGGCTGGTTTCGAACTCCTGACCTCAGGTGATCTGCCCGCCTCGGCCTCCCATAGTGCTGGGATTACAGGTGTGAGCCACCACGCCCGGCCTTTTGACTTCTTAATAATGGCCATTCTTGCAGGAGTAAGGCAGTACCTTATTGTGGCTTTAATTTGCACCTTCCTGATGATTAGTGATGTTCAGCATTTTTTTCATGTTTGTTGGTCATTTGTATATATTATTTTGAGAACTGTCTCCATGTCATTTGCCTACTTTTTGATGGGATTTTTTTTTTCTTGTTGACTTGTTAGAGTTACTTGTAGATTCTGGATATTAGTCCTTTGTCTGATGCATAGTTTGCAAATATTTTCTGCCATCCTGTGGATGAGTCTTGCTCTTTTCGTCAGAAAATTCCAAAAGTTTGTTGTTTACATTCCTGTTGGCATCAAGTACACACACACATCCACCTCTGTTACTCCCGTTACATCATAGTTTCATCTGATGAACATTTTTTATGACAGTTTATTTTTCCTTTATAAAAGAACTGATGGGCCAGGCACGGTGGCTTAAACCTGTAATCCCAGCACTTTGGGAGGCTGAGGCGGGTGGATCACCCAAAGTCAGGAGTTTGAGACCAGCCTGGCCAACATGGCAAAACCCCATCTCTACTAAACATACAAAAATTAGCTGGGTGTGGTCATGCACGCCTGTAGTCTCAGCTACTTGAGAGGCTGAGGCAGGAGAATCACTTGAACCCAGGAGGCAGAGGTTGCAGTGAGCCGAGATCGCATCATTGCACTCTAGCCTGGGCGACAGAGCAAGACCCCATCTCAAAAAAAAAAAAGAACTGATGACATTTTCACTTGCTCTTTATTTTTTTTAGGCAGTGACAAAAGAAGTAAGAACACAAAATTAAGTGTTAAGAAGAAAATTTCAGAATATTCAGAAGCAGACATGGAACTATCTGGAAAAACCCAAAGAAATGTTTCTCAAGTTCAAGATTTTGGAGAAGGCTGTGAGTTTCAAGGCAAGCTGGATAGAAAGCAGGGAATTCCCATGAAAGAGATACTAGGACAACCATCTTCAAAGAGGATGAACTACAGTGAAGTCCCATATGTCCACAAAAAATCCTCCACTGGAGAGAGACCACATAAATGTAACGAGTGTGGGAAAAGCTTCATTCAGAGTGCACATCTTATTCAACATCAAAGAATACACACTGGGGAGAAACCATTCAGGTGTGAGGAATGTGGGAAAAGCTACAACCAACGCGTGCACCTAACTCAGCATCAGCGCGTCCACACAGGTGAGAAGCCCTACACCTGTCCCTTATGTGGGAAAGCCTTCAGAGTGAGGTCCCACCTTGTTCAGCATCAGAGCGTGCACAGTGGGGAGAGACCCTTCAAGTGTAACGAATGTGGGAAAGGCTTTGGGAGGCGTTCCCACCTGGCTGGACATCTTCGACTCCACTCCCGAGAGAAATCCCATCAGTGTCGTGAATGTGGGGAAATCTTTTTTCAGTACGTTAGCCTAATTGAACATCAGGTGCTCCACATGGGTCAGAAAAATGAAAAAAATGGCATCTGTGAGGAAGCATATAGTTGGAACTTGACAGTGATTGAAGACAAGAAGATTGAGTTACAAGAGCAGCCTTATCAGTGTGATATCTGTGGAAAAGCCTTTGGTTATAGCTCAGACCTCATTCAGCATTACAGAACTCATACAGCAGAGAAGCCCTATCAATGTGATATATGTAGAGAAAATGTTGGCCAGTGTTCCCACACCAAACAACATCAAAAAATCTACTCCAGCACAAAATCCCATCAATGTCATGAATGTGGCAGAGGCTTCACTCTGAAGTCACATCTTAATCAACATCAGAGAATCCATACTGGTGAGAAACCTTTTCAATGTAAAGAATGTGGAATGAATTTCAGCTGGAGTTGTAGCCTCTTTAAACACCTGAGAAGCCATGAGAGGACAGATCCCATAAATACCTTAAGTGTAGAGGGGTCTCTGTTGTAGAATAGCTCTTAATTTTAGAGAAACCTTCCTGGAGGGAAACCATACTCCTATAATGAGCAAAGTAACAACTTCAAGCATTTTTCCAGCGTTACCATCAAACTCACAAATAGGTTGAAATCCTTTAGTTATAACTCAGCCTTTAGGAACACCGGAGAACCCACAATAATAGAAATCTTTTCGTGTTCCCCATTGAGAAATGCTTTAGTTAGCATCTTCATGCTTGGAAATCTAGACAAGAAGAGAATCCATGGATGGACATGGTCGAGGAATTCGGAAAGCCTGCAGTTGACATTCAGTCTTCACTTGAAACTCAAAACTGACACTAGGAACAGCTTCATGAGTTCAGTAGAAGTAAGCTTTATTTGTAGCTTCTGCCTTGTTTGACGGCGTATCTATTCAGGGAAGCGCACAGTAAAAGAATTCCTTAGCATGATGTCTGTTTTGGTACCTCAGCAATGAACCTTTTCTAGAAATTATTATTCCAACCACTAGAATACCCTAGTCACTATTCCCACTTTGAGCATTAACCCCTTTGAAAAGAAATGGACTTAAAGTATCTCTGTTTTGGCAAAATTCAGGTTCAGGGGCTGGATGGTATGTGTTTCTGCTGCCTTATTCAATCCACCACTTCTCTGTGAAACACTCTACCTTGTTTTTGGTTTGATTCTACTGATGTCAGGGTTTAGCCGGTAGAAGGAGTAGTTCAGTTTGTCAATTCAGGAGAAACTGTACTGGTCAGTCACATCTTACGGCGAAGGGAGAGGGACCTTAGGGGAGCAGAGAAGACAGGCAAAGTTGTGGACTGTTTGATCTTGTATTACCCACAGGAATGAGGGCAGCTAAACCCATAGAAGGAGTTGGACCAAGGCGAATTACGAGTCCTGGTCCCAGCAGTATGTGTGCTGACTTCTGGGTGCCCCAGAAATAGACCTCTCCTGTAGAGTGGTGATATACAGAATGAGTTTCAGTTTGCATTGCAGCTGGGATTGAAAGTAATCAGTCGTGAGCAGGCAGGCAGGAGGTCCTGTTAGCCCTGCCTTCCAGGAAGGTTGGGGTGGGAGTTTTGAGTGGGAAAGAGGATGACATGTGTGAGAGAGTTCTGAGCCTGTTTGCTAGGGAGAGTGAGTGAGTGCTCTTGGGCACTGCTCAGGCCGTTTCTGCTGACTTGCCTGGCTTACAATAAATGCCCAATAAATATTTGTTGACCATATGTGTTGTACACTGTGGTGCCCTGTCCAGTCCCCTCTACCAAGCTGAGACCCCCATCCCCAGCTGCTCTGAGTTTGGGCTGCAAGTGCTCACAGCTCTTGTTCTCCAGAAACTGGAGAATTGCCCTCAGGAGATGAGAGCCATCTCACCTCACCCAGGAGTCACTTCCTCTCTACACCCCAACACCTGGTTCATTTGATTAAAGCGGAGAAAACTCCAGGGTGCTATGACTGCTCTGGCACCCTTGGATCAGGCCAAGCTAGACTTTTTCTGAGCCTTCATCCGTGCTAAGCTCTCTCCCTTCTCTATCCTGTTTCATTCCCTCCCTCAAAGGCGTTTCCCAAATAAATCACACTGTCAATCACATGGTTCTGAATCCCTGTCTCAGGCTCTGCTTTAGAGAACCTGATCTAAGACATTTGGTGCCACAAGTGGTCATAGGAAGCTGCTGTGAGAGTGGATTGTGGAGTTGGTCACTCGCCAGGAGGGAGTGAAGACCCGCATCACTGTTAATAGTCCTGGCATGTGGTACCTGTCCAGTCACTAAGTCATTCACTTGTGGGGAACTGGGATGAGATACAGGTGGAAAGCGATCTATTGACTTGTAGAGGTTTGGGACAAACAGGAAAATAAAGATTATGGAATTGGGTGGCTCTTGCTGAAAGTCACTGAATCCTTGAAGAGAAGAAAATGACAGGGCAAATAACCACCAATTTAATGCCAAGTGTGTGTCAGAGGACCTTCTTGGTAGCTTTTTAATTTTTTTATAGACAGGGTCTTGCTCTGCTGCCCAGGCTAGAGTGCAGTGGTGCAATCACAGCTCACTGCAGCCTTGACCTCCCGGGCTCAAGTGGTCTAGCCACCTCAGCCTCCTGAATAGCTGGGACTACAGGCACATGCCACCATGAGTGGCTAATTTTTAAAAAACATACTTTAGCTGGGCGCGGTGGCTCATGCCTATAAACCCAGCACTTTGGGAGGCTGAGGCGGGCAGATCACGAGGTCAAGAGATCGAAACCATCCTGGCCAACCAACATGGTGAAACCCGGTCTCTACTTAAAATACAAAAATTAGCTGGGCATAGTGGCGCATGCCTATAGTCCCAGCTACTCCAGAGGCTGAGGCAGGAGAATCGCTTGAACCCGGGAGGCAGAGGTTGCAGTGAGCTGAGATCACGCCACTGCACTCTAGCCCAGTTGACAGAGCGACAGTGTCTAAAAAAAAAAAAAAAAAAAAAAAAAACATTTTTTGGAGAGATGGTATCTCCCTATGCTGCCCAGAGTGGTCTCGAACTCCTGGGCTCAAGTGATCCTCCAGCCTTGGCCTCCCAAATGTTGGGATTACAGGCATGAGCTACTGCACCTGGCCTTGGAGTGATTCTTGAAAGCTTAGAAAAGTCAGTGGCCCACATTAAATGACGTAGAGATGACAAAACCATGGCAGACTTAACAAAGGGATCCAAAGATTCATACATACACAAACTAGGATGGAACTAGAAGATAAGACCAAGCAACCCACCTTCAGTTATGTTCCTTAGGAGGGTCTGGAGAGCATTCTGTTTACCAAGGTTCCAAGGAATGCCCTGGTTGGGGGGCCATCAGCATCACTGAGAAGCTTGGTAGTGGCTATCCTGGTTTGCAGGGGCTGGTTATTATATAACATCACCCCAGACCATTCACATTACAGCCAGAGGTGCAGCAGTGGGCATGTGGCCATGGGGACCATTGTTTGTTTGTTTTTTGTTTTTTGAGACAGGGTCTCGCTTTGTCACCCAGGCTGGAGTGGAGTGGCATGATTACAGCTCACTGCAGCCTCAACTTCCCGGGTGCCAGCGATCCTCCCACCTCAGCCTCCCAAGTAGCTGGGACCAGAGGCATGTGCCACCATACGTGGTTCATTTTTGTATTTTTGGTAGAGACAGGGTTTTGCCATGTTGCCTGGACTGGTCTCAAACTCCTGAGCTCAAGCAGTCCACCCGTCTCAGCCTCCCAAAGTGCTGGCATTACAGACATGGGCCACAGCACCAGGCTATTTATTTTCTATTTTTGGTAGAGATGGGGTCTCACTATGTTGCCCAGGCTGGTCTTGAACTCCTGGGATCAAGGAATACTCCTGTCTCTGCCTCCTAAAAATGTTGGGATTATAGGCATGAGCCATCATGCTTGGTTCATACACTCTTTAAACCAACAGCCATTAAAAGGTGCTGTCTTTAATAGGCAGAATAAGGCCAGGCACTGTGGCTCATGCCTGTAATCCCAGCATCTTGAGAGGCCAAGGCAGGAGGATTGCTTGAGCCCAGGAATTCAAGATCAGCCTGGGCAACATAGTGAGATCCTCCCTACTCTGCCAGTGCCCCACCGTCTACAAAAAATAAAATAGATTAGTTGGGTGTGATGCTGCATGCATCTGGACCTAGTTACTTGGGAAGCTGAGGTGGGAGGATCACTTGAGCCCAGGAATTAAAGGCTGCAGTGAGCTATGATCACACCACTGCACGCTAGCCTGGGCAACAGAGCAAGACCCTATTGCAAATAAATAAATAAATAAATGAAATAATGGAATAGTGTTTCAGAATTCTTCTGCAGCATTGTGCCCAGTCTCTTTAAAACATTGGGGTGGGCCAGGCACAGTGGCTCATGCCTGTAATCGCAGCACTTTGGGAGGCCGAGGCATGTGGATCACTTGAGGTCGAGAGTGAGGACCATCAGTCTTGAACTGATGAAAAAAAAAAAGAAGATGAGGTCTTACTGGGATGGGATGAGCCCCTAATCCAAAGTGACTGGTGTCCTTATGAGAAGCTGACTGTGTGGCCAACGTGGTGAAACTCCATCCCTACTAAAAATACAAAAAATTAGCTGGGTGTAGTGGCAGGCGCCTGTATTACCAGCTAATCAAGAGGGTGAGGTGGGAGGATCGCTTGAACCTGGCAGGTAGAGGTTGCAGTGAGTCGAGATCATGCCACTGCACTCCAGCCGGGGCGACAGAGTAAGACTCCGTCAAAAAAAAAAAAAGAAGGAAAGAAAAAGAAAAATAAGAAAAAAAAAAACCATTGGGGTGAAGGTGAAAGCAAAGACTTTCAACAGGAATTTTTGCCTCCTTAAAAATGAAGTCCTACTTTACTTCAAGTTTGGCTTGAAGCCAAACTATGCCCCTTCTTACCATGTTTCGTATAAATTCATATTGGCCGTCCCTTATCAGGATATTAGCCTCTTTTTGACAACTCTTTCAGATCTGTTTGGTGTGATTAGATAGGTGCAAATTACAAGTTGTCATAAACTGTGTTCTCCACTTCTCCCCAGCCAGAAGGAATTATTGAAGTCCCAGCCCCTAGTACCTCAGAATGTGACCTTATTGGAGATAGAACCATAGCAGATATAATTAGTTAAGACAAGGTCTCGGTCGGGCATGGTGGCTCATACCTGTAATCCCAGCACTTTGGGAGGCCGAGGCAGGTGGATCACTTGAGTTCAGGAGTTCGAGACCAGCCTGGCCAATATGGTGAAACCGCGACTCTACTAAAAATACAAAACTTAGCTGGGCGTGGCGGGCGCCTGTAATCCCAGCTACTCTGGAGGCTGAGGCAGGGAGAATCGCTTGAACCCAGCTACTCTGGAGGCTGAGGCAGGGAGAATCGCTTGAACCTGGGAGGCGGAGGTTGCAGCGAGCTGAGATCGCGCCACTGCACTCCAGCCTGGGCAACAGAGTGAGATTCTGTCTCAAAAAAAAAAAAAAAAAAAGACAAGATCTTACTGGGATGGGATGAGCCCCTAATCCAGTGACTGATGTCCTTATGAGAAGCTGACTGTGTGGACACAGGCACACAAGAGAGAAGGTCACGTGATGGCAAGGGCAGAGACTGGGGTTATGCAGCTGCAAGCCAAGGAATGCCAAAGATTGCCAGCAAACCACCAGAAGCTATGAAGAGCCAAGGTTTCCCTTGCAAGTTTCAGGGATAGACCTGCTGACACCTTAGTTTCTGACTTCTAAACTCCAGTACTGAGAGACAATACATTTTTATTGTTTTAAACCACCCAGTTTGTGGTACTTTGTTACAGCAGACCTGGGAAATGAATGCACAAGTGTATTCTCCTTTGTGAATATTAGCAAATTAAGGATTTTTTTTTTTTTTTGAGGTGGAGTCTTACTCTCTCGCCCAGGCTGGAGTGCAGTGGTGCGATCTCGGCTCACTGCAACCTCTGCCTCCTGAGTTCAAGCGATTCTCCTGCCTCAGCCTCCTAAGTAGCTGGTATTGAAGAGCCAGCCGCACAGCTGTGTGTGGGAGCCACCTGACTAAGCAGCCGAGACAAGGCGGACAGTATAAGAGAACTAGTGTAAGTGAGCTGCTGATGAGAGCTGCTAAATAAAACTACATTTCACCTGCCTACGGCCCCCTGAGTGTTTTCAGCTATCTGCTCATCCACTCACTCCCTTTGGACCTCAGCATGAGTTGGAACCTGACCCTGGGCATGACAGTTGGCGTAGTCGTGAACCTGACACCGATGGAACAGTATAGCTCTAAGGCGATCAATTGGAATATGAAACAGTTAATTTTTACATTGAGTTATTTCCATTTGTTAAAAGTGAAAAAGGGGGAAATGATTAAAATCTGCTTTTTTTGTTGTTGTTGTTAAGACAGAGTCTCACACTGTCACCCAGGCTGGAGTGCAATGGTGTGACTATGGTTCACTATACCCTCGACTTCCTGGGCTCAAGTGATCCTCCCACCTTGACCTCCTGAGCAGCAGGGACTACAGGTGCTCACCATCATTCTTGGTGCTCACCATCATTTTTAATTTTTTTGTGTGAGGAGACGGGCTCTCACATGTTGCCCTGGCTGGTCTCTTAACTCCTGACCTCAAGCAATCCTTCCACCTCAGCCTCCTGAGTAGCTGGGTCCATAGGCGCACACCATCGTGCCTGGCTGATTTTTGCATTTTCGTAGAGATGGGGTTTTGCCATGTTGCCTAGGCTCATCTCAAACTCCTGGGCAACAGATCAAGCGATCCTCTGACTTCAGCCCACTTCGGCCTCCCAAAGTGTTGGGACTACAGGCATGAGCTGCTAACACCTGGCACTGCTGTCTCTTTAGGAAGAAAAACCCATAAGAACATTAAAGACTTCCTAAAGCAATTGGTCTTAACATTTTGGGGATAAGGTAGCCTTCTTAGACTCTGTTGAAATCCACTGGCCTTTCCCCCAGAAAAGTCCATATTTTGAGTCTGATGCACAATCTCAGAATGTCTGTGGACCCACTAGGGCTATCTGAAAATTCCAAAAGAAGGGACATAGAGGAAAAACTGGCTGAGGGGAATTGCATTAGGAGCACTGGGGGTAGTGAAAACAATCATACCTAAAGTAAGAGAACACCAAAGCATTACCAGGCATGGATGGCATGTTAGAGAGTGGGGAAAAGGCAGGTTTACAGAGTCTGCACTACAAATGAGAAAGTAGGCAAAAAGAAAAAAAAAGTACTTTGGCAGCTCAAAGTAATAATAAAAAAGAGGGAAGAAAATTACCTTTTTTCCTGTTTTTTGAGACAGGGTCTCACTCTGTCCCCCAGGCTGGAGTGCAGTGGCATGATCTCAGCTCACTGCAATCTCCACTTCCTGGGTTCAAGCAATTCTCCTGCCTCAGCCTCCCGAGTAGCTGGGACTATAGGCACCCATCACCACGCCCAGCTAATTTTTGTATTTTTTGGTAGAGATGGGGTTTCACCATGTTTGCCAGGCTGGTCTTGAACTCCTGACCTCAGGTGATCCACCTGCCTCAGCTGCCCAAAGTGCTGGAATTACAGGCATGAGCCACCACGCCCGGCCTTATTTTTTTCCCTTTTGCTTTGATGATATACATTCTCTACATAATAATCATTCAGTACTAGTACAGAAAACTCTTGTATTTCTTAAAAACCTAAGCATGATTGTTAACCTCGATGATATTTCCCTGAGGGAGCCCACGTGCTTAGCCAGGGCCAGCAAATAAAGCCAAAGAGTGATGAGTGGAGGTCAAGAGAAAACTCTCAGAGGTCACCCTAAAATCAGCATTTGTGGCTTAGATAACGCTGTTATATTTCAAGGGTTATGTCCCTTCCTATCAGGGAATCTTCCCTTGGTCTCGACATCCCTGACCCTTGCTCAGTATTTTTTCCACTGGCTGACATGTGAAGATAGGACATGGGAAGTGAAAACACACACTCTCTCCCCTGCCTGGGCTATCTATTCAACACCATGTAATTAACCCTGGGGTGAAGGAAAACACCACATGTCTTCGCTCATGTGGTATTTTATTCACAAGACACACAGCTTTGGAATAGTGGTTTCTATCCTTTGCTGGGTATTGTTGCTTATGACCAAGGAAATCTAGTCTTTTTTTTTTTTTTTTTTTCCCGAGACAGGGTCTTTCCCTGTTGCCCAGGCTGGAGTACAGTGGCACAATCACAGCTCACTGCAGCCTTGAACTCCTGGGCTCAGGTGATCCTCTTGCCTCAGCCTCCTGAATAGCAAGGACTATGGGTGCACCACTGAGCCTTCCTAATTTTTAAAATTTTTTGTAGAGTTGAGGTCTTGCTATGTTGCTCAGGCTAGTCTTGAACGCCTGGCCTCAAGTGATCCTCCCATTTTGACCTCTGAAAGTGCTGGAATTACATGTGATAGCCACTGACCCCAGCAGAAACCGAGTCCTTTTTTTTTTTTTTTTTTTTGAGACGGAGTCTTGCACTGTCGCCCAGGCTGGAGTGCAGTGGCATGATCTTGGCTCACTGCAAGCTCCACCTCCTGGGTTCATGCCATTCTCCTGCCTCAGCCTCCCGAGTAGCTGGGACTACAGACACCCGCCACCACACCCAGCTAATTTTTTGTACTTTTAGTAGAGACAGGGTTTCACTGTGTTAGCCAGGATGGTCTCGATCTCTTGACCTCATGATCCGCCCGCCTCGGTCTCCCAAAGTGCTGGGATTACAGGCGTGAGCCACCGTGCCCGGCCAGAAACCTAGTCTTTTAGAGCTTTTCTCTGTCACGTCACTCCTGAGATGTGGGTTTTCTGGCATCTTAAAAGATGAGGTCTCCACCAAATCTCTTCTCCCATGCATGACACTCGTAAGGTTTATCTCTCAGGTAGATTCTATAATGTAAAATTAAGCTAATGCTGTGGCCCAAACTTTCCCACCTCCAGGATTTACAGGGCTTCTCTTCTGTCTACCACAAATGTCATGCTGAGGCTGGAAGCCTTTTCACACCCATTACACTGTAGGGTCTCTCCCCAGGCGGATTCTTGGTGCACAGTGAAGCATGAGCTTGACGTGAAGCTTTTCCCACACTCGCCGTAAGGGTGGAATTGCTCTTCAGTGGAGCTACCTGGTGGTGATGAGAGCTGAGCTTGGCCTGAAGCTTCTGCCACTCTCACTACATGTTACAGTTTTGTTTCAGTGTGGATTCTTCCATGCACCATCCCAGTGGTGCATGTAAAGTGTTCTCACAGTCAAGGCAATGATATCACCTCTCCCTGGTGCAATTCATGGTGAGGTCCGAGCCAGAACTAAAGCTCTTCTTGCACTTGCCACATGTTTGGGGCCTCTCCTGGGTATGCACTTTCAGCTCTGCTCTGGCTGGAGCTTTTCCTACATTCTTTTTTTTTTTTTTTTTTGAGACGGAGTCTCGCTCTGTCACCCAGGCTGGAGTGCAGTGGTGCGATCTTGGCTCACTGCAAGCTCCGCCTCCCAGGTTCATGCCATTCTCCTGCCTCAGCCTCTCGAGTAGCTAGGACTACAGGCACCTGCCACCATGCCCGGATATTTTTTTTGTATTTTTAGTAGAGACGGGGGTTTCACCGTGTTAGCCAGGGTGGTTTCGATCTCCTGACCTCGTGATCCACCTGCCTTGACCTCCCAAAGTGCTGGGATGCCACTGCGCCTGGCCTACATTCTTTACACTGGTAGGGCTTCTCTCTGGCATGTGTCTTGTGATGACACACCACGTTAGAACTCTGCCCAAGTTTTTTTCCACTTTCCCCTATATGGGTTATGAAGACTATTTTTTCTGGGCTTATTTTCCAGACATCTCTGTGCACATCTTCACATCGGACCTCTCTCTCCCGATCTCCTCTTCCTGGCTTTGCCCACCTTGCAAAACCATGGCCAGTTTATTTTTTGGTTTCTCCTTATAATGTCCTGGCAGGTATTTTTTTTTTCACCATTTTCTGCATTGAAGGCCTTTTCCTTCTTCACATTAGAATCCAAAGGCAAAAGTACAAAGTGAAGGTGTTAGACTTAAAATAGGGTGTGGAACCGGGAAAAAAAATAACAGGAACAATTGCATTAGATTAAGTGTAAGTTTCTTTGAAGTAATTTACAGAGCTCAAAGGCAAAGCTAGAAGGAAGGTAGCTTTGGGTGACTCTGTCGAAACAACCCGAGCAAGGTGTTTTTCATAGGCTCATATGGACTGCTTCTTTTTTTTTTTTTTTTTGAGATGGAGTCTCTGTTGCCCAGGCTGGAGTGTAGAGGCATGATCTCAGCTCACTGCAACCTCTGCCTCCCAGGTTCAAGCGATTCTCCCACTTCGGCCTCCCAAGTAGCCGGGATTACAGGTGCCTGCCACAGCCCTCGGCTAACTTTTTTTTTTTTGAGATGGAGTCTTGCTCTGTCGCCCAGGCTAGAGTGCAGGGGCTTGATTTTGGCTCACTGAAACCTCTGCCTCCTGGGTTCAAGTGATTCTCCTGCCTCAGCCTCCCAAATAGCTGGGACTACAGGTGCCTGCCACCATGACCAGCTAATTTTTTATTTTCAGTAGAGATGGGGTTTCACCATGTTGGCCAGGCTGGTCTTGAACTCCTGACCTCAACTGATCCTCCCACTTTGGCCTCCCCAAGTGCTGGAATTACAGGCGTGAGCCACCACACCTGGCCTGAACTGCTTGTGAATGATCATTTTACAGCCTGCCATGTATTTACTTCCTCTACAAAGACCTTTGTGCTTAATTCTTCGCCAGTCTTCTCTACAGTCCCTCATTTAATTGAAATTACTCATTTATAAGCCTCTTTTAACATTTATTTATTACTTGTGTAGCACTTACTAAACATCAGGCAGTCTCCTAAGTGCATTACATGTATTAATTCAGTTATTTCACACAGTAACTGCATTAGGTAGGTACTATCATATATGTGTTTATTTATCAATAGGTATTTTTCATCCATGTAGAAAAGAGTGTTAGAAAAAGACTGGGGGCTGGGCACAGCGGCTCAGGCCTGTAATCCTAGCACTTTAGGAGGCCGAGGTGGGAGGACTGCTTGAGCCCAGGAGTTCAAGAACAGCCTGGGCAACACAGTGAGACCCCATTGCTACAAAACATACCAAAATTAGTGGGGTGGCATACGCCTATAGTCCCAGGAGGCTGTGGTGGGAGGATCACTTGAGCCTTGGAGGTTGAGACTGCAGTGAGTTGTGATCATGCCAACCTGGGCACCAGAGAAAGGATCTGTCTGCCATCCTCCCACCCCAGGCCCCGCCAAAAAAAAAAAAAAGAAAGAAAAAAAAAGTATAGCCTCACAGAAATCTTAGGCCACTTCGGTTAGGGAGTGACAGTCCCACGACTAACTTGGGTCTCCTGACTCCTGTCTATGGGACTTTCTGCTAACACTCACCTTCTAACTCCAATTCCACCTGTCCCAAGTCAAAAACCCTAATTTCAGCATCTCCGGGTCGGGGTCCAGGTGCCTCACCGTCCCTTTTGCTTGTGTCCCACGCTCCAGACTCCGCGCGCGCCTGGGCGAGGCTGTTGGGTAGGGCGTGCGCACGAGGCACCCAGGATGGGGGACGGAGGTGTTCACTGCAGGCGCCAACCGCATGCTCACAATGCTCACCTGCAGGCCTTGCCACCCAGGGTGGGTATGGAGCACTGGAGTCTTCTGTATAACTACAGTTCTGGCTCTGGATTTTCCGAGATCGCGACTGTGGCCGAGGCAGGGGCACCAGCAACCAGTGGCGCTCAGTGAAGGGCAGGCTGGGTCTGTTCCGCCATTTGCCGGACCGGGGTGGCCGAGCCGAGGACCTGGAGGAGAAGCGCCCTGCGCCCTCGGTCCGCCCACTCCCAAAGCCTTTCTTCGCTATCCCAGGAAGCAGCCCTGAGTTGTGGTTTGCGCCCGGGTGTGGGTTCTGTTCTGCAGCCCAGGCTCTGTCCGTGGTCTATGAAGGAGCCACCTAATACCGAGGGTCTGTGAGCTGGAGTGCCCATTGGCCAGGAGTCCCCAGCTCTGGGCAGAGGGAAGGCTTGGGCCTCAGGCGGGCTCAACACACCCTTAGCCGGTCAGCGTGGGGACCAAGTGTGGTGGGGCTGCAGAGGGCCTAGGAAAAGGAGAAAGGGGTTGAAGAGCAGCTACCTCCCGTTTGCTCTGTCTGGCACAGGGGCACCAACCCCTGGAAGTGGATAGAAGCACTTTAACTTCAAGTTTGAAGTTTGGAAAACTTCAGGCTTCACCTTGTACCCCAGTGAATGGCTAAACTAGCAAATCGATGGCCACTGTCTGATGTGTCCAACAGACGTGCCATTTGTCCCTCACTATGTTTTCGGTATCTTTGAGGCAACATTAAAAATTGGATTTCAGGCCAGGCTCAGTGGCTCACGTCTGTAATTCCAGCACTTCTGGAGGCTGAGGCAGGAGGACCACCTGAGGCCAGGAGTTCAAGGACAGCCTGGGCAACACAGTGAGACCCGTCTCTACAAAAAAATAAAAACTATGAGGCAGGAAGATCACTTGAGCCTGGAGGAGGCTGCAGTGAGCCGTGATTGCAAAGTGCATTCCAGCTGAGTGATGGAATTAGACCCTCTCTGAAACAAACAAACAAACAAACAAATCACCATCATCACTATCTTCTTTCTTGTGTCCTGATTTTTTTTTTTTTTTTTTTTTTTTTTTTGAGGAGTCTCGCTCTGTTGCCAGGCTGGAGTGCAGTGGTGTGATCTCCGCTCATTGCAACCTCCGCCTCCCGGGTTCAAGCAATTCTCCTGCCTCAGCCTCCCAAGTAGCTGAGATTATAGGCATGCGCCACCACACCCAGCTAACTTTTTTGTATTTTTAGTAGAGACAGGGTTTCACCATGTTAGCCAGGATGGTCTCTATCTCTTGACCTCATGATCTGCCCGCCTTGGCCTCCCAAAGTGCTGGGATTATGGGTGTGAGCCACCGTGTCTGGCCTTTTTTTTTTTTTTTTTTTTTGAGACAGAGTCTCGTTCTGTTGCCCAGGCTGGAGTGCAGTGGCACAATCTCTGCTCACTGCAACCTCTCCCTCTCAGGTTCAAGCGATTTTCCTGCCTCAGCCTCCCAAGTAGCTGAGATTACAGGCACACACCACCACACCCAGCTAATTTTTGTATTTTTTTTTAGTAGAGATGGGGTTTCACCATGTTGGCCAGGCTGGTCTCAAACTCCTGACATCAAGTGATCCACCTGCTTCGGCCTCCCAAAGTGCTGAGATTACAGGTGGGAGCCACTGCACCTGGCCTCTTGTATCCTTTTTGAGAACAGGGGAAGTCACAGAAATATCCCGATAGATGGCCTAAATGTCTCATTAGCTGAATTATAACACATGCCCATCTAAAAAAACCCAGCATATTGTTAAACCAAGACTGGCATTAAGACTCACTTCCGGTGGTGTGTGGTAGCTCACGCCTGTAATATCAGCACTTTGGGAGGCTGAGGTGGGTGGATCACCTAAGGTCAGGAGTTCGAGAACAGACTGATCAAAATGGTGAAACCCCGTCTCTACTAAAAATACAAAAAATTAGCCGGGTGTGGTGGTGGGCACCTGTAATCCCAGCTACTCGGGAGGCTGAGGCAGGAGAACCCCTTGAATCCGGGAGGTGGACATTGTAGTAAGCCGAGGTTGCACCACTGCACTCCAGCCTGGGCAACAAGAGTGAAACTCCATCTCAAAAAAAAAAAAAAAAAAAAAAGACTCATTTCCTGGAATTAGAACAAAAAAGGAAAAGCACATAGACAGGGAGTAACAGAACATCAACAAGGCTCTGATGGAAAAGAGGAAGCAAGGCGATGGCGGTGGACAGGGGAACAGATTTGAGTATAAAAGTAAGTGTTAAAAGCGCTATTTAGGCCAGGCCTGGTGGCTCATGCCTGCAATCCCAGCACTTTGGGAGGCTGAGGTGGGTGGATCATCTGAGGTCAGGAGTTTGAGACTAGCCTGGCTAACACGGTGAAACCCTGTTTCTACTAAAAATACAAAAAAAATTAGCTGGGCATGGTGGCACGTGCCTGTAATCCCAGCTACTTGGGAGGCTGAGGCAGAAGAATTGCTTGAACCCCAGAGGCGGAGGTTGCAGTGAACCAAGATTGTGCCGCTGCACTCCAGCTTGGGCAGTAAGAGTGAAACTCTGTCTTCAAAAAAAAAAAAAAAAAAAAAAGCAGTATTTAAAAAAAATTTTTTTTTCAAGACAGGGTCTTGCTCTGTTGCTCAGACTAGAGTGCAGTTGCACGATCACAGCTCACTGTAGCCTCGACCTACTGGGCTCAAGTGATCCTCCCACCTCAGCCTCCCAAGTAGCTGGTACTACAGGTGCACACCACCAAGCCTGGCCAAATTTTTGTATTTTTTGTAGAGACGGGATTTCAATGTGTTGCCCAGGCTGGTCTCAAAACTCCTGGGCACAAGCAATCCACCCACCTTGGCCTCCCGAAGTGCTGGGATTACAGGTGTGAGCCACTGTGCTGGCCTCTTAGTTTTCAAAATTCTTGACAATAATTCACAGGACATATATTTTATATAATAACCTTGTACACATACACACATTCATGTAACTGAAATGAGTTTCATGAAACATACTATGTAGAAAAATAAAATCCTAATTACAAATATAATTTTATTAACGTTTAACTACAACATACTGCAAAATCCCTTTAAAAGTACAAATACAATTTTTTTTTTTTGAGATGAAGTCTCACGCTGTTGCCCAGGCTGGAATGCAGTGGGATTATCTCAGCTCACTGCAATCTCTGCCTTCCTGGTTTAAGAGATTCTCCTGCCTCAGGCACCCAAGTAACTGGGACTGCAGGCATGTGCCACCACGCCTGGCTAAGGTTTCTATTTTTAGTAGAGATGGGGTTTCACCATGTTGGCCAGGCTGGTCTTGAACTCAAGTGATCTGCCCACCTCGGTCTCCCACTGCTGGGATTACAGGCGTAAGCCACCACACCTGGCTATACACAGAATTTTGTAAAGTTTGTATTTAATGTGATGGGTGTGCTTGTCTGTTCATAAGTTCCTTCCAGTCAGGAACACATGAAGATAATGCTACCCGCATATCTGGTGCACTATTGAGCCTATTTCTCTTCTTTGTTTTTAACCGTGTCAAGATTGAAAATCCTAGTTCACACAAATATGTAGTTGTGAATGGTAGTAACAGCAATATACTCTTCCTACTTAGCAGTGGAAAGTCATCTTTAATCTTAATCCAAAATGCTGATAAACTTAATATCTTATAATAATTCTTTAGTGTGAATGATGAACTGAGCTGCAATAATTCATTCTCTTCTTCAGGCTCCAAGTTTAACTCAATTATTGATTCTGGGTTTTGAAAAGCAAATGGATCTTTCATCCAAATATTTTCCTTTAATGATTCAAATTTCTCTTCCGGAAAGTAATAATTAAAAGTTTGAGACAAAGAAGTGAGATGCAACAATATCTCTAATTTTATTTCTTTTAAGCAGTCTTCATTAATAATGTTCTCTTCGATGTGTTGCAATAATGTTGGAAACATATAGTAGCTAGGGCGGTTACTTTTAAGTCTTGCTTGCCACAATAATAACGTCTTTTGGAATCCTAGAATATGTTCAAGATACTGAAATATATCATTGTTTTTCCCCTGCATTTTCAGGCTTAATTCATTAAGAATGCCAAAAATATCACTTAAATATGCCAATTTTGTTACCCAAATGTCGTCTTCAAAAATATTTGCCAAATGAGATTGCTTTTCAACGAGAAAAATGTAAATCTCGTTCCTGAGTTCATATACTCTGCTCAATACTTTTCCTTGAGAAAGCCAACGAACTTCTGTATGAAACAATAAGTGGGTGTGGTTCACTCCAATCTCTGAACAAAATATTTCGAGAAGTCGGCTATTCAGTGAGCTTCCTTTAATAAAATTAACAGTTTTCACTGCATTTTTCAATACATCCATCAGACTTGGTGAAATTTCTTTGGATACCAAAGCTTCTCGATGAATAAAACAGTGATTCCAAACAGCATTGTTGTGGGTTGCTTCTAACAATTTTTCAGTAAGTCTGCTGTGTTTTCCGGTCATATTTGCTGTTCCATCACTTGAAATTCCTTTACAATGTTTCCAGTTTAATTTATACTGACCAAGAAGGCAGTTTTCTAATTCAGTAAATAAATCTAATCCAGTTATATGTGAATTTAAATTTAAACAACATAAGAGATCCTCTACAAAATCATCTTGCCACACATATCTGACATAAACCAAGAGTGTGGGACAACTTGCAATATCAGTGCTCTCATCGAGTTGGATTGCAAAGTCTATACCGGACTGCAGCCGTGTAATAAGCATTGCTTCCAAATGTTTTGCAATCGTACAGATTCGACGAGATATTGTATTATCACTAAGAGGTATAGTTCTTAGTTTATCAGCTGATTTGTCATCAAAAATTGTCCGTACCATGTCCATACATGCTGGAAGGATAATTTTTTCAGCCGCTGTGTGAGCCATTTTCTCTTTTGCCACTCTATATGCAACTAAATACGATGACAATAAGGCTCTCTCATTCATAGTTGTAGAGCGACTGAGAACTTGTGGCGATGACTCTACTTTGTTTCTTTCCTTTTGAAAATGGTCTTCTTCATCTTCCTCCTCCACCTTCACTATCACGATGCCTTCCATCTCCTGGGTACCCCCTGGAGACAAATCTGTAGTATCCCTTGATTCAGGAGTCATTATTCAGGTTCCAGGAACTGGCTCACTTGATCCAAATAGGGTCTGTTTTGCAGGGCTGTCCTTTGTGACCTAGGTTTTATGAGATCAGGTTTTGCTATCCTGCAGGGTAGAAAAACGTAACAGCAGTATTAAAAAGCAACATGGTATTGCTGGGCTAACAACTCATACAAAACAATTCACTAAATCTAGTGGTGTGACATGGTAAATGATGAGCAACTGTCATTCATGTTGGCTGTGTGTCAGGGAGATTTGGTGTACTATATACACCACTCATTTAATACCCAGGGAAACCTAATGAGGTTCACATAATTACTATTCTTATATTACAGATGAAAAATAAAAGTTCAGAAAGATTAAATGTGTCTAACAACCCACAGTAAGTATAGAACCAGCACTCAAATCCAAGTCTGAAGCGAGTGTCCTAAATATGCTGCTACACTGCCAACTCTAAAAAGTGATCTGGTCATTCTTTTTTTTTTTTTTTTTTTTGAGATGGAGTTTCGCTCTTGTTGCCCAGGCTGGAGTGCAAGGGCACGATCTCGGCTCACTGCAACCTCCACTTCCCAGGTTAAAGTGATTCTCCTGCCTCTGCCTCCCAAGTAGCTGGAATTACAGGCCATGTGCCACCACGCCTGGGCAACTGAGCAAGACGCTGTCTCAAAAAAAAAAAACAAAAAACAAAAAACAAAAAAAACCATCAGGTAGGGTACATAGGGTACACAAGATGATCCACTGGGGCATAGGGAAAAAAATGAGAACTTGTATTTCTTAAAAATAAGAAATTAAGCTGCATAATTATTCAGTATTATGAATATTGAAACATGTTCATGTTACATAGATCCATGAATTATTCTGGAGGGAGAATGAGATTTCCACAACACATGCGATTGACAAAACACCCTCATTTGTTTGTTTGCTTTTAGTACACTGCAATATTTCACCATTCATGTGAGTTTAGTGGATTTAAAGATATTACCTGACTTAGGAAACAACAGGTGCCGGAGAGGATGTGGAGAAATAGGAATACTTTTACGTTGTTGGTGGGACTGTAAACTAGTTCAACCACTGTGGAAGACAGTGTGGCGATTCCTCAAAGATCTAGAACTAGAAATACCATTTGACCCAGCCATCCCATTACTGGGTATATACCCAAAGGATTATAAATCATGCTGCTATAAAGACACATGCACATGTATGTTTATTGCGGCACTATTCACAATAGCAAAGACTTGGAACCAACCCAAACATCCATCAATGATAGACTGGATTAAGAAAATGTGGCACATATACACCATGGAATACTATGCAGCCATAAAAAAGGATGAGTTTATGTCCTTTGTAGGGACATGGATGAAGTTGGAAACCATCATTCTGAGCAAACTATCGCAAGGACAGAAAACCAAACACTGCATGTTCTCATTCACAGGTGGGAACTGAACAATGAGAACACTTGGACACAGGGTGGGGAACATCACACAGTGGGGCCTGTCATGGGGTGGGGGAAGTGGGGAGGGATAGCATTAGGAGATATACCTAATGTAAATGATGAGTTAACGGGTGCAGCACACCAACATGGCACATGTATACATATGTAACTAACCTGCACATTGTGCACATGTACCCTAGAACTTAAAGTATAATAAAAAAAAGTAAATAATAAAAAAAAACTTAAAAAAAGTTATTACCTGACTTTACTAAATGAACCCCCCCCTTTTTTTTTTGAGACGGAGTCTAGCTCTGTTGCTGAGGCTGGACTGCAGTGGCACGATCTCAGCTCACTGCAACCTCCGCCTCCAGGGTTCAAGTGATTCTTCCGCCTCAGCCTCCCGAGTAGCTGGGATTATAGGCGCCCAACACCAGGCCCAGCTAATTTTTGTCTTTTTAGTAGATACGGGGTTTCACTGTGTTGGCCAGGCTAGTCTCAAACTCCTGACCTCGTGATCCACCCACCTCGGCCTCCCAAAGTGCTGGGATTACAAGCCTGAGCCACAGCACCTGGCCAACGAACCCCTTTTCTTTGGTACTGTGTCACTTAGCCTCTCTCAATAATGCAAGTAACTTTCTGTATGTTGGTGGCACAAATGGAAATGAATGTGGGGCCATAGGTTTTGCTTAGCTGAATGTTAAATTCAGTCTATCGGCAGATTCCAAAATTGGAAGAGACCTTGAGATAATCTATTTTACTTTACTTAGGACACATTTGAGACTTGGTGGGTCTATGTGTTTCATCCAAGAACATCAATGGCAGAACTGGTACCAGTCCCCAATGGTCCGCTGCACCGTCCACAAATTCCCTTCTCTCCTTTATCCCTCGATGTCAAGCATAGATACCTCCCACAACTGAAAACCCCCCATGTCCGAAATTGCTCATTTAAAACCCTTCCTGGCAGGGCGTGGTGGCTGACCCCTGTAATTGCAGCACTTTGGGAGGCCGAGGCGGGCGGATCACCTGAGGTCAGGAGTTCATTTTCCCAGCCTGGCCAACATGGCGAAACCCCGTCTCTACTAAAAGTACAAAAATTAGCCGGGCATGGTGGCAGGCGCCTGTAATTCCAGCTACTCAGGAAGCTGAGGCAGGAGAAGCTTGAACTCGGGCGCTGGAGGTTGCAGTGAGCCGAGATCGCACCACTGCACTCCAGCCTGGGCGACTCTGTCTCAAAAACAAAAAAACCAACCAAAGAAACAAAAAGACCCCTTCCTAAAGTCTTGAAAGGAAAGGGTGAAGTGTAAATGAGCTTTTCCTATTATATCCAAATCACTTCTTTATTCAGTAGGCTTCAAACATTCTCTTTTTTTGTTTTTGAGACAGAGTCTCACTCTCTCTCTCTGTCTCCCAGGCTGGAGTGCAGTGACGCGATCCTGGCTCACTGCAACCTCCGCCTCCCGGGTTCAAGCGATTCCCCTGCCTCAGCCTCCCAAGCAGCTGGGATTACAGGCGTGTGCCGCCACGTCTAATTTTCTGTATTTCTAGTAGAGACAGGGTTTCTCTAGGTTGGCAAGGCTGATCTCAGAACTCCTGGCCTCAAACGATTCGCCTGCCTAGGCTTCCCAAAGTGCTGGGATTATGGGCGTGAGCCACTGCGCCCGGCCTTCACTCTAATCACCACCATAATGGTACTGGGTTTGAGGGTGAACATATCATCCGCGGACACTGGCTTAACGAGCCCATCCGAATAAAACAAATTATAAGGCCAATGGCACTTGGTATCGTGTAAGATCGCCAGAATTTTACAACTCGGGGTACCCAGGAAACCAGAAAAGCCCCCACCACAAGAAAAACCAGTGGGCACAACTGGGGAGCACAGATATCTGACTGGGGTCATTTTGTCCGCGCGTCTTTGGGGTAAAACACCAGGACTGGGGGTCCAGAAGGGACACGCAGACCGCCTCTCTCCAGTCCCAGGGGTGTCTCCAATCCGGAAACCAAAACTTCGTTCCCTTCCCACCTGTATCCAGGGACACCTCTGCTGGGGGACAGCGCTTGCCACCGCCGAGGCTGGCGCGAGGAACGGGGGCACGGACCCGCTTCCACTCCGTCCCGGGCGGTCGTGGCGAGGGGATTGCAGGACACAGCCATGCACGTCCAACTCTGTCCCCGCCCGGAGAAGTCTGGGATGCTGGGATAGAAGGGGTTGTGACTTTGGGGACCAGGAGCACTAGACTCACATCCAAGCCCCCTGGCCTTCAGAGCCCAGGGAAAGCGTCACAAAAGCCGGAAGTGCGTCACACCCGCCTTCCGGAGCTGCGCTCCGCTTCGGGGTCCTCTCTAGGATCGCGGGAGGACTTTGCATCCCTGTGTAGGGCTCTAATCTCGGGTTTGGGGATCTTGCTCCTCAGCTTGTCCGCTCCGAGGAGGTGCACAGGGCGGGGAAAAAGGGATGAATTTCCCTTTATACCGCCCTGCTCAGATATTTATATGTTCCTTCTATTTTTCTTGATGACAATAATTGTAATAGTTACAATAAAAATAGTGATTGTCTGTGGCAGAGGAGCTGAATGAAACGAGGGTGGAGACAGGAAGATCAAGAATAAATGGTTTCACAAATCGAAGGGATTGTCTCTTGAGACGCTGATTATGTACGTATTGCCAGTTGAATGGGCAGTATTTTCAAATACTTGATCTATAGGCAACAGACGTTCTTTCCAACACTAGATAGTTATAAAATTCTGAGTTTGCCTTATGTTTCCAGGGAGTTTTCAGATTAGCAACGGTGAAATAAGTTGAATTTGAGGCGTTTTTGCTGTCCAAGTGTTATTGTAATAATTAGGGCTTCTATGATTAGATCAAGAATAACTTCACCTTTTATAAAACAGTAACTGAGACCTTGAATGGCTGGGGCATGACTCTAAAAGTTCTGGGCAAGTCTGTGGTACAGCCCAATAAGATAAAAGCCTACAAAAGGAACGGCTACCTGATACAGAGCCTATGATTACGTGGTATCCCGAATTACCTTCTAGACCCTCACTAATGCTCCATTCCTTAGGGGGTTTGATCTTGCTATGGTTGCCATTTTCTACCTACCCACGAGTCTTCTCAATAATCCACTTAAGTGCATCTTTGCTCCATATATATATATACACACATATATATACACACACATATATATACACATATATATACATGTATATATATATACACACACATATATATATATACACACACATATATATATATATATATATATATATATATTTTTTTTTTTTTTTTTTTCCTCCTAGGGCACCGTCAAATCCAATCTTTGCTCCTTTATCACTGGCTGGCTTTCTAACCTACAGTCCTCCGTGATGACATCATAGTCTCAACTTATTCCTCCAGATACATCCTCATATTTCCTTCCAGGGTTCCAAGTCATCGCTAAGAGTCATTACATTGCTACACACTGTATTTTTCTTCTTTGTCTAAAGTCTCTCCTCCCCACCCGTCCCCATTCCTACACTGAAGTGCCTAAAGGGTCCAGGAAGGCAGATTACTGAATGCAGTTGACTGGGTATATGATTTTGTATTTATGTTGTGTGTGTGGCAGGAATTGTAGGCATCTCTATAACGACTCCTTTCTTTGCCTACGGACCTACTGGCACAAGAAACTCAAAGTGGCCTGGTGGTATTCTGTTTTCAGTTCAGTGGCACGATTTAATGTTTCCTAGAGGAAATGTTCTTCCTGGAAATGAGGATCATAACCCAGCTGGCTCCAGATTTCGGAGCGAGGAGGCACAAATTCTACAGGTGAGTGGCTGGGTGTGATAGTAATAGAGGCTACTCCTGTATGCACATAGTCCTACTGGAGACACAATACTATATATCCATTTTGGCCCAATGCATTTCAGCGCATATACCATATTCTGAAGAACTGCTCCCAACTTTGCAAGGCATTACATCTTAATCGCAATTTAGCCCAGTCTTCAACAGGCCATTCCAAAACCCTATCTGGCTAGCTGCTTCTGGATGATGAGTATGCACCATGAATTTTGTAGCTTCGAGTTCACTGTCACACCTCCTTGGCTATCGGTGGGTTCCTTAGTTTCAGGTATGTCAATGGATAAGGCACCCTGTAAGCTCTCAGATGGTGGTGCTGCTGGAGGCAAAGTAGTTGGGGAAGACAAGCTCATTTAGAGCATATATCAATTCTGGTAAGAACAAATTGATGCCCATTCCAAGGTAAAAGGGATCTGATGCACTCAACCTGGTGGTAGCTGGTATCTCTAAGACTCAGTGTTGGTCTCTAATGCTGGCAGGCTGGACACTCCACCATGGTGAGAGTTACATCAGCCTTGGTAAGAGGTAGACCATATTGGCCGGGCACGGTGGCTCACACCTGTAATGTCAGCACTTTGGGAGGCTGAGGTGGGTGGATCACAAGTTCAGGAGTTCGAGACCAGCCTGAGCAACATGGTGAAACACCGTCTCAACTAAAAATACAGAAATTACCTGGGTACGGTGGTGTGTGCCTGTAGTCCCAGCTACTCGGGAGGCTGAGGCAGGAGAATTGCTTGAACCTGGGAGGTGGAGGCTGCAGTGAGCTGAGATCACACCACTGCACTCCAGCCTGGGCAACAGGGCGAGACTCCGTCTCAAAAAAAAAAAAAAAAAAAAAAGAAAAATAAGAGGTAGCCCATATTGTTGGGACCACGCACAGCCTCTATCCCTGCTACCATGGTCTCTGTTCATAAGCCTATTGCATAAACAATAAGATGGTCCCTAACCAACAAGCCAAGCCATTCATCACTGCCTAGGAGTCAATGCATATCCCTACCTTAGGCTACCTCCTCCAAAATATGGCATGGGTGACCAAATGTACCATTGCTCACTGAGATAATTTTTCTTCACCAGTATGCTTCAGGGCAACGCGAGTGGGGCTGTAATGAAGAACAGTCTGTTTCTGGAAGATGCCAACATGCTGAACTGACCCAATCCCCAATCTGTGCAGAGGCCAAGGCTCTTCTGTCTCCATCAGTTAGTTGTAGGGAACTTTTATAAGGCCATAGGAGTAAGTTTATGGGAGAGGTGGCAGTAGAGCAGAGGTAACTGACCTGGGAGTTTGGAAACGTGGGTTTTGTTTTTTTGCCTTAGAAGGCATGACCTTGCTCCAGAATCTTAGGTATTTGTGCTGTGACTCTTTATGATGGGTTGAATTGTACCTCCACCTCATCCCCAATTAACAGGTTGAAGTTCTAGCCCCTAATACCTCAGAATGTGAAATTATTTGGCAATAGAGGCATTGCAGATGTAATTACTTCAAGATGAGGTCATAGTGGATTAGGGTGGGTCCCTCATCTAATGACTGGTATCCTTATAAAAAAGGGAAGTTTAGAGATAGTACACAGGGAGAATGCCAAATGAAGATGAGGGTAAAGACTGGGAAAATGCTTCTTACGATGCCAAGGAATGCAAAATATATCCAGCAAATCCCCAGAAACTAGGAGAGAGGCATGGACAGATTCCTTCTCACAGCCTCAATAGGAACCACACCTTAATTTCTGACTTCTAGCCTCCAGACTGTGAACCAACAGATTTCTGTTGTTTAAGCCACCCAGTTTGTGGTACTTTGTTATAGGAGCCCTAGCACACGAATGCACACTCTTATTGGGGTTTGCCAGCAACTCCATACAGCACCTGTATCCATCAAGGATATTTCTGGAACCACTGAATTTGCAAGTAAGCTTGCACTGTTGCTTGGATTTACTATAGAGTGCTCTCTTGCCCCAATAAAAAGTGGAAGCTGGCCAGGCATGGTGGCTCACGTCTGTAATCCCAGCACTTTGGGAGGCGGAGGTGGGTGGATTGCTTGAGGTCAGGAGTTCAAGATCAGCCTGGCTAACATGGTGAAACCCCTCCACTACTAAAATACAAAAATGCTGGGCATGGTGGCGGGCGCCTGTAATCCCAGCTACTAGGGAGGCTGAGGCAGGAGAATTGCTTGAATCCAGAAAGCAGAGGTTGCAGTGAGCCGAGATCACGGCACTGTACTCCAGCCTGGGCTACAGAGCAAGACTCCGTGTCAAGAAAAAAAAATAGTAATAAATAAAAAGTGGAAGCTTTTTAGGTCACCTAATACATGTGTTGGAACAGTTTTCTCAGGTGCAGAATATGCTACCTCCCAAATCCAAAGGGGCCCACCAGGACCTGTACCAATTTTTTTGGGATTAGAGGGTGCAAGGTGGAACAACTTTCTTTTACCTTTGGGTGATGTCCCCAAACCACTGGGCCCCACCAAAACTTCATCCATTTGATAAGTGCCCATATCTTCAGGTTTCTGTACTGCCTTAGTAAGAAGTCTTACTAGGATATTTATGACCCTTGTCACTTGCTGCTCACTGGGTACTACTAGCATTTGTCATCAATATATGGACCATCATGATGGTTGGGTAAAGTTCCTGCGGACTACACTGTGACAGAGAACAGGTCTCAGGATCCCACCCTCTCCCTGTATGAGCCACGACTTTGACTCAGGGGACCTGCCGAGTCTGCACAATTGGTCTCCTTTACATTACTGTCACTGTTACAAACAGATCCTCGGCCTAATTTTCAGCTTAGCTAGATGCAGAATTACCTTAGTAATTTATAAAAAATCAGCTATTGTATGTATCTAGATCTATTTCTGGACTTTTTTTTCTTTAAGAAATTCAACCTCATATTTCTGGACTTTCTGTTCTGCTCTGTTGATCTATTTGTCTCTATGCTGATACCATACCATCCTGATTACTGTACCTTTAGGAAAAAAATCTTAAAAAAATACAAGTATTCCAATTTTATTCTTTTTCAAAATTGTTTTGGCAATCCTAAATCCTTAGCATTTCTATATAAACTTTAGAATCAGTTTGTTAATTTGCACTAAAAAAAACAAAACAGGCTCGGTGCAGTGGCTCACGCCTGTAATCCCAGCACTTTGGGAGGCCAAGACGGGCGGATCACCCGAGGTCAGGAGTTTGAGACCAGCCTGGCCAACATGGTGAAACCCCATCTCTACTAAAAATACAAAAATTAGCTAGGTGTGGTGGTGCCCACCTGTAATCCCATCTACTCTGGAGGCTGAGGCAGGGAAAATGCTTGAACCTGGGAGCTGGAGGTTGCAGTGAGCTGAGATCGCGCCACTGCACTCCAGCCTGGGCGACAGAGCAAGACTCTGTCTCAACAACAACAAAAAGACAAAAACGAAAAAAGGTAACAATTTTTTGAGTTGTTTCCACCTCTGTCATCTGGCAAACTGTTAAAAGAAAATTTTGCTCAAAAGCAAAATAGCAGCTGCTGTTTCTTAACACTTTGTTATGTTTTGATGAGTACTGGTGGGAAGTGGCCTCTTTAAGTGGGTACCTTTTGTGGTCCTCTCACTGGAGCCAATTGCCTGAGTCAGCTAAAACTTGGACGCGATGTGCCTCACTGCCATAGCTCACTCACCTTTGCTGCTGAAATGGTTTCCCATCACATTGCTAATAGGTACAACCTGTGAAGGGTTCTAGGTGGGGAAATGGCAACTCAGGAAGAACTCCAAACCTTTAGCTCTCCTAGGATATTAAAATGGCCGTTATGAAGAGGAAGAAGTACTGTGTCATCTATTGTCCTGGGGACCTGTCAACAGGAACAATAGATAGACATCACCAGGGGTGTATTTCTGTTCAACACAAGGAAAAGTTTCTAATTGGAGCTGTCCAGCATGAAATGGACTAAGCAGTGCATTTTCTTTCTCCGATCCTGACTCCACTGTGACGGGCACTGCAGACTAGAGAGATTGTGTCCTAGTATGAATTTAGGTTGGATAAATGATACTTAGGGATAAAGAGAGGAAAGGAATATCAGAATCTCCAAGAAGCTGATACATTTTGAAAAAATATATAAAATGCCACACTTCAGGTTTTCTTGTGTTTAATTTGAAACGTCCAGTAACATTAAAGAACAGCATTTGATTTGCTTAAACAAAGTAGTAACAGCTGAAGTTCCTTCCAAATCACTTTTCTGATTCTCTAAGAGGCTTGCCTATGCCTTGCAGATCTAGCTTCACCTACAAGACATATTCTGTAAGGATCCAGGTTCAGCAAGGTGTCAGAATGTCCTAAGGGTTTCTGTCCCGGCGCTCTGCCTGTCCCGCTTGTGCACAATGCTTTTGCCTATCCCTGTTTCTGCATAGATTTTAGTCTTCCCACCAGGGACGCAACTGTCAGTTTCCTCCGTCTCTCTCGGTTCTATTCCAATCTGCTCATCTCCCCTCCCGTCCCCGCTTTCCCCAAGGACCTACTGAGATTTCGATCCCACAACTTAGTGGGTCCCATCTCACCCAGGCCCCGCAATCCTCGCCTTCTACTTGTCAGCGTTGTACTACACTCTGAGCAGGCACCCCTGTGCTACTCACGGAAGCGGGACCATTAGGTCGGCCATTCCTCCTCACCCCACGACACGCACCCACTGGGTCGGGCCGCCTCCTTGCAGGGAGTCTCAAGGATGGGCTGGCGTCAGGGAGGGGCCCAGGGGGCGCTTTCCCAACACTGGTCGCAGTCATTGTTGGTATAACGGCTAGAGACGCCCAGTGAGTTAGCATGGAGGGCAGTGGGACCGGAAAAAGACGTGGAAAAGCTGCGAAAACGAGCCTTCGAATCATGGACGCGCGGGCCCAGCTCCTCCTCCGAGTTCCTCATCCGGGGCCGTCACTCACATCCGGGGCCCTCACTCACATCCGGGACCCTCATCCGGGGCTCTCACCCACATCCGGGACCCTCATGCCTGGGCGGAGGAGGGGGGGCCCTCATTCGGGACCCTGCACTCCGTCGCCGGAAGTGCCACCGAGAAGCGCCGGCCTCGGGGCTGTCTACAGCGGCCCGGGAGAGGCTGTGGTGGCCCCGAGCGCGAGTGTGTAGGTGACAGGACAGCGGCCAGGCCCGCCCCTCCCCTCGGTGAGTACCCGGAAGCCGTTTTGGGGTCGCAGCGGGGTGGCAGCTTGTTTTGCCTTCACGGGAGTAGAAGGAGGCGGCGTCCGGCCGCGGCCGACGGTAGTTCGCTTCCCCGAGAGTGCGCGGAGGCCCGGGTGCGAGGAGGGCCTGTTTCTCTTCAGCCCTGGTTCATTCACCTCGCGGACCGAGGGCCCCGCCGTCAGGAGCCGGCGACCGTGCCCTGGTGCGAGCTGGTCTGTATGTCCTCACTGGTCCTTTTGGGACTTTGCCTTGGCCTAAAAGGGAAGTGGGAGGAGGGCAGCGCCGGGCAAGGCCTTCTGAGGACCGAGCTGGGAGCCGGGCAGGGGCCCAGGGCGAGGGTGGTGGGAGGGGGACGGCACCCTCATGCGTCCTTGGGCCTGAAGGACGCCGCTCAAACCTGTTCGAACCGCAGCTCTTACCTGCGTTGCTCTCAGGATTCCGGGAAAAGGCCGGTCTAGCTGGTCTGAGTTAGCGAAGGGCCTGACCCCAAAAGTGGAGTTTTATTCGCCAAGCCCGTGTAGTAAATCGGAGTGGGCTGACGGTGTTACCAAGACATTTCCTAGGGGGCCTGCTGTTTTATTTATTTAAATGAGTTTATTTACGTAAACGCGGGCCTGTCACGGTGGTTCACGCCGTAATCCCCGCACTTTGGGAGGCCGAAGTGGGAGGATCGCTTGAGGCCAGGCGTTCGAGTCCAGCCTGGGCAACATAGCGAGACTCCCATCTCTGCTAAAACAAAATTAAAATAAAATGAGCAATCATAACTAGCATTTTTCTCTGGGCACCAACTTGAGCCTCCAAAGACGATTGTAAATTTTAAATATTTTGTTTTGTTTATTTGAGGTGGGCTGTCACGCTGTCATACAGGCTGGAATGCAGTGGCGCAGTCATAGCTCACTGCAGCCTCTACCTCCCAAGCTCAAGCGATTCTCCTGCCTTGGCCTTTGGAGTAGCTGGAACTACAGGCCTGGGCCACCTAATTTTTTTTTTTTTTTTTTTTTTTGTAGGGACGGGGTTTCACCATGTTGTCCAGGACGGTCTGGAACTCCTGAGCTTAAGGGATCCACCCGTCTGTGCCTCCCAAACTGTTGGGATTACAGGCTTGAGCCACCGCACGTGGCCAATTTTAAATATTTTAAAGTTTCCACAGAAAGCTTTACACTATTAAATTGTACCGTGTTAATTTTTTTAATGCCACAAATTCCAAATTAGAGACTCTTCTATGATTTGGTTCTTAAGTATTTAAAGCTGAAGCATATCCATATTTCTTTTTCTTTTTTTTCTTTTTTTTTTTTTTGGGACGGAGTCTCACTGTGTTGCCCAGGTTGGAGTGCAGTGGTGCAATCTTGGCTCACTGCCACGTATGCCTTCTGTATTCAAGCAATTCTCCTGCCTCAGCCTCCCGAATAGCTGGGATTACAGACCCGCACCACCACGCTGGCTAATTTTTGTATTTTTAGTAGAGAAGAAGTTGCACCATGTTGATCAGGCTGGTCTTGAACTCCTGACCTCAAGTGATCTTCCCGCCTCAGCCTCCCAAAGTGCTGGGATTACAGGCCACTGCGCCTGGCCCCATTTTTCTGTTACTTATTTAGGGTGGTTAATCATTATCAACTAATTTTTATTGAATATCCATAGTGTGTAAGATCCTTTGCAAAGTCCTGACGATATAAAATGATGAAATGCTTTAACTTATTACAGTAATTTCTCTTAATCTTACCTTGCAGTGATGGTCATTGTCCTCCAGAGCAGTGATGGAGGAAATACCAGCCCAGGAAGCAGCAGGGTCACCAAGGGTCCAGTTTCAGTCTTTGGAGACCCAGTCTGAGTGTCTGTCCCCAGAGCCTCAGTTTGTGCAGGACACCGACATGGAACAGGGACTCACTGGGGGTAAGGCAGAGAAAGCACTTCCGTCTGGGAGAGTGGGAGTGCGGAGGGGCTCCCGAGGGGGCTCCTGGGCCTGGTTTGAGAGAGGCCAAGAACTGGAATAAGAACATGGTCCCTAGAGGGAGGAATGAAAGAGGGGGCAGATGTGACTCAGTTCAGTCCTAGTCTGAGCCCCTTTATTAAGGATAGCTCATCTTTCTCAAATAAGCAGAGTGATGGCTGCTTACTCGCTGTGGTGGTTTTTCCTTCAGGCAACCTTCACTTCATCCCAGTTCTCACATCCAGAATAATTTCTAAGATATGCTGCTTTTGCCACATCTCACAGTCCTTTCCTGGCTCTCACTTCCTCTTAGGTTCAGGACCTTTCTTTCCCCTGTTCCCTTCACTTAGTTTTTCTTTGCTTTGTCACCTGCCATCCATTCTGTTGTAACTGCAGTGTTTTGTGACTAGACTAAATTTGGTCAAGGAAGCAACCATTTAATTCCTTGGTTGAACACAATGCCTGTATGAATGTATATATACTGTATTTTGACTACGCAGTCACACTTTGCTGTATCGTATAGGTAGGTTGGTCTTTTTCTTCCTTTGTTTTATAAGAGCTGTGTCTTAGATTGCCTGTGGTTAACTCTAGTGCCTGAAATAACTTGTGTGTCACCCACACAGATCAAGTGCCACAATGTGTAGAGTGCTGTGGGGGATTGTGGGACTGTGGAAAAGATTTCGAGGAAACAGATGACCCTTTCTTGTTCTTGGGGGCCTTACACACTGGTTGAGACAGCACCCATTCACAAGAGAAACGCTGATCAAGTGTCTAGAACAGTGCCTGGAAAGGGTCAGAAGTCTGCTAAATAACCCTAGCCCAGGACAAGTCCCCACAAGTCTTTATGCTTTGCTTTGCCCATCTGCAAAACAGGTATAGTCTTACTCTTCTGTAAGAGGACTGTCATGTGATGAAGATAAAGTGAAATACAAGCTTTCCTAAGAAAATCCTGTATCACAGGTCAAAACACGCATAAGGCATGCAAGTACTGAGACGAAGCAGAGTAGACACACCCAATACCTGAAAAATGTTCATTGGTTTTACTAGAGTATTGAGGAGGGTCCTGCTGACACCCCTTGGGCTGGAGAGGCCTCCTCTGAAAGGGAGCCCTGGGAAAGGGCTGCTCTCACTCTTCACTCCTTTCTCCTCCCTCAGCTCCACCTGTTCCTCAGGTGCCTGCTCTTCCCCGTGAGGGAAGCCCAGGAGACCAGGCAGCTGCGCTCTTGACAGCCAGGTACCAGGTGAGCTGAGGAACCCTCTGCTTTTCCTCAGGGACTATTGCTACTGATGGAGTGTGGCCTCTCTCTCATCCCATCTGTAGACCTTGCCTGGAATTTTTTTCAATAGCAGACTCCAGTTTGGGAATTGATCCTCTTCGGAGACCTGGACTTCACATAAACCAACTTCCCATCTCCCCAGTGCCATGAGCAAACTCTGTTTTCTCTTTGTCCATGGTTGTGTGATGGGTGCTTATTAGATGTTTAAGGGTTATGGGCTTTATTCCGTAGGTTCTAATCTGTTCTCCCTCCTCCTCAACGTAAGTACACAGTGGATACCCTCTCTATGATCTTCATTCTCTGGCCATGGTGCTACAGTGTTCTCATTCCTCAGAGCAGCCAGGATGTGTTATTTCAGGAGTTTGTGACATTCGAGGATGTGGCTGTGCACCTTACTCGAGAGGAATGGGGATACCTGGACCCTGTTCAGAGGGACCTCTACAGAGAAGTGATGTTAGAGAATTATGGGAACGTGGTCTCACTGGGTAAGGACTTCCTTATTATTCGGTTTATCTATTTGAATTTCTTTACTTTCTTGTTTCTTCCTAAGTATAAGGTCTCTGAGAAGGTCTGTAGAGTGTGGCTTAGATTCCAGGACTTAGAACCTCTGAATCCTTATCTTTCACATCGTCTTCTCCGGGAGGGGTAATTAACGTTTGTTTGGGGGTGCCAAGAAGAGACATTCTCCTCCTTATCCCCAGTTCATGTTTATGGCCATTGTGGGGCATCTTTTCCCTTTTAGCAAAGGGAAACTTTCTTGTGCTTTGCTTGATTTCTCACCGTTCTTTTCTTTTCCATTTTTGTAGGAGAGACCCCAGGGTGGCCTCCCAACCTCCAACCAGACACTTTCCTCTTTGTTATCTCAGTGTCCCTGTATTAGAGAATTGAAGAATTTCCCATTTTTCTAGGAAAAAGAAATGCCGTTTATTTAAAAAGACAGGCTAAATTCCTTCTTGTTGAGTAGTCCCTCACCCCTTAAGATCCCCAGATGTATCTCCAAGCAGGCAGAACTTGAGATGTCATTTGAAGGCATGACTCACTGTGAGTACATTTCAGTGAGTCACCCAGAATGGTAATCCCACGTAACCACACCCAGGGCAGCAGAAATCTCAGATGTTTACCCCATGCTGAGGTGGGGTCAATGCTTAACTCATGTCTCTCCCTTGTCATTTTGAAAGGTACAGTGGGAAGCTGGGATTAGCCAAGCTGTAGTGCTGCTGGGAAGCATCAGTGGGGTTTGTCGGCAGCTCCCTTGGTGTGAGCATTGTTCCTTTTTCTTTAGTTTATTTTTTATATTATATTATATTTTTTATTTTATTTTATTTTTAGATGGAGTTTCACTCTTGTTGCCCAGGCTGGAGTGCAGTGGTGCAATCTCAACTCACTACAACCTCTGCCTTCCAGGTTCAAGCGATTCTCCTGCCTCAGCCTCCCAAGTAGCTGGGATTACAGGCATGGGCCACCACGCCCGCCTAATTTTGTATTTTTAGTAGAGACGGGGTTTCACCATGCTGGTCAGGCTGATCTCGAACTCTTGACCTCAAGTGATCCACCTTCCTTGGCCTCCCAAAGTGCTGGAATTACAGGCATGAGCCACCGCACCCAGCCTCCTTTTTCTTTAGTTTCTTGCTTGCTTCTGCACTCTTCTTTTTGTGTGTGTAAATACTGAATCATGCATTTTCTTTTCTTTTTTTTTTTTCCGTTGGCTTTGTCTATGCTGGTGGCATCCAGGGCATTGCTTTGTCTCCCTGATTATGCTCAGGATTCAAGGTCTTCTTATTTGTGGGGAGGCAGGCTGCCCACTGGGACGGTTTTTAGTGTGTTTTCCATTCCTGGCTCTTTAATCTTTGTAGGCATACTTCTCCGCCTTCCCACCACCCGGATTCATAGTGTGAATTCCTGCCCGGCCCTGAGTCATACCCAGGCAAGTGCTTTCTCTGGAGAAACACTTGCCGTCCTTACAGCAGGAATCTCCAAGAGATGGCCCAAGTATCGGCTTCCCATCGATATTGCTCGTCCCTGCTCGGAAACTCCTTTTCCACGATTGTGAGATATTAAAATTGACTGATGGAATAGAAGCTCCCCAGGATGCCACCACTGTGTAAAATCGCAGCTCCTCAAATTACCTCTGTTTAATTTCAAATGTTAGGGTCCAAGGAAGCCCTCTGTTGCAACCAGATATGTTTTGAACCCAGTTCATTCAGAAACCATGGTTGGTGGTCATCATCTACTTGTATTGTGAAAAACCAGAAATTCCAAATTCAGCTCTTCAGTTATGGTCTTTTCATATTATTTTAGAATGTGAAACTTATGCTGTGTGCCCCTCCTTTTATGTGGCGAACACAACCTGCCCCGTATGGTGCCTAACTCTCCTGTGAACCCTGGGCTTCCCTCATGTTTAACATTCTGGTTTCCTCCTTCCTTGAAGTCCCTGTGGCCCTCTTCAAGGTCCTACCTTCCTACCCTTTATTCTTTGTGGTTCTGTACAGATTGATGCAATTATATTGCCTTTCCTGATTAAGTGTTCCTTACTCTGTCCTTGATGGAGGGGAGAAGGGAGGGCAAAGAAGTTAAATTTATTTCAGGGCATCAAATTGAATATCTACTTAATAACTTTGTAAACTGTAAAGTGACATACATATAATTGTAAAGTACTGTTAATTTTATCTAATAATTACAGAGTTTCCAACAGTTAACCTGTCTACTTTTTGGAGTAAAGAAACTTTGTAGCAGTTTAATGCAGTCTAATAGCATAGTATGCTATAGACTGAACTTTATCCCATTTCCTCTCTTATCTCTGCACTGCACACTCGACATGCAGTCGACATGCATACACACTTTTACACATACAAGAGACACGCACAGTGCAAGAAAGCCTTCTACTCATCTTGCTTTTGTGATCAAGTTAGCAGCATCTCCTTAGCAGTTATTTTTACAATCCTTGGGAAATCATTTTCATATTTTTGGGTTCAGCAGACTTCATCTGAAAATTAACCCATTTATGCCTAGTGTTCCATTATTGGAACACTAAGCTTGCGGGAATTATTTATGTCCCGCTGCTCAAGGTCATCGCCAAGGTCTGATTTTTAACAAAAATTGCAACCTCCAGCATAACTGGGTTAAGTTTATACATTTATTAATTTAACTTTTTAGGGTTGTAAGACTTTTTTTTTTTTTGAGACGGAGTCTTGCTCTGTTGCCCAGGCTGGAGTGCAGTGGCACCATCTCTGCTCACCGCAAGCTCCACCTCCCGGCTTCATGCCATTCTCCTGCCTCAGCCTCCCAAGTAGCTGGGACTACAGATGCTCGCCACCATGCCTGGCTAATCTTTTCGTATTTTTAGTAGAGATGGGGTTTTGCCATCTTAGCCAGGATGGTCTCGATCTCCTGACCTCGTGATCCGCCTGTCTCGGCCTCCCAAAGTGCTGGGATTACAGGTTGTGAGCCACTGCGCCTGGCCTCCAGATTGTATTTGTCACAGACATTAGAACGTTGGTCCTTTGCTTAAGTGCTTCCACTATGCAGCAGTAAATATACAGAGTACAAATAGCTGAGTAAAGAAGTCGGTAATAAGTAATTTTCGTTACCACATAATTGAAAAAAGAACATACTCCATTGATGATGAATGAACAATTTGCCTCTGGGTCACTATCCATAGGGAAGTTACCTGTTACTTAGTGTGGTAGATTAAGACCCATAAAGGGGACCGAGTTGCTTTTCACATGGGTAAGTGTGGCAGGTGCCCTATTAGATGATGGCCTCAGAAGCATGCTTGTTAAAATTCTAATTGATATTAACTGGGTCAGTAGATTGGGAATGTTTGGCACATACTCTCTGCTTTTTTAACTTGATGTCATGAAGGACTACAGTTATTTTGCACAGAATGTTTTCCATTGTCACAGCTATTTAGTATTTATTGAGCAGCCAATATGTTATTGGGTACTATATATATGTATGTATACACACACACACACATATGTATATACACACACACAGACATAGGACATTTATATGTGTGTGTGTGTGTGTGTGTATATATATATATAAAGGATATGTGTATATATCTCATTTAATCCTTACCATAACCCTGTGAGCAGATGACACTGCTCCTATTTTATATCTGAGGAAACTGAGGCTCAGAGAAGTTAAGTGATCTTTGCAGGATCAGTGAGAGGCTTGGGACCCAGATCTGCCTCTGAAGCCCCTGCACTTTTTCACTACTTTGTGCCCTTAGGACAATAAGTTCAACTACACATGGAGTTTTTAATATTTTTAGTGAGTTGTGTGTACTCTGATGACAAGAAAAATTCAAAATGCCATGACAAATTGGACAGACAGGCCAGTATATAGTTTGGGACCAGAAAGGACATGCATTCAAAAAGTAAAACTCTCTAGGGACACATTCCAGTCCAACAGGTATCTACAAAAGAATGATATTGCTAAGGAGAGATATTATTTGTGTATTAAGGACCAGGAAGAAAAGCGTGAAGCTTTCAGATGGCTAAAAGCATAGCCGTAGTAAAAGCAGCAAACCATATGATAAGGCAAATTTTAAATATTATTTTTGAGGCAGGGTCCCCTCTTGTTGCCCAGGCTAGAATACAGTGGCATGATAACAGCTCACTGCAGCCTGGACTTCCCTCCAGGCTCAGGTGATCCTCCTACCTCAGCCTTCTGGGTAGCTGGGACTATAGGCCTGTACCATCATGCTAATTTTTTTCTATTTTTAGTAAAGAAGGTGTTTCGCTATGTTACCCAGGCTGTTGAACTCCTGGGCTCAAGTGATCTGCATGCCTCAGCTCCCCAGAGTCCTGGGATTACACATGTGAGCCAACACCATGCTCAGCTTTAACTGTTATTTTTGAAGACCAGATTAAAATAAATTTTATTAGAAAACTCTCAAGATTTAAATAAAATAATTTTTTTTTTGGAGACAGTCTTGCTCTGTCGCTCAGGCTGGAGTGTGGTGGCACAATGTCAGCTCACTGCAACCTCCGCCTCTCAGGCCCAAGCCATTCTTGTGCCTCAGCCTCCAGAGTAGCTGGGACTACAGGCATGCACCACCATACCCAGCTAATTTTTGTATTTTTAGTAGAGATGGGGTTTTGCCATGTTGGCCAGGCTGGTCTTGAACTCTTGGCCTCATGTGTTCCACATCCAGCCTTAAAATCAAAAGGTTTTAATAACTTAATTTTAAACGGAAAAAATGTAAAGCAAGTGCATATTTTGAAAGCATAGAGTCGGCCAGGTGCTGTGGCTCACACATGTAATCCCAGCACTTTGGGAGGCCAAGGCAGGCGGATCACCTGAGGTTGGGAGTTCGAGACCAGCCTGACCAACATGGAGAAACCCCGTCTCTACTAAAAATACAAAATTAGCCGGGCATGGTGGCGCATGCCTGTAATCCCAGCTACTCTGGAGGCTGAGGCAGGAGAATCACTTGAACCCAGGAGGTGGAGTTGAGGTGAGCCGAGATCGTGCCATTGCACTCCAGCCTGGGTGACAGAGTGCAACTCCGTCTCAAAAAAAAAAAAAAAGCATTCACGTCAATGTCAAGAGAACCTGCTACTAATGCTTTCTTTGATAGGCAGTATGATAGGTTGGAAAGAATATAAACTGGGATCAAGCTTGGGTTCCACTTACCAGCTGTAGTATGTTGAGCAAATTATTTAATCTGACACTCATTTTCTTGGTTTATAAAACATGAAAAATAATGTCTACCTTCTGGGTACAGGATTGAATTAGATTATGCATATAAGTACCTGGCTTGTGTCGGGTGCGGTGGCTCACGCCTGTAATCCAGCACTTTGGGAGGGTGAGGTGGGCGGATCACAAGGTCAGGAGTTCGAGACCAGCCTGACCAACATGGTGAAACCCCGTCTCTACTAAAAATACAAAAATTAGCTGGGCATGGTGGTACATGCCTGTGATTGCAGCTACCCAGGAGGCTGAGGCTGGAGAATCGCTTGAACCCGGGAGGTGGAGGTTGCAGTGAGCCAAGATCATGCCATTGCACTCCAGCCTGGGCGACAGAGCGAGACTCCATACCCCCCGGCCAAAAAAAAAAAAAAAAAATTAAGTACCTGCCTTGTGCTAGTTACTTTAATATTTTGGAAAGAATAGCAAGCGATATGAGCCATAGACCAGATTTTTTAATACAAATAAAAATTTCAGGAGTGTGTTCAAATTATTTATTTATAGTGGAGTTTCCTCAAATTTATTATTGTTTGGACTATTGTCTAGGGATTTGGATTTTTTTTTTTTTTTTTGAAATGGAGTCTCCCAGGCTGGAGTGTAGTGGCGTGATCTCGGCTCACTGCAACCTCTGCCTCCCGGGTTCAAGCGATTCTCCTTCCTCAGTCTCTCGAGTGGCTGGGACTACAGGCACCCGCCATCACGCCCGGCTAATTTTTGGTATTTTTAGTAGAGACAGGGTTTCACCGTGTTAGCCAGGATGGTCTCGATCTCCTGACCTTGTGATCTGCCTGCCTTGGCCTCCCAAAGTGCTAGGATTACAGGCGCGAGCCACCGTGCCTGGCTGGGGTTTGGATTTTTATTGTAAAGGATTTCCATTTCCTTGATAATAAATCATCTTTTAGATCCCTTTTAATTTTTAATTTTAATTTTTTGTAGAGATGGAGTCTCACTATGTTCCCCAAGCAGGTCTCAAATTCCTGAGCTCATGAGATCCTCCTGCCTTGACCTCTCAAAGTGCTGGGATTACACGTGTGAGCCACCATGCCTGGTCCATAGATCCTCTTGATTCGTTTGTTGGTTGATTGACTGACTGACTGACTGACAGGATCTCACTCTCACCCAGGCTGGAGTACAGTGGTGTGATCTTGGCTCTCTGCAGCCTCGGCCTTCTGAGCTCAAGCGATCATTCTGCCTCTGCCTCCCAAGTAGCTGGGACTACAGGCGTGTGCCACCATGCCTGGCTAATTTTTGTATTTTTTGTAGAGGTGGGATCTCACTATGTTGCCCAGGCTGGTCTCAGACTCTTGGGCTGAAGTGATCTGTCCGTCATGGCCTCCCAAAGTGCTGGGATTACAGGTGTGAGCTTCTGTGCCCAGCCATAGATCCCTTTTAATTAACACTTCTGCGACTCCAATTATTTAGGATCCTGGTTCACCGTATGTTATTCTAATCACTTTTTCTCTGTTGTTTGTATTTACCTTTTACTTCACTGTCAATATTTTATAAATCATATTAGAAAACTCAAGATTTAAATAAAATCAAAAAGTTTTAATACATTAATTTTAAACAGGAAAAATGTAAATAAAGCAAGTGCATATTTTGAAAGCAAAGTTTTGAGTTAAATTTAGGAAATAGGCATTTAGGCTAGTGCCAAGAAAACTTACACGTTCTTTCTGTGTGTAATTTGGAGGAAGGGATGGATTTTGTTCACAGTCATTATTTATTTTTTTTCAGGGCTTGTTAGGAGGCAAAATCATAATTTTTTTTTTACTAGCAGATTGTTTAAAGGCTAGGTTCTGAAATAAGACTGTGCAGGTTTGAAAACTAAGCATTACCAGTTATTGTAACCTTGGGCAAGCTACTTAACCACTCTGAATCTTAGTATTCCCATCTGTAAAATGGCTATAATAATAGTTTCTACGTTTTAAATTTATGGTATTAAATGAGTGAAAACCTAGAGAGCTCTTGGCATGGTACTTTGCACCTACCAAGTACTTAGTAAAACTTAATAATATTTTGATGGTACTGATGATACCCTGTTCTCTCTTCTAAACTGTGATATTGTATCTTTACCTGCTAGGCATTTTCTCTTTTAAAAAAAATTATTTCAGTAGTTTTGGGGGCGTACAAGTGGTTTTTTGTTACATGGATGAATTCTAATACATAGTGGTGAATTCTGAGATTTTAGTGCACCTGTCACTGGAATAGTGTACATTGTACCTAATATATAGTTTTTTATCCCTTGTCCCTTCTCCCACCCTTTCCCTTCTTAGTCTCTGAAGTCCATTTTATCACTCTGTATGCCTTTGCGTACTCATCTGCTGGGCATTTTCTCTTATACCTTCGTACATTACATTAAACACACATCTAAAATCAAACCCCTCATCCCACATGAAGACCACCTTTTTTGTTGTGCATATGTGTTTTAAGTGTAGATATGGAGTAAGCAGCCAGAATTTATTTCAGTTACCAAATATCGACAGACACTTTAAATATCTCAGAGTTAAAAGTTGCAAATTATGTTATTGGAATTCTGAGAACAATATTGATTGCTGCTTCATGTTACACTAACTTTACTTTTTAAACTTCTGAAACGATTTCATTTGACAGGGTGGACCTTAATTAAATATATGTCCACAAGGAGAGTTGACTCTAAATGTCCCACAGGATTTCAGAAACACAGTAAATACCTTTCTTCTATCTATTCTGATCTCCTTGCTCATAGGCTCTCACATGGAATCTTTGGGGCAGCTGTCAGTTCTTCATATTTTCCAGCCCCAATGCCCTTTTTATAAAATTGGGTAGCTGTTAATACATTGATACTTGGGCGCACAGAGTTGGCACTCAATAAGTAGCCGTTAAGTAAATTAATCAAAAGAATTGCAAGATACAAGATACCTGGTCCCTTCTATCAAAGAGTTTATAAATCAAGTATGAATGACAATACCTGAAACCACTTAAAAAAAAATCTATGTAAACACCGTTATATGTGACATGTCAGGATAAGAGGGAACAACTAATAAATTTTGTACACATTCAGTAAATGGAGAGAAAGGTTTTTGGAGATGAGGGGCTTGAGCCAGACCTTGTATGTGTGCTATTAGAAGCTTTCTGGGCTGGACACATTTAAAAACTGCCCTTTGATACTAATAGTATTAAAATTCTGTCTCCTTGGAAGCAGACTGCCTGTTGCTTTAGCTTTAAAAGAGATTTATATCCAAGCATTGCATTATGCAAGCCATAGAAAGACTGTTTTATGTGAAGATGCACTGATTGCACTTCCCTCTCTATATTTTATTGTAGTTAGTTGTTTAGAGCTGTCTCTGTGTAGAGTGTGAGGTCCTTGAGGGAAGGGACCTTCTTGGCCTCTTATCCCCTGCATACTTTGCATAGAGGAGGCACTTCATAAATGTTTGTTGAATAAATGCTACACTCCTAATGGGTAAGAATGTGTCATATTACTCTTTGTTTTCTTATGTGTACTGAAACAAATTGTTTCTTGAGATTGGTCCTTAGAATATTTATTCAGTTTTCACTGATTCTCTTGCTACAGGTTAGCTAACCATGCAGCAGGTGCTTGAGTTTCACCTTTCTCCAGTCCAGCAGAATTACATTTTGATGACCTCCATTTTGATACTTGTAGACCAGATCTAATCCGAAGATTAATCTTTAGGTAACAGATGGAGAGTGATAATGATAACTTCTGTGAAGACAAACCCATGCACACATTCTGTTGTCTGAATAATATTTAAATGAATCCTTCTGCTCCCAAGTCATCAACTTGCCCCTTAACACACATCCCTCTAGAGCACAAATCTGAGCTCCTTGTAGATCTTTGCCCTCTTCACTCTCCAGACCTTCCTAATTAATGTCTTCTCAGAATCGACCTTCTGTCTCTCTTAATCATTAGTTAAAAGAAAAAGTGGCAGATGTAGGACCTGGGGATACATTGCCACATCCCATTTCCTTCTCTATGAGCAGGATTTCCAATTTCCAAGCCTGATGGGATCTCCCAGCTGGAACAGGATCTACAGGTCTTTGATCTGGAAACTAAGACTAGAGAAGTCTTAAGAGATGACTGCTCAGGTGAGTAAGGCAGAATCAGATAGAATTAGTAGGGAAGTAAAGTTCAATTGTTGAGCCAAGTTGTAGCTGCTTTGGCACTCAGAATGAAGAGCTCTGTGTGTGTCCTAGCATGGAGAGTTCCTTCCTTTTCCCTTCAGTTAGGTTGACCCTTTCCATTTGTTTAGTATCCGTGCACATGTCGTACTAGACCCCAATCAAGTTGCTTATCTAAAATTCTTTCAGCTGTTTCCCTATTATTTCCTTACTCTGCTGAACATGTCCGCTGTTTTACCTCACTGCTCCTGTTTATGCCCTTAACTTCTGCTGTTGAGATTTTGTGCCTGTTTTTCAGAGTAAATAAACTTTTCTTGTCCTTGTAGATACTACATTGTTTAGTTTTCTCATCTGAGTTTTCTTTTCCTAAGCACAGGGTACAGATTACATTTGCATTTTCTATTTATATATTGTATCAGATGGAGAGACCAGAGAAGAGAACAAGCTGTTGATTCCTAAGCAGAAAATTTCGGAAGAAGTGCATTCATACAAAGTGAGAGTAGGAAGACTCAAACACGATATTACCCAAGTTCCTGAGACTAGAGAAGTGTATAAGTCTGAGGACAGATTAGAAAGACTTCAGGAAATTCTAAGGAAATTTCTGTACCTGGAGAGAGAGTTTAGGCAAATAACAATCAGCAAGGAAACCTTCACCAGTGAGAAGAACAATGAATGTCATGAACCCGAAAAAAGCTTCAGTCTGGACTCTACTATTGATGCAGATCAGAGAGTTCTTAGAATACAGAATACCGATGACAATGATAAGTATGACATGAGCTTCAACCAGAATTCAGCCTCTGGTAAACATGAACACTTAAATCTAACAGAGGATTTTCAGAGTAGTGAATGTAAGGAAAGCTTAATGGATCTCTCCCACCTTAATAAATGGGAGAGCATCCCTAACACTGAGAAATCCTATAAATGTGATGTATGTGGGAAAATTTTCCATCAGAGCTCAGCCCTTACTAGACATCAGAGAATCCATACTAGAGAGAAGCCCTACAAATGTAAAGAATGTGAAAAGTCTTTCAGTCAGAGCTCAAGTCTTAGTCGACATAAAAGAATACACACTAGAGAAAAACCTTACAAATGTGAAGCATCTGATAAATCCTGTGAAGCGTCTGATAAATCCTGTAGTCCAAGCTCAGGCATAATTCAGCATAAGAAAATTCACACCAGAGCCAAATCTTACAAATGTAGCAGTTGTGAAAGAGTCTTCAGTCGTAGTGTCCACCTTACTCAACATCAGAAAATTCACAAAGAGATGCCCTGTAAGTGTACTGTATGTGGCAGTGACTTCTGCCATACTTCATACCTACTTGAACATCAGAGGGTCCATCATGAAGAGAAAGCCTATGAGTATGATGAATATGGGTTGGCCTATATTAAACAACAAGGAATTCATTTCAGAGAAAAGCCCTATACGTGTAGTGAATGTGGAAAAGACTTCAGATTGAATTCACATCTTATTCAGCATCAAAGAATTCACACAGGAGAGAAAGCACATGAATGTAATGAATGTGGAAAAGCTTTCAGTCAAACCTCATGCCTTATTCAGCATCACAAAATGCATAGGAAAGAGAAATCGTATGAATGTAATGAGTATGAGGGCAGTTTCAGTCATAGCTCAGATCTTATCCTGCAACAAGAAGTCCTCACCAGACAGAAAGCCTTTGATTGTGATGTATGGGAAAAGAACTCCAGTCAGAGAGCACATCTAGTTCAACATCAGAGCATTCATACCAAAGAGAACTCATGAATGTAATGAAGATGGGAAGATATTTATCAAATTCAGGCTTCATTCAGCATCTGAGAGTTCACACCAGGGAGAAATCATGTATGTACTGCATGTGGTAAAGCCTTCAGTCATAGCTCAGCCATTGCTCAGCATCAGATAATTCACACCAGAGAGAAACCCTCTGAATGTGACGAATGAAGAAAAGGTATTAGTGTTAAACTCTTAATCGACTCCTGCAAATCTATACCAGTGAGAAATCTTACAAATGTATTGAATGTGGCAAATTTTTCATGCTATTAGTATTTTCATACCTTAGTCACATTTGGAGAATTCACATGGGAATAAAATTCCATTGCTGCAATGAATGTGAAAAAGCCATCAGTCAAAGAAACTACCTTGTTTAGTATCAAATTCACGCCATGCAAAAAGATTATAAATGTAATAAGCATGTATGTGTGTGAGGAGATTCAGTCATAACCCAACGCTCATTCAACATCAAAGAATTTATACCTAAGAGAACTTATTTGGGTGTAGTAAATGGCAGATCTTTCAATAGGAGTTTAACTAGTCTTTGTCATATCAGAATATCCATAGTAGACAAGAATTTGATGTAACGCAAATGGAAAAACTCGACACCACATTTCAGGCTTTACCCAACATCGAAATAATGGAGAGAAAATTGTTGATTATTTGTTTATGAAATTGTTAATACATAGTCCCAATCTTTTTCATTGCACAAAAATCTAGGGTTGACTTGGTAAATGCAGTGACATTTTCTCATGGAGTTCCTTTATTTAATATGTATTCTAAGTAGGTACGTTTATTTTTACTTTTTTATTATAATTTTGATATTAAAAAGAACAGAGATGGGGTCTTGCTTTGTTGCCCAGGCTGGTCTTGAACTCCTGGCCTCAAGCGATCCTCCCACCTGTCCTCCCAAAGTGCTGGGGTTACAGGCGTGTGTCACTGTGCTGGGCCTATTTTATTTATAGAACTCATTTAAGCTGTTTTTATTTTAATATGCCCTATAAACATTTTTATATTTTTTGAAATTGGTTCTTAGTGTTCACAACTTCCATAAGATACTGCTAATGCACCAGTATTAAAACACATCGACGTAAGTAGCTCATTTAGCTTTTTCTGCTGTTCTTGGCCCAAGTTCTTTCCAAAACCAACTCTTAGGCCTGCTCTTTACTAGGGATCTTATGTCGTATTGCTTTACAGCCACAACACTTGGATTCCTGTTGATTAACTTCTCCATTCTCTTAAGCACCTTTAGAAGATTTAGAAGTTTCCTAGTTTTAAGTGTTTCACCAGCAAGTATTCCATACCTACTTGATGTTGCTGGTCTGGTGTCTTATTTCCTAAAGTGAAGCATCTTTTTTTAAAAAAGAATTTGATTGACAATATATCCAGTCCAATATAAGTATGAAGGATTCTCTCTCCTGAGATTGTAGCAGGCAGCCAAACATTTTCAAATGATGCCCAAGGTTTTAGCTGTCTTGTGTGCATCCACAGTCTGCGAAGAAGACATGATAAGGACATCAGGGAGCCAACAAGACTCCTAATAGCCTCACTACATTCATCCAGTGCCTATTCTGCATGCCTAAGCTTAGAGTTCTTTTATATACCTCTACGGCCAGCAAAATGCTCAGGTCTGCTCTTGGTAGGGTAAACATAAAGAAGATACACAGGCCGGGCATGGTGGCTCACACCTGTAATCCCAGCACTTTGGGAGGCTGAGGCGGATGGATCACGAGGTCAGGCAGTCGAGACCATCCTGGCCAACATGGTGAAACCCCGTCTCTACTAAAAATACAAAAGTTAGCCGGGTGTGGTGGCACGCGCCTGTAATCCCAGCTACTCAGGAGGCTGAGGCAGGAGAACTGCTTGAACCTGGGAGGCGGAGGTTGCAGTGAGCCGAGATTGCACCACTGCACTCCAGCCTGGGCGACAGAGCAGGACTCTCTCTCAAAAAAACACAAAAAAACAAAAACAAAAAACCATACACACACACACACACACACAAATCAGCATCATAAGGGAATGTAGCCTTCCAACAGAGATGATGCTGTTCGTATGTTAATCTCAGAGACAGTATTTCAAGAGAGTGGCAGGTCTGTTCCTGGTAAAATTTTAACCATTAGGATTGCAGATAAATGTTTGAATTCTGCTCCTCTCTCATCAATCCAGGACAGTATTTGAAGTGTGAGGGCTTTGTGTATAGTTGTTTATCCATTACCACATTTTTGTATTTTAATAGTCTACAGGCTATATAAAAGAACATGGCTTTTTGACTGATAAAAGTGATTACAGATGTTGGCTCAAGTTCAGGGCCACCATCATATACCTAACAAGAGTTCATGATTCTTTAGGTAATGTCAAAACATTTTGTATTTTTCCATCTTAAGCTTTATAACATTTTGTGAGTAAGACAAATGTTATTTAAAATTCTTGTTGTCAGTCCAGCAATTGAGGCTTTCATAGTTCAGTGTTATAATATTCAGTAGGGACCCTCAACAAATATATAAAAATATGTTGCTCACTCTATAATCCTCCTATGGCTAACCTCTAGGATAGTTCTGCCACTATATTTTACTTCTTTGCCATCAGCAAGAGTAGGATTTCATCAAGGCAAGGTAGGAATCTAAATGAAATTGATATATAAATGAATTGATCTAAATGTAAAAGCAAATGAAAAATGCATGTGTTTTTTCCTGTCAAACATGTATACCCTTATGTATAGAGACCAGTAGTCACGTATGGTGACTGAAACAGGATTATGTAATCCCTAAAAAGCAGAATATGTAAAAATCACATGTATGCGTTTGGTTTAGGAATGTGCTTTTGTACTTCCACTTGAATAAAGGTGTGTTTGGTATTCTGAGAATTTGTTTCAAACAAAATCTGAAGGTCTCAGACAGAAGCGTTTGGGAATGTTGGAATCACATCTCTGGCTGCAACTCCTTTCCTCCCTGGAACTTGCTTCACAGCAAGAATGGATCACTTTCCTTTGCATTGATAACAAAGCTTGCTTTTCCACAGACCTCTGGAACAAAAGCTGAATGTTTGGGACTTAAAGGGGATTTGATTGGGAAGTTGTTGGTATATAAAATAAGACTAAATAGTTCGAGGTTTCAGTAGAACTAGGAATAACTTTTTGTTTGTTTGTTTGTTTTTTGAGACAGTCTCGTTCTGTCACCCAGGCTGGAGTGCAGTAGCGTGATCTCGGCTCACTGCAACCTCCGCCTCCTGGGTTCAAACGATTGTCTTGTGTCAGCCTCCCAAGTAGCTGGGATTACAGGCACCTGCCACCTTGCCTGGCTGATTTTTGTATTTTTAGTAGAGACCGGGTTTCACTGTGTTGGCCAGGCTGGTCTCAAACTCCTGACCTCAGGTAATCTGCCTGCCTCAGCCTCCCAAAGTGCTGGGATTACAGGCGTGAGCCGCTGTGCCCAGCCATATTTTTTAAATAAGTAAAACACTTTAAAAAAGGCGGACTCAAAATAGTCCTTTAGGGCAATCCTTTAAGCAGATATTTAATTGGCCTGATACATGAGTTTGTGTTCTGAGTCATTTTGGTCTTGAAAGGGGAGAGAAGAGAAATACGATAGTAGAGGGCACTTTTATCTTCTGTCTTTCCACCTACCTACACACACGTATGTTTGTACATATCTAAACTTTATTCTCAATTCTGCAAAGCAGCTAGCTTCATTTTACAAAGGAATATTTTAGTAAACATACCCCAGGCCAGGTGCAGTGGCTCACGCCTGTAATCTCAACACTTTGGGAGGCTGAGGCGGGCAGATCACTTGAGGTCAGGAGTTGGAGACCAGCCTGGCCAATGTGGCGAAACCCAGTCTCTACTTAAAATAGAAAAATTAGCCAGGCATGGTGTTGCGTGCCTATAATTCCAGCTACCTGGGAGGCTGAGGCGCAACAATAGCTTGAGCCTGGGAGGCAGAGGTTGCAATGAGCCGAGATTGTGCCACTGCACTCCGGAGTGAGACTCTGTCTCAAGAAAACACAAAAAAACAAAAAACAACAATATACCCCAAAGTGATGTTGGTATTACACAGATCTCAAAACCCAGAGAAGTTTGATAGCTCTTCATTCCCTAGTACATCGCTGATGACTCACTGTCATTAGTTTGCAACTGATCTCAAGTGCTCCGAGAGCTCTCTGGGATACTAGGAGAGAATATCCTGAGATTTTTTTAGGGAGCTAGTCAAACCCCTGCTCTGAAACAGGGTTGGACAGTTTTGACAATGGCAGGTCACAGGTCAAAGCTCTCAAATTTCATATGTCCTGTCAAGATACCGCTGCTGCCATCACTAGATTTGCATTTCCATTACACCGTGACCAAATTTACTCTTAATATTTTTCTGATAACCAGAACTTGCTGGTGGGCATGTATCCTTGCTAAGAGTCACTATCACCTCTGGTTATAGCAGTGGAGCAAAGTGGTAATGGGAAAATTCCTAGGTTTTTGGCCTGAGCAAAAGGGTGGATAGAAGTAGATGACAGGTGGGGAACACGGGGAGAGGGGCACGGAGAGTTTTAGCAAAAGAGCTAGCATGTCAAGGCCTGCATGTGAGAGTATGGCACTTTCCAGGTAATAAGTGAGGTATGGAGAAATGCCTCACTGTAGGATGTAGTATGTGGGCAACTGAGGAGGTTGAAGAACCAAGTTCAAAGGAGGCCCCTAGGGATTAGAGAACCAAGCACTATAGGATTCCCACATCTAAAAATGTTGCCTTCATTCATCCATTCATTCAGTAAACATTTAGCAGTGTAGGACTGGCATTGTTTCAGGAGGGATGCCCTGGATTTGGAGATCTTAACATGTAACTAGAGAAAACATTGGCATCCTGGGCTGTGGTGGGAACTAGCACCCGAAAGGTAACTCTGCTGGAGTCAGCAAACTGACATCTGTCCTTTTTCTAACATTTGTATCATATGAAACCACTTTTTTCTTCTTTTTTTTCAAACAGAATCTTGCTCTCTCGCCCAGGGTGGAGTGCAGTGATGTGATCTTGGCTCAGTGCAACCTCTGCCTCCCAGGTTTAAGTATTTCCTGCCTCAGCCTCCTGAGTAGCTGGGACTACAGGCACCTGCCATCACACCTGGCTAATTTTTGTATTTTTTGTAGGGACGGAGTTTCACCATGTTGGCCAGGCTTGTCTCAAACTTCTGACCTCAGGTAATCCACCCGCGTCAGCCTCCCAAAGTGCTGGGATTACAGGTGTGAGGGAATCACATTTTATATTCCCTTCAAAATACAAGTGTGTGAAGGAACCGGTGTTTTAATCCAAGAGTGTAAGAACGATTTCAAACAAATGGCACCCTTTACAAATAAAGAAACTACATACATTTAAAGCTTTATTTTGTGGACACTTCCTATTTACTCTCTGTTTTTAGAAAACTGTTAGCTATGGCTGGGTGTGGTGGCCCACGCCTGTAATCCCAGCACTTTGGGAGGCTGAAGCGGGTGGATCACAAGGTCAGGAGTTCAAGACCAGCCTGGCCAACATGGTGAAACCCCGTCTCTACTAAAAATACAAAATTAGCCAGGCGTGGTGGTGCTGTAATCCCAGCTACTCTGGAGGCTGAAGGAGGAGAATCGCTTAGAACCTGGGAAGCAGAGGTTGCAGTGAGTCGAGATTGCGCCACTGCACTCCAGCCTGGGCGACAGAGTGAGACTCTTGCCTTTAAAAAAACAACAACAACAAAAAACAAAAACGGTTAGCCTCTTGTATGTGTGTTTCATTTATGTTTATACATTTACAACCTGGGCATAATGAAAGCATTTGTTTTGTCTTTTCCCCATTTGCTCATATTACAATGACACAGTCTTCCTCCATTGTCCTTTGTGGGTGCAGTTAGATGCCCTCGCTCTGGTATGAGCAGGCCAGGGTTCAAATGCTGCCTTTGTTACATACCAAGTGCAGCTCTGGCATTTAGGATGGTAAAAAACAAAACCACCACCTGCACAGGACCGTTGTGAGGATTAATGAGATAGTGTCAGTTTAAGTGCTCCATAACTGGTAGTTGCTGTTTCTGAGTTTATCAGGAAACCCCTTATCACGAACAATTTGTCTCCTTAATCTTTTTTCTTCCTTTTCTGCTTCAATACATCTCATGCCTCTGGCAAACCCATACTCCTGGCCGGCTAGGTGGTTGGCTCTTGGCCCCTTCTCTAAGGCTTTTCTTGCCCGTTCCCCCTGCCTATTTATAGGTGGTGCAAAAGTAATTGCGGTTTTGCCATTTAAAAAATTGCAAAACAGCAATTACTTTTGCACCAACCTAATACACGCTCCAGGCCAAGCTGGGAGATGTTGGGGTGCACACAGGGAGAGGAGGACAGGCTGGCCTGTGGGTGAAGAGCGCGGGCCCCGCAGGGTCAACCCGGCCAGTGGTCACGAAAGGAGGTGGAGTGGGGGGAGGCGACATAGGGCAGGAAGAGGGGAGGACAAACGGGGTTCACATGGGGACCGTGGCGATGACACGGAAGGGACAGCCAGTTAGAGTCTAGGCCCACTTAGGCGATGAAGGGCAGGTGAAGAAATCCCGTTCCATCTTCCTGCAGTCCTCCCTTGGGGAGTCCACATCCTATCCTTCTCTGGACCGGGGCGGCTCCTGGAGGGACCGCGATCGAAATGAGGCCTCCGAGCCGCCCAGAGACTCCGAAGTGCGCGCAGCGGACCACGCGGTTTCCATGCGCCCCCTAGGGTGGGTGGGCTAGCTGTGCGCCCCAGTGCGGAGAACGGAGGAGGGGTCGGCCCCGTAGCGGCTGGAAACGCAGTTGGCGGCGGGGCCCAGCTTGCGGGGCTTCTGATCGCAGGGGCGGGGCCCGCCGCCGGTTTCTAAGGGCCTGGCAGAGTTCCTGCAGTCACGGTCAGGGGTCTTTGCTTTCGTCCATCCCCTCCTGGAGAAAGAACGCAGCTTCTAACGCCTTCTCGGTTGGGCACCCTTCTTGGGAAAGCTCCGCCTACCATTGCCCTTGTACCTGCCCTCTCTCTCCCTTTCCTGAAGTGACTGCCCGTCTCTAGCATCGTGTTGTGAATGTGTCGAGATTTTGGCGCTGCAGCAGCATCGGAGATTGGATCCAGCCCACGGAGAGGTCCCCAGACTCCATTTGTCCGCCCCAGGGCAGGGGCCTCGGAAGAGCAAGGGGGAGGAGCTAATCTAGCCGGCTGATCTTTGTGGCTTAGACAAAATTTAGAGTTTATTTGTCCCTCTGACCATGCTCTCAGATCAGATGGACAAGATTAGCCTTACACTTAGAAGCGTTGTGGTGCAAGACTAGTGACTTTTTTTTTCCCTTCCTTCCTTCCTTCCTTCTTTCCTTCTGTCCTCCCTCCCTCCCTCCTTCCCTCTCTTCCTTCCCTTTCTCCACCCCCCACCTTTTTTTTTTGAGACAGGGTCTCACTCTGTTGCTCAGGCTGGAGTGCAATGGCATGATCATAACTCACTGCAGCCTCGACCTCATGGGCTCAGGTGATCCTCTCACCTCAGCCTCCCAAGTAGCTGGGACTACAGGCCCACACAACCACGCCCGGCTTTATTTATTTATTTATTTATTTATTTATTTATTTATTTATTTATTTATTTTTAGAGACAGGGTCTCACTATGTTGCCTGGGCTGGTCTTGAACTCCTGATATTAAGCTATCCTCTCCCCTTGGCCTACCAAGATGCTAGGATTACAGGTGTGAGCCACTGTGTCTGGCCATGACATTTTGTTTTTTTCTTCTTTGTAACCTCAAGCTGTAGCCCATGTCAGTAAAGCCTGTTTCCTCTCTCGCTGTGTGGAACAAATCTGCAGCAGTGCTGTCTAGCTCTATTGTGAGGATCTGTTATACCAGCACCTGTTAACTTGCTTGGCATTTGGAGAAGCTAGGTAAATGTGTGAATGAATAAATGCACGAACCCAGCCAAGTATGTCCCATGAGCCAAGTACAAGAAGAGTGGACTCTTGTCCTACTCACACTCTCCTTCATCGTTAGGAAAGTGGCATTTTTCTACCCAAGGCATAAACTCTGAGAGTGGATACAATGGACAGGTCAGCCACCTGTTAAGAGAAATGGAAGTTAAAAGATTTATAACATTTTGATTTCAGTCTGCTGTCCCACCATTATCAGGTGTATGGCCATTTAAAGAAAATGAAGTTGGGGCCAGTCACGGTGGCTCACGGCTGTGATCCCAGCACTTTGGGAGGTTGAGGCATGCAGATCACTTGAGGTCAGGAGTTTGAGACCAGCCTGGCCAATATGGTGAAACCCTGTCTCTACTAAAAATGAAAAACAAATTAGCCGGGTCTGATGGTGTGTGCATGTGGTCCCAGCTACTCGGAGAGGCTGAGGTGGGACAGTTGCTTGAACCTGGGAGGTGGAGGTTGCAGTGAGCTGAAATTGTGCCACAGCATTCCAGCCTGGGCGACACAGTTAGACTCCATTTCCCGCCCCTCTGCCCCACAAAAAAAAAGTACACCGATATGATAGGGGAGTGTACTCCCTCTGCGATATTGCGAATAATATTGTCGTCTCCCTTTCTGGATATTAGGAGCAATATCAGAAGGAGGATACCCTGCAATATTGGAAGTAATATCATCCTCTACCACCCTGGATGTGTGTACACCTTTTGCAAAACTGGGAGTAATATTGTCTCCCCCCCCAATATTAAAAACAATATCACAGGGTGGGTGTACACTCCCTGCGATATTGGGGTTAACATCATCCTCTCTTTCCCTGATATTAACCACAATGTCAAAGTAGGGGTGTACACCCCCTGCGCTATTGGGAGTAATGTCATCCTTTCTCCCCCTGGATATTAGGAAATGTCTCAAGTGGGGTTTATACCCCCTGCAATATTGGGAATAATATCATCCTCTTCCCCCTGGATATTAGAAACAATATCACGGGGGGCGAGGTGTACATTCTCTGCGATATTGGGCATAGTATCATCTTCTCCCATCCTTAATATTAGGAACAGTATCACGGGGGGGTGTACACCCCCTGCGATATTGGAAGTAATATCATCCTCTCCTACCCTGGACATTAGTTATAATATCACAGTGCAGGTGTACACCCCCTGTGATATTGGGAGTAATATCATCCCCTTTTTTCCTGGATATTAAGAACAATATCACAGTGGGGGCGTACAACCCCTGTGATAATGGAAGTAATATTGTCCTCTCTTCTCCTGGATATTAGGAACAAAATCACATGGGGGTTGTACACCCTCTCCGATATTGGGAGTAACATCATCCTCTCCTACCATAATTATTAGGGACAATATCACAGGGGTGGTGTACACCTTCTGCGATATTGGGAGTAATATCATCCTTTCCCCATCTGGATATTTGGAACAATATCATGGGGGAGGGTGTATACCCCTTGTGATATTGAGAGTAATATAATCCTCTCCCCACCTAAATATTAGAAACAATATCATGGGGTGGGGTGTACACCTCCTGCAATATTGCGAGTAATATCATCCTCTTTCCCCCCTGCATATAAGGAACAATATCACGGGGTGGGGGGTACACCCCCTGCGATTTTGACAGTATTATCATCGCCTCCCCCCTTGGATATTAAAAACAATATCACAAGGGAAATATAACCTCCCTGTGATATTGGGAGTAATATCATCCTCTCCCTTTCTGGGTATTAGAAATAATATCAGAGAGTGGGTGGTCACCCCCTCCGATATTGGGAGTAATATCCTCTCCCCTTCTGGATATTAAAAGCAATATCATAGTGAGGGTGTACACCCTCTGCGATATTGGGAATAATGTCATTCTCTCCACCTGTGGATATGACAAACAATATCACAGTGGGAGTGTACACCCTTTGGGATATTGGGAATAATAACATCCTCTCCTACCCAGGATATTAGGAATAACATCGAAGGGGGATGTACATGCCCTGCGATATTGGGAGTAATATCATCTTTTCCCTCCCTGGATATTAGAAACAATATCACAGGGGAGGTGTACACCTTCTGCGATATTGGAAGAAATATCATCCTCTCCCAACCTGGATATTAGGAACTGTATCACAGGGGAGGTATACACCCCCTGCGATATTGGGAGTAATATTTTCCTCTCCTCCCTGGATATTAGGAACAATATCACGGGGGTGTACACCCCCTTCAATATTGAAAGTAATATCCTCTTTTCCCCTGGAGATCAGGAACAATATCAATGGAGGGTGTACACCCCCTTCAATATTGGGGTAATATCATCCTCTCCTTCCCTTGATATTAAAAACAGTACCACAGGGATGTGTACAACCCCTGCGATTTTGAAAGTAATATCATCCTGTCCTCTTCTGGATATTAGGAAGACTATCACAGGGGTGTGTGTACACCCTCTGCGATATTGGGAGCAATATCATCCTCTCCCCCCTGGATATTATAAACAATATCACAGGGGTGGTGTACACCCCTGCAATATTGGCAGTATATCATCATTTCCCCCGCTCCCAGATATTAGGAACAATATCACGGTGGGGGGGTGTACACGCTCTGTGATATTGGGAGTAATATCATCCTCTCTCTCTCTGGATATTAGGAACAATATCACAGGGAGGGTGTACACCCCCTCGATATTGAGTAATATTTTCTCCCCCACTGGAAATTAGGAACAATGTTACAGAGGGGGTGTACACCAACTGCGATATTGGTGGTAATATCCTCTACTTCCTGGATATTAGGAACAATCTCACTGGGGGTTGTACACCCCCTGCGATATTGGGAGTAATATCATCCTCTCCCCCTCTGGATACTAGGAACAATATCACATGGGGGGTGTACACTTCTCACACTATTGGGAGCAATATCATTTCCTCCCCCCCTACATATTAGAAACAATATCACAGGGGTGTTGTACACCTTCTGCGACATTGGGAGTAATAGCATCATCTTTCCCAGTGGATATTAAGAACAATATCACAGGCAAGGTGTACATTCCTTGAGATATTGGGAGTAATATCCTCTCCTAACCTGAGTATTAGGAACAATATCACAGTGGGGGTGTACAACTTCTACGATATTGGGAGTAGTGTTATCCTCTCCACCCTTGTATATTAGGAAGAATATCACACTGGGGGTGTACACCCCCTGCGATATTGAGAATAATGTTATACTCTTCACTCCTGGGTATTAGGAAGGAAGAACACCTACAAAGGGGGTGGACACCCCCTGCGATATTGGGAGTAATGTCATCCTCTCCTTCTCTGGATATTATGAACAAAATCACAGAGTGTGTGTACACTTTCTTTGATATTGGGATTAATATCATTCTCTCTTCCACTGGATATTAGAGGTAATATCACATGGGGAATGTACACCCTGTGATATTGACAGTAATATAATTGTCTCCCCACCTGCAAATTATTAACAATATCACAAGTGGGGTGTACACCTTCTGTGATATGGGAAGTAATATCATCCTCTCTTTCCTGGATATTACGAACAATATCACAGGGGGGTGAACACTCCCTGCGGTATTGGGAATAATATCATCCTCTTTCCCACTGGATGCTAAGAACAGTATCACAGGGAGGTGTACAACCCCTGAGATATTAAGAGTAATATCATCCTCTTTTCTCCTGGATATTGAAAAAAATATCACACTGGGGTGTACAACCTTGCTATATTGAGATTAATATTGTCATCTCCCGCCCTGGATATTAGGAACAATATCACAAGGAGGGTTCACACCCCCTGCGATATTGGGAGTGATATCATCCTCTTCCCTACTGGATAGTAGGAACAATATCACGGGGGAGTGTACCGTCTTTTCGATATTGGAAGTCATATCATTCTCTTTCCCTCTGGACATTAGGAACAATATCACAGGGAAGGTATACTCCACCTGTGATATTGACAGTAATATTATTGTCTTCCCCATTGGATATTAGGAACAGTACCACAAGGGGTGTGTACACCTCCTGCGATATTGGGAATAATACAATTTTCTTCTCCTTTGATATTAGAAGCAATATCACAGGGGGTGTGTACACGCTTTGCCATATTGGGAGTAATATCATCCTATCCCCACTAAATATTAGGAACAATATCACAAAGGGGGTATACACTCCCTGCGATATTGGGAGTAATATAATCCTCTTCCCCCTGGATATTAGGAAAAATACCACAGGGTGTGTGTACTCCCCCAGTAATATCAACCTCTCCCCCACTGGATAATAGGAACAATATTACAGAGGGGGGGTACACCCCCTGAGATATTGAAAGTAATATTATCCTCTCTTCCCTTGGATATTAGGAACAATATCACAGAAGGGGTTTACACCTCCTTTGATATTGGGATTAATATTCTCTCTTCCACTGGATATTAGGAAAAATATCACACGGGTGGTGTACACCTGCTATGATATTGACAGTAATATAATCATCTCCCCTTTTGGATATATTAATATAAAAAGGGGAATGTACACCCCCTGCGATATAGTGATATCATCCTCTCCCCTGTGGATATTAGAAACAATATCGCAGGGGGATGTACACACCCTGTGATATTGGAAATAATATCTTCCTATTCTTTTCTGGATATTAGGAAAAATATCACCGGGGGGTATACACCCCCTGCCCTATTTGGAGTAATATTGTCATCACCCACTTTGGATATTAGGAAGACTATTACAAGGAGGGTATACATCCCCTGCGATATTGAAAATAATATCATCCTCTCTCCCTCTGGATATTAGAAACAATATCACAGGGGTGGTGTACAACCCCTGCGACATTGGAAGTAACATCATCCACTTTCCCCATGGATATTAGGAACTATATTACAGGGTGGGTGTACACCTTCTCTGATATTGGGAGTAATATCATCCTCTCCCCCCCTTGATATTAGGAACAATATCTCACGGGGGTGTACACCCCCTATGCTATTGGGCGTAATATTGTCTCCCCTTCTGGATATTAAAAACAATGTCACAGCAGGGTGTACACCCCCTGCGATATTGACAGTAATATCTTCTACCCCCTTGGATATTAGGAACAATATCAAACCGGGGGTGTACACCCCCTGCGATATTGGGGGTACTATCATCCTCTTCCCACCTGGATATTATGATCAATATCACAGGGAGGACGTACACCCCCTGTGATATTTGGAGTAATATTATTCTCTCTCCAGCTGTATGTTAGAAACAATATCACAGAGGAGGTTTACACCCCCTTCGATATTGGGTGTAATATCATCCTCTCCCCACCCTGGATATTAGAAACAATATCACAGGGGGTTGTACACCGACTGTGATATTGGGAGTAATATCATCCTCTCCCCTCCCGGATATTAGGAACTATATTACAGGGTTGTGTACACCCCCTGCGACATTGAAAGTAGTATCATCCTCTCCACTTCTGGATATTAAGAACAACATCACAGGGGGGTGTACACTCCCTGTGGTATTGGGATTAATATCATCCTCTTCCTCCGTGGATATTAGAAACAATATCACAAAGGGTTATTCCCCCAACCTGCGATATTGGTAGTAATATCTTCTCCCCTCATGAATATTAGGAATAATATCACAGGGGGTGTGTACATCCCTTATGATATTCGGAGTAATATTATTATCTCCCCCTGCATATATTAGGAACAATATCACAAAGGGGGTGTAAACCCCTTGCAATATTGAGGATAATGTCATACTCCCTCTCTTGGATATTAGGAGCAGTATCACACGGGGGGTGTACACCCCCTGCGATATTGGGAGTAATATCATCCTCTCCCCCCCTACATATAAGGAACAATATCACAGGGAGGATGTACACCCCCTTCGATATTGGGATTAATATCATCCTCTGTTCCACTGGATATTAGGAACAATATCACACGAGGGGTGTACACCCCCTGAGATATTGACATTATATCGTCTCCCCCTGAATATTGTTAACAATATCACAAGGGGGATGTACACCTCTTGCTTTACAGGGAGTAATATCCTCCTCTCCACCCACGATATTAGGAGCAATATCATGGGGGGGGGTGTTGTACATTTCCTGCGGTATTAGGAGTAATATTCTCTCCTCCCCTGGATATGAAGAACAATATCACAGGGGGGTGTACACCCCCTGCCATATTTGGAGTAATATCATCTTCTCTGTTCCTGGATATTAGGAACAATATCACAGCATGGGGAGTATACCCCATGCGATATTGGGAGTAATATTGTCGTCTCCTCTCCATTACATTAGGAGCAATATCACAAGGAGGGAATACACCCCCTGCAATAATGGGAGTAATAATATCCTCCACCCCCCCTGGATATTAGGAACAATATCACAGGGGGGATGTACATCCCCTGCGATATTGGGAGTAATATCATCTTCTGCCCCTCTCGATATTAGAAACAAAATCATGGGGAGGGGGTGTACACCACCTATGATATTGGGAATAATATTATCCTCTCCCCCTGGATGTTAGGAACAATATCACAGAGGGGTGTACATCCCCTGCAATATTAAGAGTAATATCATCCTCTCTTCCACTGGATATTAGTAACAATATGACAGTGGGGTGCAATATTGAGAGTAATATCATCCTCTCTCCCACTGGCTATTAGGAACAATATCGCAGGCGGGGTGTACAGTCCCTGCAATATTGGCAGTAATGTCATACTCTTTCCCCTAATATCAGCCTCTATTTCACTGGATATTAGGAACAATATCACAGGGCGGTGTACAACCCCTGTGATATTGGAAGCAATATCATCATCTCCCCGTCTGGATATTAGGAAGAATATCACAGTGGGGGTGTATACCTCCTGCAATATTGGGAGTAATATCATCCTCTGCCCCCCTAGATACTAGGAAAAATATCACAGCGGGGGTGTACATCCCCCTGTGATATTTGGAGTAATATCATCCTCTCCAAATTTGAATATAAGGAACAATATCACAGTGGGGTGTACACACTGTGAGTTGTTGGAAGTAATGTCATTCTCTCCTCCTGTGGATATTAGGAACAATATCACATGGGGGTTGTATACTCCCTGCGATATTGTGAGTAATATCATCCTGTCCCCTCTTGATATTAAAAACAATATCACAGGGGGGTTGTACACATCCTGTGATATTGGGAGTAATATCTTCTCCCTCCCTGGATATTAGGAAGAATATTACCTCCCCTTTTGGATATTATGAATACTATCAGAGAGAGTGTACAGCACCTGCAATGTGAGGAGTAATATCACATCCTTCCTTGGATATTATGAATAATATAGCAGGGGATGCACACCCCCTGCGATGTGAAAAGTAATATCACCTCCCCCCTTGGATATTATGAATAATATCACAGAGGGTGAACAGCTTCTGCTATGTGAGGAGTAATATCACCTCCTTTGGATATTACGAATAATATCACATAGGTTGTACACCCCCTGCGATGTAAGGAGTAATGTCACCTTCCCCTTTTGATATTATAAATACTATCACAGAGGGTGTACACCCCCTGTGATGTAAGGAGTGATATCACCTCTCCCTTGGACATTACTCCTAATGTCACAGAAGGTGTACAGAGCCTGCATTGTGAGCAGTAATATGACTTCCGCCCTTTGATATTACAAATATTATTGCAGAGGGTGTACAATCCCTGCATAGTGAGGAGTAATATCACCTCCCCTTTTGGATATTACTAATATTATAACAGAGTGTGTACAGCCCCTGCGATGTGAGCAGCAATATCACCTCCCCCCTTGTATATTATGAATATTATCACAGAGGGTGTAGAGCCCCTTTGATGTGAGGAGTAATCCCCAGTCGGATATTAAGTATATGATCACAGAGGCTGTACAGCCCCTGTGATGTGAGGAGTAATATTACCTTTCCCCTTGGATATTACGAATATAATCACAGAGGGTGTACACACAGACTGTTTAAATATTGCAAGTAATATCTCTCCCCTTGGATATTACGAATATAATCACAGAGGGTGTACAGCCCCTGTGATATGAGGAGTAATATCACCTCCTCCCTTGGATATTACAAATATTATCACAGGGGATGTATACACAGGGTGTTTACAATATTACAAGTAATGTCATCTCTCCCCTTGGATATTACGAATAATATCACAGAGGGTGTACACACAGGATGTTTACAATATTAGGAGTAATATCTCTCCCCTTAAATATTACTAATAGTATCACAGAGGGTTTACACTTCCAGTGATATTAGGAGTAATATCATCTCCTCCATGGGAGATTATGAATAATATTTGGAGAGTGTACACCCACTGTGATATTACAGGTAATATCATCTCCTCTTTTGGATATTATGAATAATATCACAGAAGGTGTACACCCACTGCTATATTACAGGTAATATCTCCTCCCTTTAATATTATGAATAATATCACAAAGGGTGTACACCCACTGTTACATTAGGAGTAATATCTCCTCCCTTGGATATTACAAATAATATCAGAGAGCTGTACATCTACTGAGATTTTAGAGGTAATATCATCTCCTCCCTCCGATATTACAAATAATATTACAGAGGATGTTCACCCATTGTGATATTGGTAGTAATATCATCTTTTTTCTTTTATATTATGAATAATATCACAGAGGGTGTACACCCACTGCATTATTAAAGGTAATATTATCTCCTCCTTTGGATATTATGAATAATATCACAGAGGGTGTACCCCCACTGCGATATTAAGAGTAATATCTCTCTTAGATATTACAAATAATTGAATAATATCACAGAGTGTACATCCACTGTGATATTAATAGAACTAGTTCCCTAGGATATTACAAATAATATCACAAGGTGTACACCCACCGTGATATTAGAAGTAATATCTCTTTTAGATATTATGAATAATATCACAAGGTGTACACCCACTGTGATATTATGAGTAACATCTCCTTTAGATTTTATGAATAATATCACAGGGTGTACACCCACTGTGATATGAGGTGTAATATCTCCCTTACATATTACGAATAATATCACAGGGTGTACATCCACTGTGATATTAGGAGAAATATCTCCCTTAGGTATTATGAGTAATATCACAGCCTGTACACCCACTGTGATATTAAAGGTAATATCTCCTTTAGATATTATGAATAATATAACAGGATGTACACCCACTGTGATATTAGGAGTAATATCTTCCTTAGATTTCACAAATAATATTACAGGGTTTACACACAGTGTACACCCACTGTGATATTACGAGTAAGGTCTCCCTTAGATATTACGAATAATATCACTGGGTTTACACACAGGATATACAGCCACTGTGATATTAGAGGTAATATATTCCTTAGATATTACAAAGAATAACTGTGATATTATGAGTAATAGCTCCGTTAGATATTACAAATAATATCACAGGTTGTACACAAAGGGAGTACATCTACTGTGATATTAGGAGTAATATCTCCCTTAGATATTACAAGTAATATCACTGGGTTTACACACAGGGTATATACCCCCTGAGATATTAGGTGTACTGTCTTCTTTAGATCTTATAAATAATATCACAGGATGTACACTCACTTTGATATATGGAGTAATATCTTTTTTAGATATTACAAATATATCTTTCTTAGGTATTATGAATAATATCACTGGGTGTACACCCAGGTTGTACAACCAGTGTGATATTAGGAGTAATGTCTCCCTTAGATATTACAAATAATATCACCAGGTGTTGACCCACTGTGATATTAGGAGTAATATCTTTTATTATGAATAACATCACAGGGTGTATGCCCACGGTGATATTAGGAGTAACATCTTCCAGATATTATGAATAATATCACAGGGTGTACACACAGCGTCTTCACCCACTGTGATATTATAAGTAATATCTTTTACGTATTATAAATAATATCACAGGGTGGACACCCATGGTGATATTAGTAGTAATTTCTTTTAGATATTATGAATAATATCACAGGGTGTACACACAACGCCTACACCTATGGTGATATTACAATATCTTTTATGTATTGTGAATAACATCACAGAGTAGACACCCACGATGATTTTAGGAGTAATATCTTTTAGATATTATAAATAACACCACTAAGTGAACACCCATGGTCACATTAGTAGTAATATCTTTCAGATAGTATGAATAATATCACAGTGTGTACACCAGCGCTTATATTAGGAGTAATATCTTTTAGGTATTATGAATAATATCACAGGTTGCACACCAAGGGTAATATTAGCAGGAATATCTTTTAGATATAATGAATAATATCACATGGTGTACCCACATGGTGCACATCCACGGTGATATTATGAGTAACATCTCTTAGATATTGTGAATTAGATTACAGGGTGTACACCCTCGGTGATATTAGGAGTAATATATTTTAGATATTATGAATAATATCACAGGGTGTAAACACAGGGTGTACATCCACAGTGTTATTAGGAGTAATATCTTTCAGATATTATGAATAACGTCATCACAGGGTGTACACACACTGTGATATTAGGAGTAATGTCTTTGAGATATTATGAATAATATCATCATAGGGTATACACCCACAATGATATTAGGAGTATTATCTTTTACATATTATGAATAATATCACAGGGTGTACACACAGGATGTACTTTCATGGTGATATTAGGAGTAATATATTTTAGATATTATGAATAATATCACAGGGTGTACACCCACGGTGATATTAGGAGTAATATCTTTAGATATTATGAATAATAACACAGGGTGTACACCCACGGTAATATCAGGAGTAATACATTTTAGATGTTATAATGTCACAAGGTGTGCACACATAGTGTACACCCACGGTGATATTAGAAGCAATATCTTTTAGATATTATGAGTAATGTCACATTTTGTACACACAATGTCTACACCCCCGGTAGTATTAGGAGTAATATCTTTTAGATATTGTGACTAATACCACAGGGTGTATATCCATGGTTTTGTTAGGAGGAATACCTTTTAGATATTGTCAATAGTATCACAGGGTGTACACTCACGGTGATATTAGGAGTAATGTCTTTTAGATATTGTAAATAATATCACAGGGTGTACACCCACGGTGATATTAGGAGTAATATCTTTTAGATATTGTGAATAATATCACAGAGTGTACATCCACGTTTTTATTAGGAGGAATATCTTTTAGATATCTTCAATAGTATCACAGGGTGTACATCCACGTTGATATTAGAAGTAATATCTTTTAGATATTATAAATAACACCATAGGGTGTACACCCATGGTGATATTAGGAGTAGTATCTTTTAGATATTATAAATAACACCATAGGGTGTACATCCATGGTGATATTAGGAGTAATATCTTTTAGATATTATGAATAATATCACAGGGTGTACGCCCACGGTGATATTAGGAGTAATATCTTTTAGATTTTGTGAATAATATCACAGGGTGTACATCCACGGTTTTATTAGGAGGAATATCTTTTGGATATTGTCAACAGTATCACAGGGTGTACACCCATGGTGATATTAGGAGTAATATCTTTTAGATATTGTGAATAATATCATCACATGGTGTACACCCACTGTGATATTAGGAGTAATGTCTTTTAGATATTATGAATAATATCATCACAGTATATACACCCACTGTAAACACTCTGTGTAAATACTGTTACATGATAAATATCAGAAGCGACATTTCATCAATATGACAGTATGTAAACCTGTGTAAACACTTTGGTATGACATATATCAGAGATGATATTTCATCAATATCACAGTGTGTAAACACTCTGTGTAAACACTGTGATGTGACAAATATCAGAAGCGATACTTCATCAATATCATATGTGTAAACCCTCTGTAAACACCATGATAGGACAAACATCAGAAGCGATATTTCATCAATATCATAATGTGTAAACCCCCTGTAATCACTGTGATATGATAAATATCAAAAGCGATATTTCATCCATATCACAGTGTGTATACCCCCTCTGTCAACACTGTGATATGATGAATATGAGAAGCGATATTTCATCAATATCACAGTGTGTGAAAGCTCTGTGTGAGCACTGTGATATGATAATTATCAGAAGTGATATTTCATCAATACTACTGTGTGTAAACACTGTGATATGATAAATATCAGAAGGGATATTTCATTAATATCACAGTGTGCAAATATTGTGATATGGTAAATATCTGAAGCGATATTTCATTAATATCACAGTATGTAAACACTGTGATTTGATAAATATGAGAAGAGATATTTCATTAATATCACCCTGTGAAAACACTTTGATATGATAAATATTAGAAGTGTTATTTCATTAATATCACAGTCTGTAAACGCTCTGTGTAAACACTGTGATTTGATAAATATCAGAAGCGATATTTCATTAATATCACACTGTGTAAACACTCTGTGTAAACACTTTGATACGATAAATATCAGAAGCGTTATTTCATTAATATCACAGTGTGTAAACACTGCGATATGATAAATTTCAGAAGCGGTATTTCATTAATATCACGGTGTGTAAACTCTGTAATATGATAAATATCAGAAGCGATATACCGTTAATATCACAGTGTGTAAACACTCTGTGTAAATGCCGTGATATAAAAAATATCAGAAGTGATATTTCATTTATATCACACTGTGTAAACACTGTGATATATCAGCAGCGATATTTCATGAATATCACTGTGTGTGAATGGTCTGTGTAAACACTGTGATATGATATCAGAAGCGATATATCATTAATATCAAAGTGTGTAAACACTGTGTAAACACTATGATATGATAAATAGCGATATTTCATTAATAACAGTGTGTAAACACTGTGTAAACACAGTGATATGAAAAATATTAGAAGCGATATTTCATTAATATCACAGTGTGTAAATACTCTGTGTAAACACCATGATATGAAAAATATCAGAAGGGGTATTTCATTAATATCACAGTGTGTAAACTGAGAAATATCAGAACCGATATTTCATTAATATCACAGTGTGTAAACACTGGATATTATACATCTTACAGTGATATTTTATTCATATCACAGTGCGGAAACACTGGATATTATACATATCACAGGGACATTTCATTTGTATCTCTATGTATAAACAGTGGATATTATAAATATCATCGATATTTCATTTATAGCCCTATGTGGAAACACTGGATATTATATATATCACAGCTATATCTCATTTATATCTCTGTGTGGAAACGCTGGATATTATAAATATCACAGCAGGATTTCAACTTTATTCCTGTGTGGGAACAGTGGATATTATAAATATCACAGCGATATTTCATTTATATCCCTTTGTGGAAACACTGGATATTTTAGTATTTCATTCATATCCCTATGTGGAAACACTGGATATTTTAATACTTCATTCATATCCCTGTTTGGAAACACTGGATATTTTAATATTTCATTCATAGCACAGTGCGGAAACACTGCGTAATATAATATTTCATTCATATCCCTGTGTGGAAACACTGAATATTATAATACTTCATTCGTAGCATAGTGTGGAAACACTGGATATTATAATATTTGATTCATAGCACAGTGTGGAAACACTGAATATTATTTCATTCATAGCACAGTTTGGAAACACTGCATAGTATAATATTTCATTCATTGCACAGTTTGGAAACACCGGATATTATAATATTTCATTCATAGCACGGTATGAAAACACTGGATAGTATAATATTTCATTCATAGCACAGTGTGGAAACACTGGATACTATATTTCATACATAGCACAGTGTGGAAACACTGTATATTATAAATGTAACAGCGATATTTCATTAATATCACAGTGTGAAACACTGGATGTCAGTAGTGATATCGATGATGTTACAAACATAACACAGTGTGTTAACACTGCATTATCACCCTGGATGTCAGTAGTAATATCATGGATATTATGAATAATATCACAGGGTGCTAACACAGTGTGTTCACACCCTGGATATCAGTAGTAACATCATAGACATTATGAATAATATCACAGGGTGTTAACACAATGTGTTAACATCTTGGGTATCAGTAGTGGATCAGTATCAGGATATCATCCTGGATATCACAGGGTGATATTATTCATAATATCATGGATATTAATTGTATTAACACCCTGGATATCAATAGTAATACACTGGATATTATGAATAATATCACCGTGTGTTAACAACAGTGGATATCAGTAGTAATATTGTGGATATTAGGAATAATATCACAGTGTGTTAACACAGTGTGTCAACACTGGATATTAGTGATATCATGAAAAATATCACAGTGTGTTAACACTGGACATTAGTAGTAATATCATGAATATTCTGAGTAATATAACAGTGTGTTAACACTGGATATTAGTATTAATATCTAATGTGTGTTAGTAATAATATCACAGATACTATGAATAGTATCACAGTGTGTTAACATAGTGTGTTAACACTGGATATCAGCATTAATATCATGGATATTATGAATAATATGGTATGATAACACAGTGTGCTAACAAACACTGGATATTATGAATATCATAGATAATATTAATATCACAGTGTGCTAACACTGGACACTATGAAGATCATAGATATTAATATCACATTTTGCTAACACAGTGTGCTAACACTGGATATTATGAATATCATATAAATTATTAATATCACAATGTGCTAACACTGTGTTAACACTGGATATTATTATCACGGTGTGCTAACACTGGATATTATTAATATCATTGATATTAACACAACACAGGGTGCAAACACTGGATATTATTATTAGCAAGTCACAGGGTGCTAATACTAGATTTTATTAATATCATATTATTATTAACACATCACAGGGTGCTAACACTTGATATTATTAATATCATAGACATTATTAACACAACACAGGGTGCTAACACTGGATATTTTTAGTATCATAGATATTATTAACATTGCAGTGTGCCAACATTGGAAATTATTAATGTCACAAATATTGGTAATAGCACAGTGTGCTAACACTGGATATTATTAATATCACAGATATTAGTAATATCACAGTGTGTTAATACAGTGTGCTAACACTGGATATCACTAATATGATAGATAATATAGATATTAGTAATATCACAGTGTGTTAACAGTGTGCTAACGCTGGATATTATTAATGTCACAAATATTAGTAATATCACAGTGTGCTAACACTGAATACTATGAATATCATAGATGTTAGTAATACCACAGTGTGCTAACACTGAATATCATTAACATTACAGATATTAGTAATATCACAGTGTGCTACTATTAATATAATAATGTTAATACTATTGACACTATATTAGTAATATAATAGTGTTAACACTGTTATTAATATGAGAGTTAATACTACTAACACTATATTTTTAATATGATAGTGTTAACACTACATTACTAATATGTGTTAACACTATATTATTAATATAATAATGTTAATACTATTAACACTATATTATTAATATAATGGTGTTAGCACTATATTATTAATATAATAGTGTTAACACTATATTATTATTATTATTTGAGACAGAGTCTTGCTCTGTCGCCCAGGCTGGAGTGCAGTGGTGCCATCTCTGCTCACTGCAAGCTCCGCCTCCCAGGTTCACACCATTCTCCTGCCTCAGTCTCCCGAGTAACTGGGACTACAGGCGCCCCCACCACGCCCGGCTAATTTTTTGTATTTTTTAGTAGAGACGGGGTTTCACCGTGTTAGACAGGATGGTCTCGATCTTCTGACCTCGTGATCCGCCTGCCTTGGCCTCCCAAAGGACTGGGATTACAGGCGTGAGCCACCGCGCCCGGCCTAACACTATATTATGAAACACTATATTATTATTATAGTGTAGATACTATTACATTATTAATAGTGTTAACACTATTATCATTAATATAATAGTGTTAATACTATTAACACTTTATTATTATTAATTATAATATTAATATACGAGTGTTATTAATTATTAATATAATTATAATACTGTTAACACTATATTATTAACAATTATTATTAATATAATAGTGTTATTAATATAATATGTGTTAACACTATAATAGTGTTAACACTATATTATATTGTTAATATTATAGTGTTAACACTATTATATGATTAATAGTGTTAATCATGTATTATTAATATAGCAGTGTTAATAGTAACCCTATATTATTAATACAATAGTGTTAATGCTATTAACGCTATATTATTAATATAAGTGTTAACACTCAACACTATATTACTAATATAATAGTGTTAATAGTATATCATTAATATAATAGTGTTAATACTATTAACACCATATTATTAATACTATTATTATTCCCATTTTACAGATTAGAAGCCCAGGACCCAGGAAGGAGACACAGGAAATTTATTCAAAGTCCCCACGCTGGTAATGGCAGAGCTAGGATTTGAATTCAGATCCCTCCCGCTCTCTGTTCCTCCGCCCCCACACACCCGTGAGCGAAGCCGGTACTGTGGGCAGACGCCAGGGCCTGGTTTCCCCACCCTCCACCCGCCAGGTTTGCGGTGGCCGGGGCGGCAGGTAGGGAGGTGAGCCCGCGTCTCCTCCGCAGAGCTGGAGCTGGAGCTCCGCTCAGAGGCCCAGGCTCAGTGGGCTCCTCCCCCGGGTCGGGGCAACCCCCCGCCGGGGCCTCTGGGGCCAACGGAAGCTCCAGGAGCGCGGTGGAGCCTGGAGTGGAGGGCGAGGGTCCCACCGTGACCCGCCTGGAGGGCAGCCCAGCTCTGGGACGCGAAACCGCCTACGACGGTGCCGCAGGTGGAGGGAAGGGTAGAGGGGAGACCAGTATGGGGGAGAGCAAGGTGGCCCCACAGGTTGGGAGAGGATGTGGGGAAGTCCCCCTACCCACCCAAGGCCGAACATCGCCTAACTGGCTGTGGGACGCCCGGGGCAGGGGCTGGGGGCGGATGGCCTGGTTAGGGCCCAGCTTGGGGTCTTGAAAATATCCCTATGGCTTTGGGGCCACAGAAGGGCGGAGTCCTGGCATTCAGGGGAAAGGGCCGAGGACGGTTGTCAACGGGAAGGAACCTCTGACCCTACCCTGGGTCAATGTGCAGTCCAAGTTGCCACAAATGACCGGAGGAAACAGTGGGAAGGGAAGGTCTCTTTCCCATTCCAAACCAGGATGCCCTTCAGGTCGCCCACTTCCTTCATCCCCAGAGCAGCTGCCGACTTTCCTGTTAAGTGCCAGGGCCTGGGAGGTGCGGGGCTGCAGCTCAGGCGCTGAAGGGGGCCTAGGGTCCAGGAACCTCCTGCCAAGCCAGTGGTCCTCAGACGCTGGTCCAGGCACCACCACGGGGTACACAGCTTTTCTTACCTCCTGGTGTTATGGGTCCTTTCTGTTTTTTGAGACGGAGTCTCGCTGTGGCTGTGTCGCCCAGGCTGGAGTGCAGTGGCACGATCTCGCCTCACTGCAAGCTCCGCCTCCCGGGTTCACGCCATTCTCCTGCCTCAGCCTCCTGAGTAGCTGGGACTACAGGCGCCCCCACCACGCCTGGCTAATTTTTTTTTTTTTTTTTTTTTTTGTATTTTTAGTAGAGACGGGGTTTCACCGTGTTAGCTAGGATGGTCTCGATCTCCTGATCTCGTGATCCACCTGCCTCGGCCTCCCAAAGTGCTGGGATTACAGGCGTGAGCCACCGCACCCGGCCCATGGGTCCTTTAAAAAATAATAATTTGGCCAGACGTGGGGCCTCATGCCTGTAATTTCAGCACTTTGGGAGGTAAAGGTGGGAGGATCACTTGAGCCCAGGGGTTGCCTGGGCAACATAGCAAGACCCCATCTCAAAAAAAAAATTAGCCAGGTGTAATGGCATACACCTGTAGTCCCAGCTACTCGGGAGGCTGAGGCAGGAGGATCGCTTGTGCCCAGGAGGCATGAATGCACCACTGCACTCCAGCCTGGGTGACACAAGACCCTGTCTCAAAAAAGAACAACAACAAAAATTTGAATAAAAACCAAACCAGTGACAGTAGATAAGTTGCTTTGTTTTTAATGCTCTTGGCAAAATAAAAAGTTGGCAGTCGTATATTCCCCCATTCTCTCTCTCTTTCTCACACATGCACATGCCTATAAGAAAGCATTCTCTGGATCCACAGAATTCCAGATTTGGGAATCACTGAATTGAACTGCCGGCCATTGGTGGCTGGTGAGACTGTCCTGGCAGTGATGCAGTATTCTGGTCCCTGTGCCAGCACTGATGGGCTGTGGAATCCTCCACCAGTCATTCCCTCTCTCCAGCTCTCCATCTCTGCTTCTGTACAAAAGGATCTACCAATCCCCTCTTATATTCAAATATCTATGACCTTTCAGTCTGGCCTATATCCGTGCGGATCTGAAGTTGTGTATCCGAAGATGTAACCTTGTCCAGTGCTGGCACTAAGGGCTGCTTCAGGGAGGGACCTGGACTGGTGCCCAGGGAAAGGAGGACAAGGTCCTCATCACTGGAGAGTGGAGGGGGCAGTGGGAATGGGACAGATAAGGGGTAGTGCCCTGGGGTATACCTGGCCCCAAAGTAACCCCGGGCTGTGAAGACAAAAGCACTGCATCACATGATGTGTTTCTGTGTCTCTCTCCCTAGCAGTTCCAAGAGCCTCTGAGTTCCTGCCTTTTTTCATCTCTGAATCCCCACCATTGGCCTACATTGGGAGTGGGGCGACCTGTAAGTGCACAGTGAATTTTTGCTGAGGGAGTGGCTGGGAGGGCTGCGTGGAGTGGACAGCACCAAGCTGCACTTTTCAGGGGAGTGGGGTTTGGAAAATCTGGGGAGCAGAACAGGCACCCCCGCCCCCAGGAAGGAACCCAGGTGTATTAGTCTGTTCTCATGCTGCTAATAAAGACATACCCAAGACTGGGTAACTTATAAAGGAAATAGGTTTAATTGACTCGCACCACATGGCTGCAGAGGCCTCACAATCATGGCTGAAGGCGAATGAAGAGCAGAGTCACATCTTTCATGGTGGCTGGCAGGAGAGAGCTTGAGCAGGGGAACTTCCACTTATAAAACCATCAGATCTTGTGAGACTTATTCACTACCACGAGAACCGTATGGGGGAAACTGCCCCCGTGATTCAATTATCTCCACCTGGCCCTGCTCTTGACACATGGGGATTATTACAATGCAAGGTGAGATTTGGGTGGGGACACAGCCAAACCAAATCACCAGGTACAGAGGCCAGAGGAGCCTGGGGATGACGGTGATGTTCCAGGTGTGGAGGGAGACGTGGCAGGCGTGGGGACAGGAAGGTTGGAAGGTTGGGGAACTTTATGAAGGGAAAACTGAGAAGATGAGGAAGGCTGATGAGATGGAAGTGGGGTTGGGGAGAGGGAAGAACCAGCATGAGCTCAAGGCTAGGGTTTGGGTGAAGGAGAGAAAAAAAGGTAGAAAATAAAGGAGACAGAGATCACTTCTAGTCACATACAGGTGGAGATGGGGTAGACAGGAAGAGGTGCCCCCTATCAAATGAGAATGCCCAGTGTACTCCCATCTATACAGAGGACAGGATCAAGATGCAGCCATGACTCCTTCCCATTGAGTTCTAATACTAGAAGGATGCCTCAATGCCCTCTGGTCCAACAGACTTCATCATTTTAGATAGAAGGAAGTGGAAGCCCTGAGGTTGGGGTGACTTGTATGACCTGGAGAGTGGATGGGAGATGGAAAGGGGACATTTAAAGAGAGGGAAGGGCTGGGTGTGGTGGTTCAAGCCTGTAATCCCAACTCTTTGGGAGGCCAAGGCAGGAAGATCACTTAAGCTCAGGAGTTTAAGACACCCTGGGCAACATAGTTAGACCCCTGTCTCTACAAAAAATTAAAAAATTAGCTGGGCGTGGTGGCACGCACCTGTAGTCCCAGCTACTCAGGAGGCTGAGGTGGGAGGATCACTTGTGCCCAGGAGGTTTAGCCTGGGTGACAGAGTGAGACCCTGTATCTAAAAACAAAATATAATAAGGAAAGAAGGGAATAATTCAATTTTTCAAGTGGGAAGAAGAGAAACTAGAGAATGTCAGAAAGGAAGAGAAAGTACAAACATTTTCAAGTCACTCTGACAGCATCGAAGATGAACATGTGTTTACCTGTTTATAACCAGGGTACTTGGGTGTGGGGGGTACAGGAAGGGAGCCACACCTCTGCCCTCTGCCATTAGGCTTGTTCAGCCATAGCCATTGGTAGCTCTCAGAGACGCCCCCTTCCCTGGCTGCAGCAAGTGTCTGCATGGGCAAAGACGCCCCCTTCCCTGGCTGCAGTGAGGGTCTGCATGGGGATTGGGTAGAGGCCCCAGTGTCTGCACTGGGCAAGGTTTGCACAGGGTGTGGGAGCAGGGGAGGAAAGCATGCTCACTTCGAGGGCCTTGTGCTCTCTACTGCCCAGGCACAGCTTGAAAACCGTGATGCTGCCAAGCCCAGCCTGGCACAGGCAAGGGTCCCCAGGTCTGGCTTTGGGTAGGACTTGGAAAGAAAGACTGTCATCTTGGGGTGCACCTCCCTTGTCACATCTTCCTTTCACCTGATGCCCCCTTTCTGCACTGCCAGGTAGCGAGGGTCATCACAGTGCCACCTGGAGGCCTCTGGCCAGGCCCACCCTCCCTGCAGCTCCAATCACCGTCCCTGCTTCCTTCCTTCCCATTGCTGGATAACTCTCATTCCTCAGAGCTGCCAGGCTCAGCACAGACAGAGGGGAAAGCAGATTCGTTGAAACAATTTGTCCTGAAGTTGGGTGTGGCCTCCAGCCCCTTCTCCCACAGGGATATCTGAATTTTAGAAGTCTGCCCTCCATCCCTGCCCTCCCAACTTTAACCAAGCACCTGAGTGCTCAGCACTGTGTTGGACACTTTGGTATGCGTTATTTCATTTGGTCCTCTCAGTGGCAGGTGTTGTATTCTTATCATTGGGCAGGTGTTATAATATATCCTTCCTTATCCTTAGGCAGGTGTTATATCCTTCCTTTTCCAGATGGGGAAAGCAAGGTCCTGAGACTCTGAGCAACTTCCCCAAGATCACACAGCTAGGAAGTGATGAAGCTGAGACAAGACCAGCCAGCACTTACCCACCACGGTGTAACTACTCATTCAAAAGATGACATCTTTTGAAAATTTTTATTCTTTCAGAGACAAGGTCTTGCTTTGTTGCCCAGGCTGGAGTACGGCGGCATGATCATAGCTCACTGCAGTCTCTAACTCCTGGGCTCAAGAGTTCCTCCTGCCTCATCCTCCCAAGTAGCTGGGAACTACAGACAGGCACATGCCCCCAGCCTGGCTAATTTTTAACAATTTCTTGTGGAGACTGGTCTGACTGTGTTGCCTAGGCTGGTCTCAAAACTCCTGAGTTCATGCGATCCTCCCACCACAGCCTTCCAAAATGCTGGGATTATAGGCATGAGCCACCAGTGACTGGCCACAAAAGGAGACATCTTAGTGACAGATGGTGATGAAAGAGAAGATGGGTTTGGGGGAGGAACTCCACGTGATAGGGATCCTTCACTGAGGGCCCAGGCTGCAGGAGGCTCTATGAAACACCAGAACTCTTTGTAAAACTTCCTGTTTGTACATGACCTGCTCATTTCTCAGCAGGGGCTCCTCCTGTGCACATGGACCTCTCCCCACCTAAACCCACAGTTCCTGTGGTCAGAAGGCCAGTCACTGAATAAGGGCACCTAAGGCTCTGGTCTGAATATCTCCCCTTGGTTCTCAGTCTGAAATCCCAAAAGGAAGACAGTTGACTGCAAAATAGGCTGGAGTTGTCCTGATGGCCAGTAGAGGTGGCTGTTGATAGAATTGAAAGCTTAGGGCCAGGCATGGTGGCTCACACCTGCAGTCCCAGCACCTTGGGAGGCTGAGGCGGGTGGATCACCTGAGGTCAGGAGTTCGAGACCAGCCTGGCCAACATGGTGAAACGCTGTCTCTACTAAAAATACAAAAATTAGCTGGGCGTGGTGGCGGGCGCCTGTAATCTCAGCTACTCAGGAGGCTGAGGCAGGAGTATTGCTGGAACCTGGGAGGCAGAGGTTGCAGTGAGCTGAGATGGTGCCATTGCACTCCAGCCTGGGCTGACAACAGCGAGACTCCATCTTAAAAAAAAAAAAAAAGAATTGAAAGCTTAGAACTTTAGTTTTTTTCTTTTTTTTAAATTATTTAATTTTTTTTTTTGTTTTTTTTTGAGACAAGGTCTTGCTCTGTCACCCAGGCTGGAGGGCAGTGGTGTGATCATGGTTCACTGCAGCCTTGACCTTCCTGGGCTTAGGCGATCCTCTCACCTCAGGCTTCTGAGTAGCTGGGACTACAGGTGTGCAACACCATGCCTGGCTAATTTTTGGTAGAGACGGGGTTTCGCCATGTTGCCCAGGCTGGTCTTGAACTTCTGGACTCAAGCGATCCGCCTGTCTCAGCCTCCTAAAGTAGTGGGATTGCAGGTGTGAACCACCGCACCCAGCTGAAAGTTGAGAACTTTAAAGCTGAGGAGGCCTTGTGAATGGCCCAGTTCAACCTCCTCAGTTTACCAGAGGAAGAGGGCTCAGAGAGGGAACCTGACATGCCCAAGATCACCCAGTGATTTAGCGACAGAAAGCATTTTATGCATTTTTTTTTTGGTCTGCTGCAGAGGTGTATAGGCTGTAAAGTTAAGCAAAGAAATCATCATTTACTGAGTTTCACATATGCGCCACACACAGCACTGACATTTCCCCAGCCACTGTCTCCTTCCCTCTGTGCTGCAGGAGAATTTGGGTCGGTGTCCCACCTCCACGATCACTTTTCTCTTACACAGGTGATGCTGACGTTAGAGGACAAGGACATGAAGGGATTCTCCTGGGCCATAGTCCCAGCCTTAACCTCCCTAGGCTACCTGATTATACTGGTGGTCTCCATCTTTCCCTTCTGGGTGCGACTGACAAACGAGGAGTCCCACGAAGTCTTTTTCAGTGGCCTATTTGAGAACTGCTTCAATGCCAAATGCTGGAAGCCTCGACCCTTATCCAGTAAGGAGGGATGGAGGCGGGGAGGAGAGAGAGGGAGATGGGGCCAGTGTTGGGACAGAGGTGGGGGGTGAAAGAACAGGGTGGGAGCAGAGAGGACAAAATCTAATTAGCTCAGGGCTGGATGCGGTGGCTTGCACTTGTAATCCCAGCACTCTGGGAGGCCGAAGCGAGAGGATTGCTTGAGGCCAGGAGTTCAAGACCAGCCTGGGCAACATAGCCAAACCCTGTTGCTACAAAAATGAGAAAATTAGCTGAGCATGGTGGCATGTGCCTGTAGTCCCAGCTACTCAAAAGGCTGAGGTTGGAGGGCTCCTGCTTGAGCCCAGAAGTTCGAGGCTGCAGTGAGCTGTGATCATGCCACTGCATTCCAGCCTGGGAGTGAGAGTGAGGCCCTGTCTCAAAACAACAACAACAACAACAACAACAACAACAACAACAAAACACAAAAAATTAACCAGGCTTGGTTAACCCAAGGGTAGACTCTGGGATATCTGGGGCTTCAACAGCAACTTTGACTCCTTATCCCACTGCCAGCTGCCCACCTCTGCCAGCTCAGGAGGGTATGCAAACTCATTTTCACATGGGTCTGCATCATGCCAGCAGTCAGAGAACAAATCACCCTGTTATCAGACTCTGGCTCTGCTAATTTTGGTCTATTTCACTACTTCTGTTATTGTTGTTGCTTTTACAGATGGGGACTCACTCTGTTGCCCAGGCTGAAGTGCAGTGGCGTGATCATGGCTCACTGCAGCCTCCAACTCCTGAGTTCAAGCGATCCTCCCGCCTCAGCCTTCTGAGTAGTTGGGACTACCTGTGCTCACCATAGCTCCCAGCTAATTTTTTAATTTTATGTTTTGTAAAAAACAGGATCTCGCTTTGTCACCCAGGCTGGTGTGATCACAGCTCACTGCAGCCTCCAACTCTTGAGTTCAAGCGATCCTCCCACCTTAGCCTCCTGAGTAGTTGGGACTACAGGTGCGCACCACAGCTCCCAGCTAATTTTTTAATTTTAGGTTTTGTAAAAACAGGATCTCGCTCTGTTGCCCAGGCTGGTGTGATCATAGCTCACTGCAGCCTCCATCTCCTCAGCTCAAGTGATCCTCCTGCCTCAGCCTCCCAAGTAGCGGGGACTACAGGTGTGCCCCACCGTGCCCAACTTTTTAAAATTTCTTGTAGAGATGGGGTCTTACTATGTGGCCCAGGCTGGTCTCCAACTCCTGGCCTCAGGCAATCCTCCCACGTCAGCCTCCCAAAGTGTTGAGATTACAGGCGTGAACCATTGCACCCAGTCTCACTCCTATTAACTAGGAAAATTAAATAAAGATGTGGGGATTCCCTCAGCGTTCAGAACATTTTGACCTCACAAAGTTTTGATTTTCCACAGGCGAATTACTTCAGGGTAACCAATACAGGTGTGATTCTTCACATTTGCATGTGCAACAAATTTTATCACAAGAGTTTGATTTTGTGTTGCTTTTTAAAACCACCATTTTCCCCTAGTGGATGATACATGGTTTGGTACAACCAAATTCCCATAATAACATTTGTTAAGGCCAGGCACGGTGGCTCACGCCTGTCATCCCAGCGCGTTGAGAGGCCAAAATGGGAGGATCGCTGGAGCCCAGGAGGTTGAGGCTGCAGTGAGCTATGATGGTGCCACTGCACTCTAGCTTGGGCGACAGAGCAAGACCCTGTTTCTACAAAACATAAAAATAAAAAAATTAGCCAGGTGTGGTGGTACATGCCTGTGGTCCCAGCTACTCTGGAGGCTGAGGCAGGAGGATTGCTTGAGCCTGTGAAGTCGAAGTTACAGTGAGCTGAGATTGCACCACCACACTCCAGCTGGGGCGATAGAGGGAGACCCTGTTTCAAAAAAAGAAAAAATATGTTTATTAAGAACTGGTGATTTCAGTGTCTGACATTGTCAATTTAATTTTTTTTCCTATATTTCTATGCCATTGGGAATCAAATTGTGGGGCCAAAGCATTCTTGGGGCCAAAGTGGCATGGTCACAACCTTGGTCCCAAGGCCATGCTTTGGGATCTAAGGGTGGTGGAGGCTCCGGGGGCCAGCCCTGCCCAGGCTCTGAGGGACTCTGACCTTTCCGGGTCAGGGTTCCCAGCTTCAGCCCCACTTCTCCCTCCCCTGCAGTTTACATCATCCTCGGCCGGGTTTTCCTGCTCTCTGCAGTTTTCTTGGCTTTCGTCACCACCTTCATCATGATGCCCTTTGCATCCGAGTTCTTCCCGAGGACCTGGAAGCAAAACTTTGTGTTAGCCTGCATCAGCTTCTTCACAGGTGTGGAACAGCTAGGTGATCCCTGACCTTCGCTAGGGCCTGGGGAGGAGTCCAGAGAAAGAGGGGTGCTCAGTCTCTGTGATGTCAAAAGAGGCATAATTTTTCTTTTTAGGGACAGGGTCTCACTCTGTTACCCAGGCTGGAGTGCAGTGGTGCTATCATAGCTCACTGCAGCCTTAACCTCCCAGGCTAAAGTGATCCTCCCACCTCAGCCTCCCAAGTAGATGGGACTCTAGGCATGTGCCACCATTCCTGGCTAATTTAAACATTTTTTTTTTTGGTAGAGATGGGGATCTCGCTATGTTGCCCAGGCTGGCCTTGAACTCCTGGTGTCAAGCGGTCCTCCTGCCTCAGCCTCCCAATTGCTGAGATTACAGGCATGAACCACTGCACCTGGCCCCTTTTGACATTTATAAAGGGTGACCCAGGCTCCACCCTGAGAGGCTCCTAGGCAAATGGTGGAGGTAGAGCAGTAGGAAAATGGGATTGCATTTAATCCAAAGTGTTGCACCCTCTGCTAAGGTGCAGAGGTGAGCTAAGGGCAGATGCAGAGGGTGCTAGGAAAGGGAGTTCTGATGATGGTTCCCTGGAAGGTAAAGCACATGGGCTTTGAAGATGAGTCAGAAAGGAGGGAGGGACAGGCATCTGGGTAGGAGTTTTGTTTCAGAGAGGGGGCAAGGATGAAGGAGCCTCCAGGCAGGAGCCACAGGGGGTGAAGTTTGGAGGGAAGGCGGGTAGCATGGGAGGAGACCGAGGGTGTCTCCCTGTGACCCTCCAGGGGCCTGTGCCTTCCTGGCTTTGGTGCTGCATGCCCTGGAGATCAAGGCTCTGAGGATGAAGCTCGGCCCCCTGCAGTTCTCCGTGCTGTGGCCTTACTACGTGCTGGGCTTCGGCATCTTTCTGTTCATAGTGGCTGGTGAGTGTCCAGGGAACAGTGCCCTGCTTCTTGTCCTCGGTCTGGATTTAGGAACCTGTCTTGTGGAGGCCCTCCCTTTGGATTCTCTAGAATTGCACTGTTCCAAACCGCAGCTGCCAGTTAGACGTGGCTATTTAACTTTCGTTAATTAAAATAGTTATTGGCCAGATGTGGTGGTTCACACCTGTAATTCCAGTGCTTCGGGAGGCCGAGATGGGTGGATCACTTGAGGCCAGGAGTTTGAGACCAGCCTGGCCAACATGGTGAAACCCCATCTCTACTAAAAATACAAAAATTAGCTGGGCGTGATGGCACATGTCTGCAATCCCAGCTACTCGGGAGGTTGAGGCAGGAGAATCGCTTGAACCCAGGAGGCAGAGGTTGCAGTGAGCCGAGATCACATCACTGCACTCCAGCCTGGGTGACAGAGCAAAACTCCATCTCTAAAATAAAATAAAAAGTTATGAATTCAGTTCCTCAGCCATACTAGCCACATCACCGATGTTCAATAACCACATATGTCCAGTGGCTATTGGACACTGTCATATTGGACAGTGCAGACAGAGAAATTTCCTTCTCTGCAGAACGTTCTACCTGACAGCACTGCTCTGGAGCTTCAACCCCATCCTTGGCCTTCCTGTTCTTATCCTTCTTGACTTAGAACTAAACTCTTTCAAATTTTTATAGTCTCCCTTCCACCATCCTGGTTCCTTAGGCTATCTATTTCTGTCTCTACCTTTTTTTTTTTTTTTTTTAAGAGATAGGGTCTTGCTTTGTTGCCCAGGTTGGAGTGCAGTGGTACAACTGCAGCCTCCAACTCTGGGGCTCAAGCGATCCTCCTGCCTCAGCCTCTTGAATCACTGGAACTACAGGCATGTGCCACCATGGCCAGCTAGTTAAAAAAAAATATATATATATATATATACACACACACACACACACACACACACACACATATTTATATATGCACATATATATGTATGTGTGTATATATGTATATAGACATACATATATGTGTGTGTGTGCACGTATATATATATATATATATACACACACACATATATGTGTATATATGGCCAGGTGCACTGGCTCACACCTGTCATCTCAGCACTTCGGGAGGCCAAGGCAGGTGGACCACCTGAGGTTAGGAGTTCAAGACCAGCCTGGCCAACATGGCGAAAACCCATCTCTACTAAAAATACAAAAATTAGCTGGGTATGGTGGTGCGTGCCTGTAATCCCAGCTACTCAGTAGGCTGAAGCAGGATAATCACTTGAACCCAGGAGGTGGAGGTTGCGGTGAGCTGAGATCTCACCACTGCACTCCAGCCTGGGCAACAGCGGGACTCCATCTCAAAAAAACAAACAAACAAAAAACCACATATTTAAGCTTTTATTTCTTAATTTCCCCTTCACCAAATAGAGTTACAATATTTTATATTTTAACCTTTTAATTCCATTTTTCCATGATTTCCATGAATTCTTTGAAGTTCTCTCACATTTTATTTAAAATTTTTGTGGCTTTTAGTGGTAGAGTAGTCTGCTATAATGCTGAAAATAGAAGATGTCTTTTATCTTAGTCTTCATCTTAACACAGCATTGATCATTTACTCAAGATATCTCCATTTGTTGTCTCTTTTTGTTCCCGAGATGGAGTCTTGCTCTGTCACCCAGGCTGGAGTGCAGTGGCATGATCTCGGCTCACTGCAACCTCCGTCTCCTGGGTTCAAGCAATTCTGCCTCAGCCTCCCAAGTAGCTGGGACTACAGGCATGCACCACCATGCCTGGCTAATTTTTATATTTTTAGTAGAGATGGGGTTTCACCATGTTGGCCAGGCTGGTCTCGAACTCCTGACCTTGTGATCCACCCACCTCGGCCTCCCAAAGTGCTGGGATTACAGGTGTGAGCCACCGCGCCCGGCCACTTGTTCTTTTTTTTAAAGGGACAAGGTCTTGCTCTGTCGCCCAGGCTGGAGGGCAGTGGTGTGATCATAGCTCACTGCACCCTTGACCTCCTGGGCTCAAGTGATCTTCCTGCCTCACCCTCCCAAGTCAGTGGGGCTTCAGGCTCATGCCATCATGCCTGGCTAATTTTAATTTTTTTTTGGTAAACACGAGGTCTTGCTATGTCGCCCATGATGAGTCTCGAACTCCTGGGCTCAAAAGACCCTCCTGTCTCGGCTTCCCAAAGCACTGGAATTACAGGCGTGAACTACCACGTCCATCCCTCGTTTGTTCTTATTCGTGTCAGTTGTCTATCTTTTACTTCACTGAAGGTCTTGGGTTGGGCCTGGGTTTTGTGTTGGAACTTCCTTTCTCTAAACCTTAGTTTTTTTTTTCACCCATTAATGGGCTACATGATTGCTGAGATGTCTTCTAGGTGCTGACCATGGGTCTGTGATTTTATACATGTATTTGTACTTCTTGTCCTTTGACGCATCCTGTCTGTAATCTCTCTCTGTAATACTCTAGATTGGGGGGCAGAATGAGGGAGGGCAGCTCTGGAGCTAGAGGGACCTGACCTCTAGGGCGTGGAGCTCTGGACTTTCTCTGACCTGACCCAAACGTTGGCTGTTCCCTAGGTACCATCTGCCTCATTCAAGAAATGGTTTGCCCTTGCTGGCACTTGTTGTCCACTTCCCAGAGTATGGAGGAGGACCACGGGAGCCTGTACCTGGACAATCTGGAGAGTTTGGGAGGAGAACCGAGCTCAGTACAAAAGGAGACACAGGTGACAGCAGAAACAGTCATCTAGCCCAGGACATGGCTTCTTTACCCTTCTTCAAGCCATGTGAGTGTACACATGTAGCTGTTTGTAGTCCTCCCCACCCTCTCTGCCAGTATCTGTGCCTTTGAGGAGCTTCTTGCGTGTCAGATCAACTCTCCACCTCCCCATACTCACAGTGATTCTATCTTGCTTGTATGTGAAATTTGCTAAAAGTCCTTTCAACTCTTCTGAGCTTCCTAAGTGACGTTTTTGCAGGTATTTTCAATAAAAAGAAGGGCTACTTTGTTCATCCATATCTCAAAAACCAAGTCCGCAGGGCAGGAGGGGAGGGAGGAATATTACAAGATAACCAAGTGAAATGGGATTTTGTGAAACAGAAACCGTACAGAATACAGAATATACTCGGGGGAATGACAACTATTTGGGCTGGTGGCACAGGGGTAAAAGAATTTACCAAGACGGTTGTAGATAAAGAAAGGCAGATTTATTAAAGGAAGTATAAAAGTACATTGCCGGGCTGGGCGTGGTGGCTCGTGCCTATAATCCCAGCACTTTGGGAGGCCGAGGCGGGTGGATCACCTGAGGTCAGGAGTTCAAGACCAGCTTTATCAACATGGAGAAACCCCGTCTCTACTAAAAATACAAAATTAGCCGGGTGTAGTGGTGCATGCCTGCAATCCCAGCTACTCGGGAGGCTGAGGCAGGAGAACTGCTTGAACCCAGGAGGTGGAGGTTGCAGTGAGCCGAGATCACGCCATTGCACTCCAGCCTGGGAAACAAGAGCAAAACTCCGTCTCAAAAAAAAAAAAAGTACATTGCCAGGGAGCAACAGGCAGGACCAGCAGAAGAGGAGCTGACTGAAAGGAAACAAAGACTTGTTGGAGATTTGATGGCATAGTGTTTATGCTGTATGCTGAAGAGGGCTTTGTGCAGTACTGATAATGCCAGTGTTGCAGTGAGCTAACTTGCAGGTGTCTGGTGATAGCTTGGGCGCAGGAAGATTGTGAGTTATTTGCACAGGAGGGCTACGTGTCCTGGACCATGAAGAAAGGCCGACTTGTAGCTTATCTGCTTCTTCTTTTTGCTTTCCCCTCCTCACACCAACCTGACTCCTTTTCCATAATTAGGACTGCACATTAGCCAATCAATATATCTGGCATTCCATCATTTCCCTATAGCCAGAGGCCTCCCGAGTGCTCCTCCAGTGTGCTCCATTCACAGCCCTATGGTGCTTGCATCACAGGGAGCACTCAGCCTCCTAGCAAGAATGGGTGTAGCTGGGAAGAACACATGTGTGGGGCAGTGGGGCAGCTAGAACAGTGATCCAAGCCCTCCACTGGCTTCATCTCTATATTAGTCTGTTTTCACGCTGCTGATGAAGACCTATCTGAGACTGGGTAGTTTATAAAGAAAAAGAGGTTTAATGGATTCACAGTACCATGTGGCTCAGGGTGGCGGGGGGGTGCTCACAATCATGGTGGAAGGCAAAAGTCATGTCTTACATGGTGGCAGGCAAGAGATAATGAGAACCAAGCAAAAAGGGAAACCTCTTATAAAACCATCAGATCTCATGAGACTTATTCACTACCACGAGAACAATATGGGGGAAACCGCCCCCATGATCCAATTATCTTCCACTGGGCCCCTCCCACAACACGTGGGAACTATGAGAGCTACAAATTCAAGATGAGATCTGGGTGGGGACAAAGCCAAACCATATGAATCTCCATCCTTCATCTCAAAGATACCACCTACCAATGGCTTCCCACTTCTCTCTCCAAAGAACAAATGTGCAGAAAAAGCTCTTAGCACTTAAGCAGTGCAACTTCTAAAGCAAGTGCAGGGAGCTGTGGATGTCTTTTGGGAGAGGAGATACAATGGACATGGCTAGAGTCACATGGACTCCCTGGTGATTAAACAGCATTCATTGAAGGTGAACTCATGTGGTACACCTTGGGGTACAAAGAGATTTCAGAATTTGTCCCTGTTCCTAGAAGCAAACACCCAAGCAGAGGAACTAAGACATACACACTTGAACAACCAATTCTTTTGGAATTTCTTTTTTTTTTTTTTTGGAGATAGAGTCTCACTCTGTCACCAGGCTGGAGTGCAGTGGCACGATCTAGGCTCACTGCAACCTCCGGCTCCCTGGTTCAAGCGATTCTCCTGCTTCAGCTTCCTGAGTAGCTGGGACTACAGGCGTGTGCCACCATGCCCAGCTAATTTTTGTATTTTTAGTAGAGACAGGGTTTCACTATGTTGGCCAGGATGATCTTGATCTCTTGACCTCGTGATCCGCCCACCTTGGCCTCCCAAAGTGCTGAGATTACAGGCGTGAGCCACCGCGCCCAGCCTGGAATTTCTTATTACATTTCTCTCCAAAAGGTATCTTGGGAGTTTCTTATAGGGATACGATTACAGCCTAGTTCCAAATTGTCTCACTTTTCCATCTTAAAAAAGAAACCATAGGAACTGTAATTGTCAGTGAAACTAGGAATAGAGAACATCTACAAACTCCAACTTATGTATCTGTGGCCCAAACCACCCTAATCCAGCATAACCAGTTTGGGAAGCCACAGATGGGAGACTGGCTTGGTGGGCACAGTAGGGCAGATTAGAGAACATATAGGGGTTCCAGGGGTAGCAAATTTCAAATCATTAGCAAATATCAACCCTCAGATGCCTGAGAAGGACCCACCCTAAGAGGGAATGGCTATGAATGCAATAGAGAACAAACATGGTGGGATGTGTGTTGGGGAGGGGTGGAAGACATGGAAAGGGCATTGGGGCCTGTAGAGGGAAAGATTTAAGAATCAGCCTGACTTAGTTATTTCAGCTTAGAATTAGAATAGGCCAGTAGTCCATGACTCACCTCCCCCATCTTCTCACCCAAATTCCTATAAATAACCAGAAAAGAATGGAAATTCGGCCAGGCGTGGTGGCTCACGCCTGTAATCCCAGCACTTTGGGAGGCTGAGGTGGGCAGATCACGAGGTCAAGAGATCGAGACCATCCTGGCCAACATGGTGAAATGCCATCTCTACTAAAAATACAAAAATTAGCTGGGCATGGTGGCGCACACCTGTAGTCCCAGCTACTTGGGAGGCTGAGGCAGGAGAATCGCTTGAACCCAGGAGGCAGAGGTGGCAGTGAGCAGAGATAGCGCCACTGCACTCTAGCCTGGTGACAGAGCAAGACTCTGTCTCAAACAAACACACAAAGAATGGAAATTCATGCCACCAGTGAAAGCTAGGATTGATGATGGATTTATTGCCAGAACTTGGGAAGAATTTTTACTAAAGCCCTATAAAAGTGGTCAAATAAAAAAAATTAAATGAAAATCAAATCCACAAAGATTAGAAACCAGTCTTAGCCAATTTTGGTGAGTTGAGCACTCTCATATACATTTGATGGGAATGTAAATTGGCATGAACTTTCTGGAAAGCATTTTATAATAGCATATGCATTAATAGGTTTAAAAATATTCATACCTGGTGGCCCAGAAGTTGAATTTTAGGAATTTATTCTAAGGAAATAACCAGGGGTGAGGTTAAGTATTTATACAAAGGAATGCTTGTTCCAGGTTATTTATAATAGCAAAAATAAAAGAGTATATTCTAGATTATTTCCCCCATGTTGAAATAATTTTTAAAAGTATAGTGTATTCAGAGGACAGAATATTATACAGGCAGTAAAAATGTAATTTTAAGTGTCCTATTTGGAAGAAATAAAAACATATAAATAAAGAAGCCTGGAGACATCCTACATCTGATAACATGGCAGACTAAATAGTTGGGCTGATTCGTCTGCCAAAAACAACAGAAATGATAAAATAAATAATAAAATCTAAAGATATCAGGTAACAAAATAGTAATGAATTATAAGATAACATCAAAGTAAAGAATAATACCTAGAGAAATCATCTTGCAGAGATTTGATTTTTTAAAACTATGCCTAAAGTTTACTCAAGGAAGAGCATCTGATAAGAGAGCTTTCCCCCCATAAACCAAGGACTGCAAAAGTGTGGATTATCAGAAGAGATCCGGTACATTCAGGGTGGTATGGCCATAGACAAGGGCTGGGTTATCAATGTAAGGGTGAGAGATAAGTCTCCTCTCCCGTACCCCTACCACCAGGAGCCAGCAAGGCAATTTGTCTTAGTGCCACGCTGGACAACCACAAAACCACAAAGATTTGTGGTTGAGAAGTTGCAACCACAAATCACCCCTCAATATTTGCAGCCCAAATTCATATTACTATTATAGCATGGTTCAAAAATCCTCAAATTATAAATTTGGTTTACAATGACCTTGGACTGGTGATGCTGACAAGAAAAAAATTTACATGGAAGAAAAACAATATCAACCCTCTCTAGATAAATTCACTTTATCCTGGAACTCAAAGAAATTTCACAAAAATGTTTCCAAGGAAAATGAGCAGCCTGTCACACAAGGAAACAAGGTACTGTGGTATGTTCGAGGAAGGTATGTTTGAGGAATGCCCCCAATTAATGTCCTGGGGACATTATTTAATGCTCTAGGGACATTATATAATGTCCCCAGAACTCATAAATCAATAAGAAAGAGATAAACAGCTTAATAGAAACACAAAGAAAAGTCCGTTCACAGAAAAGGGAAGGCAAGAAGTTAATGAAAGTAGGAATAATGACTGACCTCACTTATAATGAAGAACATGCAAATTAAAAAATGAGGTAACATTTACTTCACCTGTCAATTGGCAAAAATTAAAGCTGGATAATGGCAGAGATGATGAGATATGGGAAATGGATGCTGTTAGGTACTGCTGGTGGAAGTGGCACCATCAAAAACAGTGGAAATAGCAGATCACAGAAAGATATCTGAGGGGACTTCAGATCTCAGAATTATCAGGCTCAACTATATTTACTATGTACAAAGAAAAGCTTAAACATATCGGTAAATTCTTTTAAAAGATCGATCTAGAATATTTGGAAAAAATCAAATAGAAATTCTAGAAATGGAAAAAATATATTAATTAAAACAAAAATATGGGTGGCCAAGTGGGGAGGATTGCTCGAGCCCAGGAGTTTAAGACTAGCCTGGGCAACATAGTGAGACCCTGTCCTTACAAAACATTTTTTAAAGATTAGCTGGGTGTGGTGGCTCATGCCTGTAGTCCCAGCTATTTGGGAAGCTGAGGTGGATTGCTTGAACCCAGGAGTTGGAAGCTGTAGTGAGCTATGATAGCACCGCTGTACTCCAGCCTAGGTGACACAGCAAGACCTCGTCTCTTAAAAAACAAAACAAAACAAAACAAAAAAACAACAACTGTGGATTTTGTAGCACATTAGAAACAGCTGAAAAGTGGATTATTAATAAAAAGGTGAAGACATAAACCCAAGTCAAATATGGGCAGACAAGAAAAATATGAAAGTGGGACAGAGACATGGAGGATAAAGTGAGATGGTCTAACACCTATGTTATATTCTAGGAGTTCATTTACTCTATAAGTGTATATTTTTAGCAAATATTGTACCAGACACTTTGCAAAGTGCTGGAGAAGAGTAAGACAAGAGGGTTTCCTGTTTCCTGAGTGGATTCTGGAGTAACACTGGGCCACCCAGTTGAGACAGACTGCCTTCAGGCTGGACGCGGTGGCTTGCGCCTGCAGTCCTAGCACTTTGGGAGGCCAAGGGGGGAAGATCGCTTGAGTCCAGAAGTTGGAGACCAGATTGGGCAACATAGAGAGATCCCCCTCTCTGCAAAAAATTGAAAAAAAGTCCCAGCTACCCAGGAGACTGAGGTGGGAGGATTGCTTGAACTCAGGGCTTCGAGGTTGCAGTGAGCTATGATCTCACCACTGCACTCCATCCTGGGAGACAGAACAAGACTTCTCTCTCTCTTTCTCAAAAAACACAAACAAACAAACAAACAAAAACCCCCCACAAAAAACAGCTCCGATGCTGGCTCCTCCAGGAAGCCTTCCCTGACTACACATACACACACGCACGCACACTACCCGGGGTCAGGAGCCTCTTAAGTGAGCCGGTTAGATCCAGTGCGCCCCCTATCTCCTCTGCCCCTACGCCTCGCGCAAGGCCCTCGCAGCCGGAATAGTCGCGCATTGACCGACTGGACTCTAAAGCCCCTTGGGGCAGGTGCTGTGTCCAGTAGTGTATCTGGCGATGCACCGAGTCCTTTCCACGGAGGGCAAGCAGGTGAAATGGCACGGAAGTGGAAGGGGCCTAGCCACAGAGCGCCTCGAGCTGGGCAGTCAATCCTGGGGAAGCCCTGGTGGTCTTCGCCTCGCCGGGTTCGGAACAGCAGGCTGGGATCAGCAACCATCGAGACGCATCCGCCGAGACCTCCGAGCATCCTAGAGAGGACACGGAAGCGAGTCTTTCCTTACGCACCTGTCTAACAGCGTCCGCAGCTCACTTCCGGACCGCGGATAGCACTGGCGACCCTAGCGGGTGAGAGGCCCTTCAGGGCCGCGGCGGGTGAGAGCCTCTTCAGGGCCGCAGCGGGTGGCGGGCGAAGTGGTAAACGGGCGCGGGGACGGGTTTTGGTGCCGCTACGGGGCTCGGCGGCAGCGGGGTTGCAGTAGAGCCCGTCTCCCTCCGCTCAGCCCCGGCTGAGGGCGGCAAGTCTCTCAGGAGCTGCCTTCAGCGGCCCCGAGGCCCTGCGGGTCTGGACGCTGAGGGGCCGCCGCGCTGTAGGCTCAGGTAGGAGCGAGGCTGATCCCGCTCTGCCAGGCTTGGCTTAGTGCAGGGCTGGCCACGAACCCGAAGAGATCTTGAACCAAAGCAGAACTCTGTGCAAAGTGAAAGTAATCACATAGGACACTTATTTAAAGAATAGTGATGAGCCAGCCTGGTCAACATAGCGAGACCCTGTCTCTACAAAAATTGAAAAGTAGCCGGGCGTGGTGGCACGCGCCTGAGGTCCCAGCTACTCGGGAGGCTGAGGCAGGAGGATCGCCTGAGCCCAGGAGTTCAAGGTTGCACTGACTTACATTCATGCCGCTGCACTCCAGCCTGGGCAACATGGGGAGACCCTGTCTCTACAAAAATAAATAATTAGCTGGTCATGGTGGCACTCGCCAGTAGTCCCAGCTACTCGGGAGGCTGAGGTGGGAGGATCGCTTGATCCTAGGAGGCAAAGGCTGCAGTGATCGCACCACTGGTCTCCAGCTGGGGTGATAAAACCCTGAGATCCTGTCTCAGAAACAAAACAAAAGAGTCACAATGGGTGGGGGGAGATAAAGAATAGCAATGGGGCAATTTCTATTTGTCAAATGGCAGAGATAAAAGATGAATGAGGATCTTTCTTGCCTCCAGGGAATCTGTTAGAGGGAGACACATGGGTAAACATTTGCACTGTAGTGCATTAAATGCACTAGTGGAGTGAACCAATGCAATAGCTAGAAAGGAATGAAAGAGAAATCTCAATGTTGCAGAGTCAATGAATAGACTGAAAATATAAACTTGGTTTAAGTGGGGGTAGATAAATACACAAACTCACAATAGAATATTTAGCAGAAGCTTTGGGGTGTGCCTCCTGCCAGCTGCCCATTCTCTGCTCCAGTCAGGTGATCTTTCCGTTTTCTGACAAGCAGGATCTCCTTCCCCTGGTGCTTTGGACTTCCAAGTCTGTCTTCCCAGTCTAGGTCTTCCGCATAATCCACTTGGAGGTAAATAGGACTCATTCTCCAGTCTACTTCAAGCCTCTTCTTTTCCTTGAGTACTTGGACTTAGATTAGTTTTCTCTCTTTTTGACTTCACATTTTTTTTTCAATCTGTACCATGTATTTTGGGAGGCAGTTATCATCTAGTCTCTTTTTTTTCTTCTGAGAAGTAGGAGGAGTAGCACTCATCCTACAGAAGTGTTTTAAGTATTAGATGAAATATGTGTTCACATGCTTTCTAAAGAGTAAAGCCTGTACAAGTTAGAAATCTTTAGGTCATTTGTCATAATGGTATATATGTTGCTCCATTGTCTTTTTCAGGTTGAGCGCACCATCACATCTAAGCCATCAGCAAGTTTGTTGGTTTTAATCTCCAAAATACGTCTTGATTTTGTCTGACTCTTTGCCACCACCCTGATCTAAGCCCTTATCATCTGCTTGAATCACTGTAAGTGCCATTTCCCTCTTGCCACCTCTAGCCTATTCCCTGTCAACACACAGGCAGAATGACTTTTATAAAACATGTAGTTCCTCGCTAAAGTAAGAAATAAGAATAAAGTTCATAATTCTTTCTGTGGCGCAGGCTCTGGGTGATCTGGTTTCTGTCTGCCTCTGCCACCTCTTCTGGTGCAGCTCTGCTCGTCACTGCTGAAGCCACACTGGGATATGGCTTGTTCTTGGACACCCAGAGTAATTTCTTAGCCTCAGGGCTTTTGCCTGGAATGCTCTTAGAATGACTGACTCATTCTCATCCTTGAGTCAGCCTGGTATCATGTCTTTAGAAAAGCCTTCTTCAAGTCAGTTGCCCCCTGTTAACAGAGCACCCTACTTATTTTCTTTCTAGAACTTGTCTCCACTTGCAGTTTTTAAAAGAGTTGCTTCCATTTGACTTTTTCTGTCTGCTGTACCAGCATATGAGTTTCAGGAGGGTAAGCTCCCAGTGTGTCTTGTTTTCTATTTTATTTGTTGTTTCTGCCTGCCTCTTGTGTGTGTATATGTGTGTGTTTGTGTGTTGCATGTATGTTTCCTTTAGTATTGGAAGAGTAGGCCCTGGTGACTCACCCAGTTATAACCCATTATATATTATTCTCTGATTGTAGTGTTATTCTCCAGTGAGATCCTAAGTTATTTGTGGGTATAAAAGCAAAATCTTAGACATTTTCTGTTTAGTCTCTGTACCTAATAGTTGCTTAGCAAATGATTACTATGTTGAATTGACCTGACTTTTGGGATCTGTGTTCAGTCTTTTGAAAATGCCTTGTAAAAGGTAATTACTGTGTTCTCCAGTGGAATATTCCTTGATGTAGAGACAGAACTGGGATGGGCTGACCTTTCATGTGTCTCTTGTTCTCAAAAGGGTCATTGATGCAGTCATTCTCAGTCTCCTCGGAGGGAGTCTGAAGATGCTTAAAGAGCATCCAGAGATGGCGGAAGCTCCTCAGCAGCAGTTGGGTATTCCTGTGGTGAAACTGGAGAAAGAGTTGCCATGGGGCAGAGGAAGGGAGGACCCTAGTCCAGAGACTTTTCGGCTGAGGTTTCGGCAGTTCCGCTACCAGGAGGCAGCTGGACCCCAGGAAGCTCTTAGGGAGCTCCAGGAGCTCTGTCGTCGGTGGCTGAGGCCCGAGTTGCACACCAAGGAGCAGATCCTGGAGCTGCTGGTGCTGGAGCAGTTCCTCACTATCCTGCCCCGCGAGTTCTACGCCTGGATCCGGGAGCATGGCCCAGAGAGTGGCAAGGCCCTGGCCGCCATGGTGGAGGACCTGACAGAAAGAGCACTGGAGGCCAAGGCGGTGGGTGAGGAGGGGATCCAGGTCTGGCGCCCTTGGCGTGGGCAGGGAATGTTAAAGAATCCAAAGATTTGAGGAAGCAGTAGGAGTGGACGAGGTGTGGAGCCGCCCTCCTCTGCCCTCAGACTCCCTGAGGTTCTTTTTGGAGAGCAGTGGCGTTTTCAGCAAGAAAGGCCATTCCCAGGGGAGATGCTGCCATGCAGAAGGGCCTGAAGCCTCTGTTTGGTCATGAGGGCAGAGGCCTGGCCATATTTCCCTTGTGGGCATCAGGCAAAAAGAAGGCAGTTGTGATTGTTTTTGGGGTCCCTCATAGACCTGACCCTGCTTTGGACAGAGATGCCTCTGGGAAGGCAGAGAATCCCACCTGGGGAATATTTTTCCGGAAAAGGGTTGTCCATGGCAGTACTGTTTCTCTGTGGCTCATAGGGCTCCTGTAACAATTCTCTGGTGCTGCTCTAATGACACCAAGTGATTTGGCACCGCACGTGCTTCCTTGAGGTTCCAGCCATATTTCGGTCACTTTGTGGTACAGCCCCCTGATGGATGACTGGGAAAGGAGAGCAGGACTGATGACACCGTCTTGCTCACAAGCCCCCGTCCTTCTGTAGTTCAGCCTCCCGTGCACACTCTCGTCACCCTGACTTCCTGTCTTCAGAATCCTAAGAGAATTTTTTCCTACTCAACTCAGGAGCTTAAAAGTGGACCCAGAAATGCCTTGTTTTTGTGAGTACTTCTCAGTGAGAGAGTCCTCCTGATTTTTCTTGCTCTTTTTAATTTATTATTTTTGAGACAGGGTCAGTCAACAGCCTAGGCTGGAGTGCAGTGGCACAATCCTAGCTTACTGCAGCCTTGAGCTCCTGGCTCAGTTGATCCTCCCACCTCAGCCTCCTGAGTAGCTGAGACCACAGGCATGCATGCCTGGCTAATTTTTTTATTTTTTGTAGAGATGGAGTCTCGCCATGTTGCCCAGGCTTCCTGGCTCTCTTTAAAGCAACTATTTCTCACTGGCCTGTTCACTGCAGGGTCTAGGCTTTGCATTTTTTATTTTCAGCTTTTTCAATTAGGAATTTTTTTTTCTAGTAGTGAGTATATTGTGTTAAAATCCTCAGCAGGATAATATTTGGGCTTGGTGATGGCAGGTAGAGGGGACCCTTGTCAAATGGCGTGGACAGATAAAAGTTGCTCAGGGCCTGATGCATGAGTTTAGCTTCCTTTTCACTTCCTCACTAATGTCCTGGGGAAGAGCTCAGCTGATTTTTCCTTCCTCTCCCCTGAAGCTGGAATGGTTCTTTTCTTGGTTCTCTTTTTAGATTTTAGTTCAACTCCCTTCATAACAGCCTTGCCCAGGCCTCATTCTAATCGGTGTTGGGAACTGTTCTTAGGTTCCATGCCACAGGCAGGGAGAGCAGGAGGAAACAGCACTTTGCAGAGGCGCTTGGGAGCCAGGCATCCAGCTGGGGCCAGTGGAGGTCAAGCCTGAATGGGGGATGCCCCCTGGGGAAGGAGTTCAAGGTCCAGACCCAGGTACCGAGGAGCAGCTCAGTCAGGACCCTGGAGATGAGACACGGGCCTTCCAGGAGCAAGGTGAGTAAGACGCAGATAGTGGGGATGTCAGGTCATAGGAAACAGTGCTGTGCAGCCAACTCTCTTCAGAAACCCAGCAATGGAGCAACTAAGTTACCCACGAGGTGTAATTGTGAATTTTCTTGGCTACTTCCTCCACCTTAGGAAATAGATGAAGTGAAATTGTTTCTTCTCCCTTTACCCTCTGGTGTCTGGAGGGGATATCTGGGATCATGCTTTCTTATTATTTCTCTTTTCTTTCCCTCAGATCCCTTCTAGAAACTACCAAGAAATATTCAGCTGACTTGCAGGAATACTTTTTCAGTAGGCAGATAAACCATATCCCCCAAAGTAATATGTAGCTTTCTTTCTTTCTTTCTTTCTTTTTTGAGATGGGGTCTCACTCTGTCACCCAGGTTGGAGTGCAGTGGCGCGATCTCAGCTCACTGCAACCTTTGCCTCCTGGGTTGAAGCAATTCTCCTGCTTCAGCCTCCCAAGTAGCTGGGCCTACAGGCATGTGCCACCATGCCCTGTTAATTTTTTTGTATTTTTAGTGGAGACGGGGTTTCACCATGTTAGCCAGGATGGTCTCGATCTCCTGACCTCGTGATCTGTCCACCTCAGCCTCCCAAAGTGCTGGGATTACAGGCATGAGCCACCGCGCCCAGCCCACGTAGCTTTATTTTGTTATTGAATCTCATAGGAGGTTATTCCCAGAGTGTGACTGGGTAGCATGGGTAGCCCTGGACGGACAGGGCCGGGACAATCTTGCCAGCTGAGAACAGGAGACACCCAGGCCCCAGCTGAGAATAGGGCAAGGGACACCCAGGCCCCTGTGCATGGGAAAGTGTGGTACCAGAGTGAAAAGGGATTCTGTCTGGAGTCTTCTGGTTCCTGAGGTTGTGAGCATCTGGTAGGGGACACATTTGAACGAGCTAACAGCATAACATCACTGATCCTTCTGATCTTTCTCATGCTTTTTGTCCCTGCTCAGCACTACCTGTTCTGCAGGCGGGTCCTGGCCTCCCCGCAGTGAATCCCAGAGACCAAGAGATGGCAGCTGGGTTCTTTACTGCTGGATCGCAGGTGAGCTCTGACTCCCTTTGCAGAAATCATGACCGTTGCTTTGATTGAGGTTCACCTTCCCCAAGGTTTCTCTGCACAACAGTGTTCCCTTCCCGCCCCAAGTTGAGTCATTCTCCCTTCCTAGTCCCGGTGGACCTGATGGTGTGGTTTCCTCCACTGAACCATCAGCCGCAGTTGTTAATTTACATCGAACCTTATGTCTGTCGCCCAGGCTGGAGTGCAGTGGCACGGTCTTGGCTCACTGCAGGCTCCGCCTCCTGGGTTCACATCATTCTCCTGCCTCAGCCTCCCAAGCAGCTGGGACTACAGGCACCTGCCACCTCGCCTGGCTAATTTTTTGTATTTTTAGTAGAGACGGGGTTTCACCGTGTTAGCCAGGATGGTCTCGATCTCCTGATCTTGTGATCCACCCACTTCGGCCTCCCAAAGTGCTGGGATTACAGGCATGAGCCACCGCGCCCAGCCACAGATGGACTCTTACAACTGTTACAGATAGAAACCCCCTAGGGCTATCTAGGCTGTGCTGATTGGCCCCGAGATAACCCTTTGTGGGTGCCGTTTATGGGTACTTCTGCTGCTGATTTTTCTGTTTTGGAAACTTTCCTGTCCCCTAACCTCAGCAGGAATGTGGCTGACTCAGGGTTGGGGCTTTCAGAAGCATTGAGCAGGGTGGTCTCTTTGGCCATACAGGCCACACTAGGAGTTGGACCTCGTTAACATTACTCATCTGCCACAAATGAGGTAACTGAAGCATAGATGGGGTGCTCTCTTTTCCACAGGGTGCTGAGCACTAGTAGCAGGGAGGTGGGGGCTTTCCAGTGGGGCACCTTCCTCAAGGAGGCGAGTCTAAAAGAGTTCTTTGAAGAAGAAAAGGTGTTTGGCAGAAAAAAGAAGGGGATCAAGTCTGGTCCTGCTCAAGCCGTATTTGGGCAAGGCTGGATGCCAGCATCATTTCCCTTTTCCTGTTCTCCAAGGATGTACTTTGGAGGGGATGAGGAATGACATCAGTGCTTTTTAATTTGGTTGGATCCTCCCTTGTACCATAATAGTTCTTCGTGGTGCAGTGAGTGAGAAATTGAGGATGCATTTATTTTATCACAGCCTTGTTCTTAAGACAGGGCTTGGCCGAATGTGAACTTTGTTCTTGATGAGAAGGTAAATAGCGGCTGCCAGGCTCTGTCAAGCATGAGGTGTGAGTGGGAGGCTGCTGCAGAGTGGAAATGAGGTGACTTAGTTGTTAGGGGCAAGCTGAGCCCCAGCCACAGAGGCTCACAACTGCAGTGGCTCAAACAAGTGGATTACTCCCATTCAACTGTTGGGAGGAAGCTGGTTGGGAGGAAGTTGGATTACAGACATGAGCCACTGTCTCTGGCCTAGGATTCTTTCTTTATTCATAGCAATCTCCTATTGTTGCAGGGGTTGGGGCCATTTAAAGATATGGCCCTGGCCTTCCCTGAGGAGGAGTGGAGGCATGTGACCCCAGCCCAGATAGACTGCTTTGGGGAGTATGTGGAACCGCAGGACTGCAGGGTCTCTCCAGGTAAGACTGTCTCCACCCACAGGTGAGGAACTGGGGAGTTCTGAAAGCTCAGGTCAGGGGTCCTGCCGTAGCTCTGGCGCTCCTGGCAAAGGAAGGGGACTTCATGGCAGGCGGGTAAATGGGTCCAGCACGGACCATGGGGCACGAGGAGCTGCTTTCCTGTGTCAATAGAGGAGCCAAATGATGGAGCAGGAAAACATGAGGCCATTATTCTGGCTGTATGGAGACAGGTCGGTCATGAGGACCCCCAAACACCTACATTGTGTCCATGATTAAAGACACTGAGGGCTTGAGAACAAGATACGAACAGCAAAAGATGGGGCATCTGAGCTTGTTCAGATATTTATTGAGTGCTCCCTGCATGTGGGCCCTGTGTTAGTGGTTTTCTCTTGCGGCAGGAAGTGGGCAGGACTAACGTGCACGAAAGCGTTGGAGCTCACGGTGTGCACGTAGGAGGGCACGAGGGGGCTTCGCGATGGGAGAGGTTGGAGTGGCCCGAGTCACAGAGGAAGCAGAGCTGCGCTGGGACTCAGGTGGTGGCTGGGTTTGACCTGGGCTCAGAGCCTGGGGGGATGCGGCCATTGTGTGTGACAGCAGCTCATGGGAGGAGGAGCAGCGAGAGAGAGCCCACAGGGGCTGCCAGCAGAGCGCACTGCGGGGCTTTGGGGCTGCCAGGGCAAGGGACAGTATGGAGAGTCTGCATGCGTGGAATCAGGATGCCGGCGGGGAGAGGAAACACTGTGGCTGGAGCGGCCTGTCCTTGTTCTTTGATTTTCTTCTTTTTTGTTTCATAACTTCTTTGTGAGTTGTACACTGACCACCCATCTGTACCGACCCCACCTAGCCTTTCCTTATCCTGAAATGCCTTGAAGGAAGAGCAAGATTATCCCTGTGCTTCCTTCAGGACGTAAGAGAATCCATCCTGCCCCTCCACTTGCTGACCCTGACCTTGAGCATCTCCCTTGAGCTTTCCAGGTCTCAGTTTCCTCTGTTGTGGAATGGGGCTGTTCATGGAACCTGTCCTCATGGTGCCATGAGGATGAAGGGAGGTGACATATCTAAATGTGTGGTGACCATGGTAGTGTTAGATTGTTTAGTTAGTGCTGTAAGTATTACTAAGGGATTCTTGTAGGAGCCCTCAGCCTTCACTCATTTATTCACCACAGAGGTGGACTTGGCTCTGTGGCCATTGCTGTTCTGGTCACTATGAAGAGTTAAAAATAAAGGCGCTTGCCTGTGGGGTCTTAGAGTTCAGGGGAAGAGGCCATGTGCATGTAATAGTGGGATACGGTAAGGGGCACTGGTCTCCTGGGAGACCTGGGTCCAGGGCACGGTTGACACAGTGTGGCAGTGATGCAAGTGGCAGAAAGATGTCAGCATACTTTATGTGGAGATGTGTGATTGCTGTAACGGCAGAGGATGACAGAACAAAGCAGGGGCTCGAGTGATGAGCCCCAGACAAAGGTGCCAGTGTCCTGGTGCCAGGGTCCCCCTCAGGGATATTCCCCTCCCAGTGATGCTGCTGTGTGGGGTGAGGAGCCCCTCGCCCCCATTCTCAGAAGATTTTCATGCTCTCCTGGCCATTTCTGACTGTTCTGGAGACTGGTTCTGTCCTTGTCCCCTCACCAGCTCAGTGTCTCAGAACTCAGAGCAACTCAAGCCCATACCTGAACATTTCTGCCGCCAGGTGACACGAAGGCCTGTTTCCCAAGTGTACCATTCACTTGCTGTCCCAGCTTTCAGGTCTTCCTGGGATTCACACTCGGGTTGTCCTGGTGCTTGTACTGACAGCTGCTTGGGGCTGGGCCTGAGCTGCTTCACCTGTAAAGAGACTGAATGCACAGGGCAGGGTTGAGCTAGGTGGCTGCCCAGATCACTTCCAGTTGTTCGTCTGTTCTCATTAGCAGACGGTGAGGTGCAGACCTTGTTGTCTGGGTTGTAATTGCAGTAATGTCCACAAGGACTGGAGCAAGAACTCACAACAGGATTTGGAATCACAGAGGCAAAAAGTAGCAGGTGCAGAAACCTGAATGCAGGACTCTGCAGGCTGGTTCCCAGGATGGTGAGGGTCCTGGAGTGAAAGATGAGTGCTCAGAGGAGTAAGGAGGAGGCAGGAGTGAGTAGAGTGAGGCCGCTGAGGAGTCCGTGAGGACTCTGGGTCCTTGTTTAAAAATTTTTTCTGCGCAGAGTAATGTGATGGAGGTTTTACTTGAGGAAAATTGGATTGACGGCAGGGTACGGCCAGTCTGGAGGGTTGAAATAGTGTAGGCACTGGGGTAAGAGCAGGAACCAGGCCAGTGGTCATGTAGAAGGGGGTTTACTGAAATATGCTTCCAAGGATGGGCCACAGATTGGCCAGAGGGGAGGAAAGAGAAGAGTCAGAGAGGAGTCTACGTCTTAGGATCCTGGCTAAGGGCCTGGAAAAATTATGTTACTACTGTCAGAAAGAGAGGGAAGCATTTTCCTAAGAGGGAGGAAGAATGGAAAGTTCCATTTGTTGACTTTGAGATCTAAGTGGATGGTCCCTGGAAGTAGCTGCAAGTCAGGTACATGGTCTGGGAGTTAAAATAATATCATGAACCATTGCATTCCTGCTCCATGTGTGCAGTAAACTTCATGAGTGTACAATCCATTTTGAAGGTGGTGAATGTAAGGCTCAGAGAGGTTAATTGATTTTCCCATGATCACACAGCAATTGAGCAGCCAGTGCAGCACTCAAAACGGGTTTCTCACTGCTAGGTCCCTTCTCTTCCACTACTGTGTCTTTCTCCCAGTGTCTCTGTTTATACTTAGGTATCATTGTATTTATTTTTCCCCCAGCTTTATATTTTGAACTCTTATTATACAAATTTTCAAACATACAGAAAAGCTAAGACTAGTACAGGGAACACACTTAGGTCTTTATCTACATTCACCAATTGTTAACATTTGCCATATTTAGCTGTATAATGTGTGTTTTGTTTTGGAATGATATGGAAGTTGGAGGCATCTCAATCTTTCATTTGTAAATACTTCAGCATTTGTCTAACAATGACATTCCCAACATAGCCCAGTAGCATAATTTCATCTAAGAAAATAAACATAAATTCGATATATGTAACATCTAGTGCATAGTCAGCTTTCCCCAAGATCTAGTTGTGGTTTGTGCATTGCATTTAGTTTTAATCTTACTATTCATAACACCTCAAAACTGAAAACTACCCAAATGAACAACAGTCAAATTAATAAGTAGGTTGCAGTCTATCTGTATCTGTATATCTATCTATATATACATACACACACACACATACATATACTCAGTGGAATACTGTATACCAATGAAAAAGAATAAACTACAGCTTCACACCATGATATAGGTGAACGTCACAAACATGATATTGAGTAGAAGAAGCCAGAAACAATGTGTGAGACAATTACCTGAAGTTCAAGAACAGGCAAAAAAGTCCAGACAATGTGTTCCCGTTGGTATAGTATATATGTATACTATATACGTATATCATGTATATGCTGTATACGTATATCTCGTATATGCTGTATACGTATATCTCGTATATGCTGTATACGTATATCGTATATGCTGTATACGTATATCTCGTATATGCTGTATATGTATATTGTATATACTGTATACATGTATATGCTGTATATGTATATACTGTATATGTATAGTATATATATGCAGGGTATAGTGATGGAGGAGATGTAAAAGGGGCTTCTAGGGACTGGTTATGTTCTGTTTGTTGAACTGAATGCTGTTTACGTGGTTGGGTTCGTTAAGAAAATTCTTTGCATAGTGTGTGGTGACGCACACCTGTAATCCCAGCACTCAGTGAGGCAGAGGCAGGAGGGTCACTTGAGCCCAGGAATTCGAGACCAGCCTGGGCAACATAGTGAGGCCCCCATCTCCACAAAAAGGAAAAAAAGGGTAACGTGACATTTTTTAGCCAGCGCTGGATCCAAAAAAATAAAAATAAAATCTTTGCGTGTACAAAACATAAATGGCTTGTACACTTTTATTTTCATGAAAAGTTTACAAAACAAAATCCAAGCTGATAAGTATGTATTTCATATTTTATCAAACCAGGAGGCATATACTGTCAGGTTTTTTTTGTCTTCTAGTCATCTTGCCTAAAAGGACTCTTCCGCTTTAAGCACCACTTATTTCTCCTTTTCTTTTTTTCTCTTTGCCTCTTTGTTCCCCAATACCTTTTCTTTTCTTTTTTTCTCCTCCCCTTTCTGTTACTCTTCCATAAACACCTGTTCCGTTAATTTAGAGAGAATATAAGAAGGATCAGAGTGAGGATGAAGGAAGGGTGAAGCTGAGCATTTCAGCAGCGTCATGGTCTCAGTCCTGATAAATATGCTACCTAGGGGCGTTCTCCTGCAGGAGCCTCAGTGAAGCCTGCTTCATTCATTCAGCCAGCAGTTAGCAAGCATCTTCCCTGAGTCAGTCCCCTGCCAGGCTCCTAGGAGACCCAGATGAATGAACCTGGTTAGGCAGAGGGAGCATGTGGGCAGGACAGGGGACTGAGCAGGCACCTGGAAGGTCTGGAGAGCTGTGTGCTGCCCTGTGCTACAGCAGGTGTAGAATCGTTTGGGGAAGGCGCAGGACATCTGGATGAATGGAAACAGCATTTCCAACAAAGTCACATGTAAATAGGTACAGAATAATAAAGTGCTAGTTAGGTGCACAGTGCTGAAGAGGCCCAGAGTAAGAGAATAATCGTGGTGAGTGTCTTAGAGGAAATTATTGAGCTACATTTTGTAAGAAGTAAAGGTCTAGATTAGCAGCAAGATAAGTGGGCGGGCACTGGAATTTGGCAGACTATTCTGTAAAAAGACATGGAGGTGGAAATAAGGAAAAAGAAGTAAGGAAAGCCTGAGTTGAGGTTGTTGGTCAAAGGAAAAAAGAGAAGGAACCATGAATGGGACCCCTGTGAAGCAGAGTTCTAACATGTAAATGTCCTGCGGCTACCACAGAATCAATCTTTATCTCCTCCTGTCCTGTAGGCGGTGGGAGCAAGGAAAAGGAGGCAAAACCCCCACAGGAAGACCTGAAAGGGGCGCTGGTGGCACTGACATCAGAGAGGTTTGGGGAAGCCTCTCTCCAGGGCCCTGGGCTCGGAAGGGTCTGTGAGCAGGAGCCTGGTGGCCCTGCAGGCAGTGCGCCTGGGCTTCCTCCTCCCCAGCACGGTGCCATCCCCCTGCCTGACGAAGTCAAAACCCACAGCTCCTTCTGGAAGCCTTTCCAGTGCCCTGAGTGTGGGAAAGGATTCAGTCGGAGCTCCAATCTCGTCAGGCACCAGCGAACCCACGAAGAGAAGTCTTATGGCTGTGTGGAGTGTGGGAAGGGCTTTACCCTGAGAGAATACCTGATGAAGCACCAGAGAACCCACCTGGGAAAGAGGCCCTACGTGTGCAGCGAGTGCTGGAAAACCTTCAGCCAGAGACACCACCTGGAGGTGCACCAGCGCAGCCACACTGGGGAGAAGCCCTACAAGTGCGGGGACTGCTGGAAGAGCTTCAGCCGCAGGCAGCACCTGCAGGTGCACCGGAGGACGCACACCGGGGAGAAGCCCTACACCTGCGAGTGTGGCAAGAGCTTCAGCAGGAATGCCAATCTGGCGGTGCACCGGCGTGCCCACACTGGCGAGAAGCCATATGGGTGCCAGGTGTGCGGGAAGCGGTTCAGCAAAGGGGAGCGGCTGGTCCGACACCAGAGAATCCATACAGGGGAGAAGCCCTACCACTGTCCTGCCTGCGGGCGAAGCTTCAACCAGAGGTCCATCCTCAACCGGCACCAGAAGACCCAGCACCGCCAGGAGCCGCTGGTGCAGTGAGCATAGCAGGTGGCAGGCAGCACCATCATTCATCTTTCTCACTGCAGGGCCTTGCGGGGTGCAAGGTGATGGCTGCAGGAAAGCACTGGTCCCATCGCCTTCCCACCCATTCGCCAACGCGGGAAAGGCAAGGCCTGGCTTACTTAGAGCTTCCAGAGAGCATAGCTGCTTCCATCTCTTACCCAAGTGGTGCTAAACAATTTTTCTTCCAATGTTTGAGGGAAGCAGTCTCCTGCGGTTCAGTTCAGGCTGAGATTTTCTCCTTCAGTGGACTGTCTGTGTCCCCCTGCCGAACAAAGCTGGGAGTAAAGGCAAAACCTTGACACGTGTTGGTAGCTGGGACCTCATCTTCCTGAGGGCTCTGTCTTGCCTGCAGGGTCATAGCTCAGACTCTTCCCCCACCCCCTCTCTTTTCCATTGAACAAACATTTATTGAACATCCTCTGAGCACCTGGCCGTGGGAATGCCGTGGTGAATGAGAGACTAGACGTGATGCCTCTGGGGGTTGTGCGTTGGGGATGCATGCGACAGCCCATGACCCGAGGCATTCTCAGGGTATCTGTGCTGTGTGCCCGTGAGAACATCTTCCCATGACCACTCCTGCCCTCCTGCCCCGTGCTGGATCTTCCCTCCCCAGCTGGGATCTGCTCCCAGGCAACTGTGTGAATTTTACATTATTTGGAGCCTCATCTGTGTCAGGCTATAACATTCTATCCTCATCTGTAAAACTTCCCCGTCCATTATTCCTTGCACTATAACAACTGTCAACACACCAACTATTAGGAAGTTAGTATTTTGCTATTGATCACTGAATAAACATCAGAGTATTTTAAAAAACAGTTCTCTAGAAAGAACTGTTATAATTAAAATGAGTCTGAAAGATGAACTCTAGTATTAATGCCCTATATTTGATGGCACTTTATAGTTCATAAAATTAATTTCACCCCATTCTCATTGGACCCATTTCCCAAGTATTTATTGAGGCCCTGTAACAAACATGTCAGGAACTCTTCTGGGTGCTTGAGACACATCCATGAATAAAATAGGGGGAGAAGCTGTTGACCTCGTAGAGCTTATGTCTCGTGGATGTACCTGATCTTCAGAACCCGTGGATATTCCTGCAAATCCTCTGGGCCTGTATTCATTGCTTTGTCAGCATCTTGCCCTGAAATGCATTTGTCACCTACCTCTTGTTACTAAATGGTCTCTGCCCTCCAGACCCTTGTCATCCAAGGCACTAGGGGTCCTGGACACCCACTGGGGATGATGAGCTGGTAGCGACCTGTTTTGCATGAGTGCCAAGTCAGGAAAAATAAAGATATTTGTAGGCATTAAAAAAAAATACATTTCTTTAAAAATGAGAAGATGCAATATTTGTAAACTGTTGAAGCTTCCTTATTGTGCCATCACTTAAGGGTTTCATTTCTGTTTAAAGTTCTGGAAGCTGCATAACTAGCGTGGACTGACTGCTGTGTCATTGTGCTGTGCCTTTGAACCCTGGCTGAGTGAGTGAGTTTGTCCTTTGTTGATAGTGTCCTATAATTGCAAAATGTGGTTTGTCTTCTGATGCCTCTTAATACCAGATTCTTTTACTGAGATTTTTTTTTTTCATTTTCCATTGTAAATAAGGTAAATGGTAATGACTAACACAAAGCTGTATTACTCAGCCCACTTTGAAACGTGGTTTTATCACCTGTTCTTGTTAGGCAGCATGGTGTCTAATTTTGGCTTAGCAAATGACGCTCCTTGGTCTTCCTGGCTCATTAGCTGTGCCCACGAGGCTGCACTGACTGGGTCGTAAATGTATCTGAGATGTCCACACGGGGCTGCTGCTGCTCCTCTGTAATACTGAGGTCCACATGCAAAATCAGCTTTTTTTCCCCCGTAATTATCAGAGCAGCTAGGCAGGGCTGACAGCCAGGCAGACTCAGTGGGAGGCTTCTGGCCTGAGTGTGGCCTTCCCCAGAGGGTGGTTTTCCAAAGGCAGGTGGGGACTGGGGAGGCCTCGGGGGGCTGCTTGTCATTACCTGAATCACAGATGCTCTTTTGTCATACACAGCCAGCATTCCTCTGGGTTTCAGCAAGTTGGCATATCTTAAGCTTCAGAAGGAGCTGGGCCTTGCTGACTTTCCTATCTGGCCTCTTCCCTATCTCCTGTGGGGCCAAGAGCTTAGGACAGTGTCTCAGAAAAGCCTCTAAGTAGGGGGTTTTTCCCATGGGATTGTGGTAGTCTGATTTTTCATATCTATTCAAATGTTAAGAAATATTTTGTTTTCTGTATTTTTCTATTCTTTAGAAATTTTTTTATAATAGATAATTTCAAACCTATATAAATAAATCCTTATGTATTTATCATTTGACTTTATTATAAACTCATAATCAATCTTGTTTCATCTCTGTCCACTCCTTCCTCCCCGTCTTCCTCCCCCACTGAAGTTTCGAAGTGTATCCCAAGTGTTGTTTATAACCATTTCAGTGTGTACCTGTAAAAGGTAAGGGCGGCTGGGTGTGGTGGCTTACACCTGTGATCCCACCACTTTGGGAGGCCAAGGTGGGATTGCTTGAGAGGAGTTCGAGACCAGCCTGAGCAACATAGTGAGACCTCATCTACAAACAAATATTAACTGGGCATGGGTGGTGCATGCCTGTGGTCCCAGCTATTCAGGAGGCTGAGGCTGGGCATCACTTGACCCCAAGAGGTTGAGGTTGCAGTGAGCCCTGATTGTGCCATTGCACTCCAGCCTGGGAGACAGAGCAAGACCCTGTCTCAAAACAAAACAGTTCCTTAATGTCAAAATATCCAGTGAATTTTAAGAACCCACCTAATTTTTCAATATAATATAATTTGTTGCTTTGTCTCTTAAGGCTTATAATCTGTAGTACTTATCCTTTTCTTCTTGAGATTTATTCATTTTAAAAAACTCGATCATTTATCCTGGAGAGTTTTTTACATTCTGCATTTTCTGTTGTTTTTTTTTTTTTTGAGCTGGAGTCTCGCTCTGTTGCCCAGGCTGGAGTGCAGTGGCACAGTCTCAGCTCACCGCAACCTCCCTGTCCCGGGTTCAAGCGATTCTCCTGCCTCAGCCTCCCAAGTAGCTGGGATTACAGGCATGTGCCACCATGCCCAGCTAATCATTCTGCATTTTCTGTTTGCATACCCATGGCGTGATTTAACATATTTCCCTGCCTTCTGTATTATCTAAAAATGTAGAAGTGTTTAGTGGTGTAATCAGATTCATATTTCACATTTTGGCAAGAACACATTATAGATTGTGACATGCCCTGTTTCTCTTCATATGATTTTAGAAGCCTAGATCTGCTTCTTTCGTTAGTTCTGTAAATGCTTCATCATTTAGTAGTTGGAATATTGTAAGAAATTTCCCTTCATTAACTTAGGTTACCCTTAGATATAGTTCATACAGGGAAGGCAAGAAAATGCTTGATCCTCCTCTTTATTTGCCTGTTTTCAGAATAATGAGCTAGTTACTTTTTGCTTCCTGTAAAGGCAGTCAAGTCTGTAGAAATCAATGCATTCATAGCTTTTTGCTTTTATTGGTTTTTTTGAGACAGAGTCTTGCTCTGTCACCCAGGCTGGAATGCAGTGGTGCAATTGTAGTTCACTGCAGCCTCAAACTGCCAGGCTAAGGTGCTACCCCTTCCTTGGCCTTGCAAAGTATTGAGATTACAGGTGTGGGCCACTGCACCTGGCCTGCACTCATGGATTTAAACATACTTGGTATTGATCAGTCTGCTGGAGTTATAATTTGATGCTCAAATTATTTCACCTTTGACCAGTGGAGGCCCCTGGACCTTGGCTCCTGAATCCTTTTGACATAACCCTAATTCTCATTGACAGCTTCTTTGCTTTCTGGCATGACAAGATGTTCCAGGCAAATGTTCCGTATTTCCTGCCCCTTTTGAGAGTGAAAGTGGGTGCTATTTATTATGCTGGGACAGTGGTGTAAACCGGGACTCTCCAGGTCAAACGGGTATTTGGTCAACTCATAGATGGGCCTCCTTTTGTATGACAAGGCATCTGTGGTTGCCTCACATTGTGATGATGCTGTACACCTTCAGTGTCTGGCTGCATGTGCCGTGCTGCTGGGTAATGAGGGAGGCTGTTGTCCTTTGCAAGAGAAACTCTGTTTTCTCCCCTGGGTGGTGGTAGAACCAGGTAACTGCCTAAGGTCTGTCCTGGGGAAATATTTCATCAAGAAAGTTTGGTCCATGTCATAGTGTGTGCTATGGGTGTTGTCTGCAGGCTGATTATGCTTAAAATACTTTCAGTACCTGTTTTATCCCAGCTGAGAGGCAAGGAGAACCTTTGTTTCTTAAAAAATAAGCTGGTTTCAGCCAGGTGCGGTGGCTCACGCCTGTAATCCCAGCTCTTTGGGAGGCCGAGGCGGGCGGATCACCTGAAGCCAGGAGTTCGAGACCAGCCTGGACAACATGGTGAGACCTTGTCTTTATTAAAAATGCAAAAATTTGGCCAGGCGCGGTGGCTCACGCCTGTAATCCCAGCACTTTGGGAGTCCGAGGCAGGTGGATCACAAGGTCAGGAGATTGAGACCATCCTGGTTAACACAGTGAAACCCCATCTCTACTAAAAATATATAAAAAAACAAAATTAGCTGGGCATGGTGGTGGGCACCTGTAGTCCTAGCTACTTGGGAGCCTGAGGCAGGAGAATGGTGTGAACCCGGGAGGCGGAGCTTGCAGTGAGCCGAGATCGCACCACTGCACTGCAGCCTGGGGGACAGAGTGAGACTCCGTCTCAAAAACAAAACAAAACAAAATTAGCCAAGCGTGGTGGCAGGCGCCTGAGGCAGGAGAATCACTTGAACCCGGGGGGCGGAGGTTGCAGTGAGCCGAGATCATGCCACTGCACTCCAGCCTGGGTGACAGAGCGAGACTCTGTCTCAATAGTAATAATAATAATAATAAGCTGGTTTCAAGTCCCCTCCCTCTGTACAGTACAGATTGACTTAATCCACTTCTGAGACAGGGAAAATGACAGGTAGCAACATGTTTCTGTAGCAGGTACTTGCTCTTAAACTTTGCCAGGGTTTCTCAACCCCTGCACTGTTAACATTTTGTGCCAGATAATTCTCTGTTGGCAGCTGTCCTGGTTGGTTTTTTTTTTTTTCACTGTGTAATTCCTTTATTTTCTGCATATTAGTGCTTTACTAACACTACAACCATAAAGAACACAGTTTCAGGTACTGTACTTTTTAGTTTGGGGCGATCATAGTCTACAGACTCATTTACTTATATTAAACAAGATTAACCTCATTCAAAACATACTGCAGTTTATAAATTCACATAAATACAGAAACTGATGCAATTAAACAACTTCAGGATCTTATTTTTTCAATTCTTAGATTATAATTTTTTTCTGCAGGCTATAATTACCTGCTCCAGTCACCAATGATTATTGTTCAATTTAACTACATCAATTATAAACCTCTTATATCCTTAAAGAAAATTTTAAGTGAAAATTACAATTTCTTACCAAAAGGTTTAGAGTTTTCCAAATTTCAAATATTTCCTTCCCCCTCCCCCATTTCCAGTCAGACATTTCAAATAAACTAAAAATAACCACATCTCACCTGCAACATTCAATAATAGCAATCACTTGATGTATAAAATTTTAACTATGCTCCCAGTTATTTTAAGACACAAAAAAGTGGCTGCCTACCAATCTGTCTTCACAAGTTAGAAATACTACATTGAAGATATAACATGGGCTGGGCGCGGTGGCTCATGCCTGTAATCCCAGCACTTTGGGAGGCTGAGGCGGGCGGATCACGAGGTCAGGAGATCGAGACCATCCTGGATAACATGGTGAAACCCCGTGTCTGCTAAAAATACAAAAAATTAGCCGGGCGTGGTGGCGGGCCCCTGTAGTCCCAACTACTTGGGAGGCTGAGGCAGGAGAATGGCGTGAACCCGGGAGGCAGAGCTTGCAGTGAGTGGAGATCGCGCCACTGCACTCCAGCCTGGGCAACAGAGCGAGACTCCATCTCAAAAAAAAAAAAAAAAAAAAAAAAGATTTAACATGAGGGTTTCAAGTTTCCTCCGGTTTAGGCATTTATACCTTTGTGCTTGTTTTGTTTCAGGATGTTACTATAGCATTGATGTTGGATAACCCATATTTATATACCTTAAAATGCAATCATTTAAAACACTAAGGATTACATTTATGGTGGAACTTTGGGAATTTTAGAAAGCAACCAGTGTTCTTAGATGTGTTTATTAGCCTTATTTCTAGAACTATTTCTACTAAAGTGAAACTGAGAACTTCGTACTTTAGTTGCATCTTGAAATCAAAAATCCCTCTGCACCAACAGGAGCCTACATGAGAATAACCTTTTGCATCTGCTTTAAGTAAAATGTTTGTCAAGAGTTTTACTTTAAATAGTTCATTTTTTTTATAGTCTTACACTTCTCATACGTCTTTGGTAAAAGCTCCATTATACAATATGGCCAAAGCGTGAAGGACCAATACTGTCCAACTATACCAAGATGTCCCGCTTAATTTTAGTTTTCAGACACACTCATAAACAAAACCCACTCCACCTTTTCCTGTATACTGCCTTTGCAGTCTACATTTCTTAAATTCCCTATTTAATTCCTTGAGGATCACTAAAATTATTCCTTAAGGCTATATAGGAGCCAGATGCTGCTTTACAATTCTGCATCAAGCATTAACATTTGGTTCAAAATATTATCATAGTGGTTGCAATCCAGTTACTGGTCCTAGCCAGCTAACCAAGTAATCTTGTTAGGATCTAGATATCATCAGCGAGCACACTGCTTACACATGAAGAAAAATTAAGTTTACATTCATTGTAATCTGTAGGTTCTTTGTCCTCATCCTCCATCCACTTTAATAGTCCATCCCTCAAGTCTACACATCATTCATTCATCATGCTTCCTTCCTTAAAGGAGACAGTGTACTATTGAACCAACAGGGTATCTTTTTTATTATTTGCATGAGTTAATCCTACAAACAAAATTAAATACCTTTTTTATAAAACATATTTTTCAGTGTTCTAATTGATGGAGGTGTGGATCACACATCTATAAAAAATGACTTATAGCTTCAGCTTAATCAGTTGCTATAATGTGAAAACAGGAATGTGTATTTTTTTCAACTAGGTAAAAGGTGCATATAATTTGAATGGTTACATGCTTTATTAATGAACAAAGTAAACCTGTTAGTAATTTTTAAATTACTGGTCTTAGGCGTTTGTAACAAGGTAAAAGTATACATTCTAGTTTTGCCCAAAAGTCACTTAAAATATCTACAAATATTTAATCTATGTGTGGTGTACCCCATTATTGCTCCAATTTCTGGGAAGAGTGTTTTTTTAAAGTTTAAAAAAGAGGAAAAACAGCAAAGTGACTACTTTGCAGTGGAAAAAAAAAGTGTGTCCTTCATGGGTTACACTTTCATATTTTTATGCAGTGTTAAGTTAGCTACGTTATGGGGAACTTGGGTTTTATTCCTGCTCGTGCATGATGTATGTTTCAGAACTTATTTGCTGACATTTCAGAGAACTTCTTACATTACCTGTTTAACATACTGAGGTGCAACTGGAACATATTACAATGATATTACTCATCATTTGCCACTGTGGGCTAAGTTTACTATACTGGTCTTAGATATAAAAGGTCACATTTGAAATTACTAAGTTAGAACTCATAAGAAAGGGGGGAAAGGCCTTAAATATAAAAGACAAATGACAGTTTGATTAAGCAATAATTTTCAGTTTACTAGATGAAACAGACTTGCAACATAGTCTGCATGAATGCAAAATAAGCCATCTACAGCAAGTGATAAGGAAACTGGACAAAAAAGGAAAAAAGCATACACAGGAAAATGAAAGATTCTCTCGAAATAAAAAAAATCAATTATTACAAAGGACTTTACCAAGAACTGCTGTATATCCCCCATCCCATCTGCTGGAAGTCAACAAGAGCATCTAGCAACTTTGTGTTCATGTCAAATCTCAGAGCATCCTAACGCAAAGCCGAAAAAGGAAAAAGAACGGGAAACAGAAGACCCCCAAGCCCTCTCCCCCCAAACTGTAGAACAGTAACTCCAGAGTTCAAATTCAAAAGAAAAGTGGCAATTGAAAGAGGAGATGGTGGCGATAATCCTGTGAATGGGTTTTTGATTTCTCTCCTTCCAGGGGATGGGTGGAGAATGCTCATTAAGATTTGTAGTTAGAGGTTAACCATGTGAGCCCCTCACAGAGTCCGTCCCCTGAGGTGGCACAGGAGGGCTGCCCATACCAGTTCCTGTCCTGAATCCAGGTCAGGCCCAGTTTCTCCTGGATCTTGTGGGGTTTCATGGCATCGGGCAGGTCCTGCTTGTTGGTGAAGATGAGGATTATGGCATCCCTCATCTCCCGGTCATTGATAATGTGGTGCAGCTCCTGGCAAGCCTCATCGGTGCGGTGGCAGTCGGCACAGTCCACTACGAAGATCAGACCTTGGGTCCCAGTGTAGTTATGCCGCGAGAGCGCGGATCTTGTCCTGGCCACCCACATCCCATATGTTGAACTTGACATTTTTGTAAGTCACTGTCTCCACGTTGAAACCCACAGTGGGAATTGTGGTCACCGACTGGCCCAGCTTCAACATTTACAGGATTGTTGTCTTGCCGGCCGCATCCAGGCGCAACATGAGGATCCACATTTCCTTGTTCCCGAAGATTTTGCATAGCACTTTCCCCATCGCGTCAGAGAAGCTGGGGCCAGGGGCATTCAGGTGTCCTGGGTCCCCTCAGCCAACAACGCCGCCGCCGCTGCGAAACTGAAACGAAGGCTCCCAGCCTTTGCGGCCTGCCTGGGAGTTGTCTCCTAAGGGCAGAGGCCCAGGCCTGTCGCTCACTCGGGCATCACCGACCGCACAACTTGATTCCTCCAGTCGCCGCTGCCACCTGGGGCCGGAGTCTGCGCTGGGAGCCGCCGTCCTGCTGAGGCACGGCCCGGCTGTCCTGGTTGTTTTATGCATTGTAGGATATTTAGCAGCAATCCTGGCCTCAACCTACCAGATGCCAGTAGCACCTGCCGGCTGTAACAATCAAAGATGTTTCTGGAGGAACAATTTGGCTTTCAGGAAGAGCAAATAGTTGGACGTCCCCTGGGGGAGGCAGAATCGACTTTAGCTGAGAATCACTGTTCTTAGCATTCAGGATAATATGTCAATTAGATATTTTAGCTATTGAGAGAAGGACTGGAACTCCATGGACTGGACCTGTTTCCTGCAGAGTTTAAAGTCTCCACCTAGTTCCTAGAAAACAAAGGAGTTTTACTAGAGATCACTTGGGGGTAAAGGTAGTATTGTCAAGCAGAGTCAAGAGCTGTTGAAGTCTAATCTCAGGGCAGGGGCCTGCAATTCTGTATCAAGCAAACTAGGTGGTCCCTGTGGAGGCACCCTGGCTCCAGCACTGCTGCTTTTGGTTCCTGTCAGGTAGGTCCCTGCCCCAATGCCTCTGCATCACAAAGAGCCTCTGCTTGGGTGTAGACTAACCTTCCCTTAGCAAGGGCCACTTAAGGGCATTGCAGCCAATTACAGGCTCTTTACTCCATAATAGGAGACAGTAAATATTTGAATGAAAGACCTGGATTTCTACCTGTTTCAGCAATTAGAAGGCACTATGGTGAGAGCAGTTTCAGTGGCATAGTGGGGGAAAGCCAGATTCCAGTGGGTTGTAGATTTCTCCTGTGAATTCTAACTCATAACTTACTTAGGCTGGGTGCAGTAGCTCGCGTCTGTAATACCAGCACTTTGGGAGGCTGAGGTGGGAGGATCACTTGAGCCCAGGAGCTCAAGACCAGCCTGGGCAACATAATGAGACCCCCATCTCTACAAAAAGTTGAAAAATTAGCTGAGCATAGTGGCATGCGTCTGTAGTCCCAGCTACTCAAGAGGTTGAGGTGGGAGGATTGCTTGAGCCCAGGAGGTCAAGGCTGCAGTGAGCCAAGATTGTGTCACTACACTTCAGCCAAGGTGACAGAGCAAGACACTGTCTCAAACAAAAACTACTTAAAGGTCAAATAGGCATCTCATACATCACACACTAAACCAAACTCTTCGTTTTCTTCCCACCCTCAAAATCTATTTCTCCTTTATTGATTGATTGAGATGGAGTTTTGCTCTTGTTGCCCAGGCTGGAGTGCAATGGTGCGATCTTGGCTTACTGCAACCTCCGCCTCCCAGGTTCAAGCAGTTCTCCTGTCTCAGCCCCCAGAGTAGCTGGGATTACAGGCGCCTGCCGTAGCCTGGCTAATTTTTGGTATTTTTAGTAGAGACGGGGTTTCACCATGTTGGTCAGGCTGGTCTTGAACTCCTGAGCTCAGGTGATCCATCCGCCTTGCCCTCCCAAAGTGCTGGGATTACAGGCGTGAGCCACCGCACCTGGCCTCTCCCTTATTTTAATGAATGATATGATTCCTGCTCTCATACCCCACATCCAAACCATCAGCAAATCTTGCTTCTCCCATCATAGGCAATGATCTCTAGCTGTTTGTTGAGCCACCAATTGCAATTATACTGAATTCACTTGCCAGAAATTCTCCAAGCCAAATAAATTCACTTGGGCCTCTCACAATTTTGAATTCCTGTCCTGCCTGTTTTCTGTAAGATCTCAGGGAAGGATATACTTCCAGAGAGCCATCTTGTCCAACGCATTCCCAGGATCAATATGTTTTGATAAAAAAACTCCATAAAAATTGGCTATGAAGCCGGGAAAACAGGCAATATTCTTTGTCACTGAGAATTTAAACTAATGGGAGAGGGAGGATGGAAATGCATGAGTAGTATATGTGTTGTGCCCTGAGAAGCAGAGCGACTTGGGAGGAGCAGTTTGGCTTTCAGGAAGAGCAAATAGTTTTGCTGCCACATACACTAGCCGTAGCTCTGTTCTATCATCTGAGTGGCCAGAGACCAGGAAATGGTAGCAAACCCAAGAGCTTCATGTTTTCCCTTCCTAGTCAAAAAGTGCAGTCTCTTCAGAAGGTGGTAGGAGAGCTTTTAGATAGAGATTGGGAGGAGAGAGGTGGTAGAATCTTCGTTTACCTCCTGTATTAGTCTGTTCTCGTGCTGCTATAAAGAGCTGCCTAAGACTGGGTAATTTATAAAGGAGAGAGGTTTAATTGACTCAGTTCCTCAGGGATAGGGAGGCCTCAGGAAACTTACAATCATGGTTGAAGGGGATGCAAACATGTCCTTCTTCATATGGCAGCAGGAAGAAGTGCTGAACAAAGGGGGATAAGCCCCTTACAAAACAATCAGATCTTGTGAGAACTCACTATCATGAGAACAGCATGCGGGTAACCACCCCCATGATTCAATTACCTTCCTTCGGGTCCCTCCTACAACATGTGGGGATTATGGAAACTATAATTCAAGATGAGATTTGGGTGGGGACACAGCCAAACCATATCACCTCCCATCCTTGACTCCTACCTCCAGGAGCTATTTGATTCCAGGGGGTTGTAGATTTCTCCCTTGAGTTCTAACTCATATTCACAACTACCTACTTAAAGATCAAGTAGGCATCTCAAACTTACCACCACAAAACCAAACTCTTCATTCTCCTCCCACCATCCAAACCTAATTCTTCCTCATCTTAATGAATGGACCCTCTAATGCCCCAGTTGCTCAGTCCAAAAAGCCTAGATGTCACTCTCTTATACCCTACATCTAAGCCATCAGCAAATCCTGTTGGCCCTACTTTCAAAATATTGACAGAGACGGACAACTCCCACTCCCTCCAAGGCTTCAGGTCCAATCCACCATCTTCTCCCTAGACTTTGTCAGCTGTCTCCCTGCTTCTACTCTTTCCTCTGCATACTCTCTTCTCTATCCAAGAACCAGATAATCTTTTAAAAATATAGCTAAGATGATTTTACATGTTGTTTGGAACTTTCCAAAGGTTTCTCCTCTCAGAATAACAAAGTCCTTTCATACCTGACAGTTCTTCCTGATCATGCCAGGCACGCTCCCAGTTTTGTTTTCAGCTCCTGTTGTTCTCCTTGCCTAGAAGCTACTTTCTCAAGCCCTTTACACAACTTTCTCCTTCTCTTCATGTGAGTTCCTGTTTTGAGAGACCTTCTCTAACTATCTGTCATGTTTTTAAAACATATCTGCAAATTCTTTGACACTCTTTTCACCAAGAGTTAGAGTCCAGTTCCTCTCCTCTTGAAACTGACCAAAGTGACTCACTTCTAACAAATTAAATGTGAAGGCAGTGATGCTTAGTCATAAGAGGTGATAGGTGGGATGCTTGCCCTTGGAACAGAGCTGCAATGCTGGGAGGAACCTCCACCACATTGACAGGCTGCACAGAGGTATTCCAGCAATAGTCCTCACTGTGGTCATAGTGGACACCTAGCACCAACCATCAGTCAGGTGAGAAGGAACCCTCCAGATGACTCCAGCTCCAGTCCCTGTTTGACTGGAACCATGTGAGAGACCCTACAGGGAAACTGCCAAGCTCAGCCTAGTCACCCCCAGAAATATGAACGAAAATAAATGCATGCTATTGTTTTTAGCCACTAAGTATGAGTGGTTTAATTACATAGCAATAGATAATTGGAACACAACCCTTCTACAGTAGCACTCCCCATCAGTCTCTATTTTCTTACGTAGATTTATTTTTCTTTGTAGCCCTTACCATTATCTGACGTATTATAAATTTGTTTTTGTTTCCTGTTCTACCACATGCCCTGGAACTTCAGCTGTGTGAAAGTAGAAACTTTGCTTTTTTTGCTGATATTTCCCCCACTACCTAGAATGGTGCTTGGTACATACTAGTCACTCAAGCTCAGATTGTTTTGTTAAATGGATGTACCTGTGGTCTGTGATGTGAAGAAGGCATCCAAGTTGAACAGAGACAGTATGGGCGTGAAAGTATTGTGGAACTTGGAAAGGACCACATAGGAGATATTATTATTATTCTCATTATTCTTGAGGATACTTTTACTTCCCCATTAGTGGTCCTTAATAATGATTTTTTAATGTAGGTAATGAAGTTATTTTTTCTTTTTTTCAAAAAAGCAATTTATTTTTGAAGTAGAAATAAAAATTCTGGTGTTTATAGGATCGAGTTTACACTTCCAAGTCTGTAAGAGTGACTAAGCTTCTGAACCTTTTATGGTTGCATTATGTGCAGGATGAGAAAGGGAATGTTTCTCTCCCCATACCCCTAAGCAAGCAGCCTGCAGGCCAAGACCGGTGCCCATCTAGAAAGGCGTTTGCCATAAGAGAAGAATCATCTTACCCTATGTACTCCATTGGACTTTAGAAGCCTGTGAGCCGGAAAGTCTCCTTACAAACCAGCATAGAGCAAGGTTAGGTGAAGGTCTTTCATGTTTACCCATTGCTGCCCCCCCTTTTTTTTTCATGTTCATTTTTTTTTCCATGGGGCCAAATCATTATATTCTTCACCATTACAGCAAATGCATATTGAACATTTCTTCATAGTGATGTCAACTCTTCATGTCATTTTCACAGTCTTGAGGTGAGATTCTGTTGAGTTTTTTGTGGTTTTATGGCCAGAGACCCAGGAAAGGCTGATTCTTGCCCTGCCAATCATCCCAACCCCGATGGCCCAAGGAGCAACAGCAGATGGGGCTCTCAGTCCCACTGTAGTAGTATCTGAGCTGCACCCAGTAACCTGCATCATAGAGGTCACTGGGGAAGGGAGTTGTGAGATCGTGTAGGCTTGCATTGCTCCCCCCTCTCAGCCCCACATCTGAGTTGAAGACCTGTGGGTTCAGGCACACTGTGCAGGAGGGAGATTGGAGACCAAATGGGAATTCCAAGAGATGCACAAGCAGAAGACTGTTCAGGGCCAGGCAAAAAGGAAGGAAGCTTCATCTCAGATGCTGACCCTGTGAGGCACACCACCCTTCATAAAATAGGGGCCAGTGAGATCCTGGGGCTCTGACAAGCACACACTTAATTCTTTTTCTTTGGATGGGATCAGGATCAAGGAGACAAAGGGAATGGGTTAAGGCAAAATCTCTTGGAGATGGTCATCAGTGTTCTTTCTCCAGTGTTTGCTGTCATCGTCCTTGTCATCATTGTCACCGTCACCATCATTAGCTATAGCAGCACACTTGTACTGAGTCATTGTTTTACACCAGGTGCTGTGATAGATTCTTCTGTGGATGGGGTTATTTGGATAAACAGGATCTTTTATACAACTTAAGAACAAACAGTCCTGTTTGGGGTAGCATTTGGGGTGCACTTGACTGATGCCAAGCAGAGCATGAAAAGGACTGTCACAGAATTTGCATTCTGGAGAACTCTGGAGGGGAAAGAAGACCCTCTCCTGGCCTAGGGCACTGGAGGCTTCATGAAGAACATGATATTTGATCTGAGCCTTGAAGGACAAGTGGAATTTTGTAGATAGAAATGGGCAAGTTGGGCTGCCTGAACAGCATGAGGGGGACTAAAAGCATGGTGTCTTTGGTAAATGAGAGGGACTTGGACTAGAAGGCAGTTGTTGTGACCCTCTGAGTAATTCTTTTTCCTCCGCCACGCCCTTTGCAGCCTATTACTGTAATTGATAGGAAGCTGCATATAATTCCTCCCACATGAACTCATTTTTATGAGGCCTTTCTTCATTTGTTTCCTTTCCCAAGTCAATGAGTGGAGAAGCACATTCCTAGGGATTATGATAGCCGATTTCCTGCATGTTCTTCACTCACAGAAAAGCAATGCCAGATCTGGTCTCCTTTCTTTCCTTTCCATGTATGTAACAGACCTTTCTTTTTTTGAAAAAAGAGAACACATAGTGGGACAGGTTGAGGTCAGCTCAGGAGGTCAGGAGGGTCAGACGTGAGACCTTCACTGCAGACACTCCTGATGCAAGTGCCTGGAGCCACAGAAGCCCACCCAGCAGGAGCAGGATGGCTTTGAGGAGGACGATCAAGCCTGGCCCCAGAGCTAGGTTCACTTCAGAATGTGGGGATGGTCTCACTCTGTTGCCAGGCTGGAGTGCAATGGCGCGATCTTGGCTCACTGCAACCTCCGCCTCCTGGGTTCAAGCGATTCTCGTGCCTCAGCCTCCCGAGTAGCTGAGATTACAGGTGAGTGCCACCACATGCAGCTAATTTTTGTATTTTTAGTAGAGATGGGGTTTCACCATGTTGGCCAGGATAGTCTCGATCTCCTGACCTCGTTATCTGCCCACCTCGGCTTCTGAAAGTGCTGGGATTACAGGCGTGAGCCACTATGCTCAGCTGATCTCGTTCCTTTTTATGGCTGCATAGTATCCCATGGTGTATATGTACCACATTTTCTTTATTCAGTCCGTAATTGATGGGTGTTTAGGTTAATTTCATATCTTTGCTATTGTGAGTAGTACTGCAGTGAACATATGTGTGCATGTGTCTTTATGATTTATATTCCTCTGGATATATACCCAGTAATGGGATTGCTGGGCCAAATGGTATTTCTGTCTTTAGATCTTTGAGGAATTGCCACACTATTTTCCATAATGGTTGAACTAATTCACACTCCCACCGACAGTGTATAAGTGTTTATTTTTCTCCACAACCTTGCCACACCTGTTATTTTTTGACTCTTTATTAATAGCCATTCTGACTGGTGTTAGATGGTATCTTATTGTGGTTTTGATTTGCACTTCTCTAGTAATCAGTGATGTTAAGCTTTTTTTTTATATGATTGTCGTCCACATGTATGTCTTCTTTTGAAAAATGTCTGTTCATGTCCATTGCCCATTTTTTAATTTTTTTTTCTTGTACATTTAAGTTCTTTATAGATGTTGGCTATTAGACCTTTGTTGGATGTATAGTTTGCATTTCTTTTCCCCAGTCTGTGTTCTTGGCACCTTTGTCAAAAATGAGTTCACTGTAGATGTGTAGATTTGTTACTGGGGTCTCTATTCTGTTCCATTGGTCTATGTGTCTGTTTTTATACCAGTACCAGGCTGTTTTGGTTACTATAGCTCTGTAGTATACTTTGAAGTCAGGTAAATGTGTTTCCTCCAGTTTTGTTCTTTTTGCTGATGTTAGCTTTGGCTCTTCTTGGTCTTTTGTGAATCCATACAAATTTTAGGATTAAAAAAATATTTCTGTGAAGAATGTCATTGGTATTTTGATAGGGATTGCATTGAATCCATATATTGCTTTGGGTATTGTGGGCATTTTTAACAATATTGATTCTTGAAATATATAAACATGGAATATCTTTCTATGTTTTTGTGTCCTCTTCAATTTCTTTCATCGGTGTTTTATAGTTTTCATTGTAGAGATCTTTCACTTCTTTGATTAAGTTAATTCCTAGGTATTTAATTTTATTTGTGGCTATTGATTTTATTTCAGATTGTTCCTTGCTGGCATATAGAAGTGCTACCAATTTTGTACGTTGATTTTGTATCCTGCAAATTTACTGAATTTGTTTATCAGTTCTAATAGTTCTTTGGTGGAGTCTTTAGGTTTTTAAAATATCATTTGGAAGTCATATGGAAATATCATTTAGAAATCATTTCCAAATACCATTTAGAAACCATTTGAGTGTTTTCTTACTTCCTGGCACAAAAAGTGTCCTGGGCTCATCTTGAACATTTTTAGTCCTAGCCCTGGCATCAGCTATTTCTCTAACGAGCTCTGGTTCCCTTCAGTGGAAAATGATATTCATAAGCCAAGATCTAGGCACTAAGTATACTCATTGCTATTGAAATGTCATTGTTATCTAGCCCTATCAGTGAAGTAGGGAATATATGTTTTATACACACACACACACACACACACACACACACACACACACACATGCATGCTCACACATACAAACACATATATTTACATCTAATTATCTATCAACTATCTATTATCTATCTATCATCTGTCTATCTATCCATCTATCTATCTAGAAAAGTATGAATGTACACTGATACATCCATTCCAATCTAACACCATAGGATTAATGCTAGCTTTCTCCCTTTCTGAATCTATGACTCTTTTCTGCAAAAGTGACACACCTAGCTTCCAGTATACTTTATTTACTTATGTGATCAATCCCTTCTATGTAGCCAACTCTCACCCATCCCTTCCCACTCAGGGATACCCTCCTCACCTCACGTGGGTTCTCCAGGCCCTATTTAGGCTCTGGCTGCTCTTGAAGGCCACACCTCTGTGTGGACCCCTTCTCTGATTGCTTGGGCTCCCGCTTCCAGGTCAGGCTGCCCCTCCATGTGGATGCCTTCCCCAGCACACTTGGAATCTGACTTGGAGCCACCATGACTCTCTTGTCCACCTTAATGTGTGGCTACCACATGGCTGCAACCCACCTAATGGCTTTAGTATTCAGAAAAGGAGGGAAAATGAAAGAATAAAAAAGGAAAATGAATAGTGCTTTTAGACATGCTGCCCAATCAACTGACGAATTGACAATTTTTTATTCAGTGTTCATTGCATTAAGACAATTGGGAGGTGAAGATGGAATGCAAGACGTATAAGAAAACATGTTTCCTGTGTTCCAGAAATGTCAGGGGAGATGTGGTAAAAATAATAAATCATAACTAATAATATGATAAGTGCTTCGTTGAGTGTTACAAAAAATATGTTCTTCAAAGAAGGCAGAATGAAACTATGAATATTTTCTCCAAACAATGGGCAAAGTCACAGCAGATTAACTCTCACCTATGTTAATAATCAAATTGGAATTCTGACAAAGGCCCCACACCAACAGTGATTACAATGATAAAAAATGTTTATTTGCTGGTTTTCAGTCATTCAGTTCTATAGATTTCTCTTTAGTGTGCAGGATGGCATCAGATAATATTTTTGTAAAGGGGATTTTATCACTTCGCTTAATATAAAACTTATAGAATATTACAAATAAAACGTGATATAAATGTCACTATTAGAGTCATCATGATAATTCTTATTTTTCTTAAAAGTTATGGATCAAATTGTTGAGAAATATTTATTCTCTGATGAGAGCTCAGGAGGAGTTGATAATGCTAACTAGAGGTGGGTAGAGGTAGTCCTATGAGAAGCAGAGAAGCTGAGTCTACCTATCTGTCACTTACCTGGTCACCTCCTTTATACTACATAATGCACAACACTCTACACAGACTCTGGGAGAGCTCAATGAATGTACAAAATCACCAACTACTCATGCAGTACATTAGATTAAGCCCATCTTTATTTCAAGGTTTTATTGACTAAGTTGAAATCTCTGGTGTTCTGGGGCACAGCTTTCTTGAAGACCAAAGTAGAAATCCTTAGAATAACTCATTCTCCACTTAGGGTTCCATCTCTTGAATCCACCTTTAGAACAATGGGTTTTTCTGGTTGAAGAAGTCCTTGCGTGTCTAATTTCAAGGGGATCTACAATAGTTAAACAAGCATATGGAGAATTAATAAATGAAGTGAAAGAAGAAAAGATGGAAGCAAAGTAGAAAAAATATGACAAAAATGCTTTGCAAGCATATAAAAACGACTCTTAACACCATGTATCTTGAACTCTTCATACTTAATCTATAAGCTGGGTAAATACTGGATAGTAAAAGCACTCACCATCCATCGTTTAACAAAATATTTATGGAGCACTGACTCTGTGCCAGGCCTGAGACAAATTCTTGTGGACTCGTGTTTTTTTTTTTTTATTTAAATCTTAAGTTAAAAGGATGAGTTTTAAAAATTAAATCCAGATTAGTAGGTATTATGGCAAACTATTTTGGAAGTGCTATATAAAGTTAAATTTTTATAGGTTAAAACTTGCAAGGTAATCCTGAGTAGCTGTTGTACAGTTTAATTATGTGGGCAGTTTTCAACTTCCAGAGTCTAGTAACCCTTCCCAGTTGAACCCATCAAGTGCAATGATGGGAAATGTCTTCAGAAAGAATTATTCTTTTCTTTTTAACATCTCCTCTTGGCTTCCAAGCGTAGTGCAAACGGGGAATTTCTCAAGTTGTACAGTGTTTTGACTCATACTTCTAGCACTATTGTCACTGAGTCACCCCTTCACTGTTGGGGGAGCCACCAACAGAGTAACATTCTGATCTCAGTTCAGTGAGGGGAAAGCAAATTGCCATGGATACAAAGAAGTGCCAGCCTGAGATGCCTGAGAGCTTGCCAGGGAATATCTTCCCTGTCCCAGGTGTGCCAGAGGCCCACTTTCTCTCAGGGCTGAGCCCCCTGCCTGAATACACACATAGGAAAGCTACACAGCTGCCCTGAAGCCATAGATAAGATGGCAACCATCTCCATCCTCCTCCTCTCCCAAGCACAAAGTGTACTTAAGGGGTAGAGTTGCATATTAAATACACCGGTCCTGGAAATAAGACTTATAGGCTATTGCTTAATATGAATCAATGACATCTGTTCTTTAACTTCTTCAGAGAAAAGATTCTAAATCTTTCTTTAAATGTATCACCTGGAACATAAGGTCAAGGAGTAAGGATAGCCCTGCTCTATGGTAGTCCTTCATATCCACCAGAAATGCCTGAAATTAGTCATTCTCCACCTTGGCTTCACGTGAGAACTAATCAGGGGTTCACCCGACAGCATGACAGAACCTAGTCACGCTCTGGGTTAATTAGTTTAGAATTTCTGAGATGTCACAGGCATCATGAATTTTTGAAGCTCCCTGGTGATTCCAATATACAGCTAGTGGTTGAGAACCACTGTCATGAGAGAGCTTCTGCAGGTTCTGGTGATGGAGAACACCATTTAAGTCACAGCCAGGTAATCATTGCACTTCATGATTGTGCAAAACACTTCTTTCCAATTGACTTGAAACTGAATTTAAACTTACTCAGGTTCAAAGAGACTACACATAATCATGTCATGCTAATCTGTGTGGACTTTACATGATGTTCTTAATGCTACAGGTTTTGAAGTCCAGAACTGAAGCATCCTTAATGATCAAAGATGGATCCAAGTAGGTTCTTTGGCCCATAGAATGAATTATTAAAAGATAAACATGCATATTCTTTTAAAAAATATATACCCTTCAGTTAAAAAAATTCTTAATAAAACATACAGAAAGTGTACTGACCTGTGTTTCTTTACAAGGTTTGAAGGAGAAGTTCTGAAGGACTCTGATTAGAGCAAGTTTCATGTTCATGAGAGCAAACCTCATGCCAATGCAGTTTCTGGGTCCAGTTCCAAAGGGTGTGTATATGTAAGGATCTATGCTGTCCTTCTTCTTACTGAACCTAGTTCCATATTGGTAGATTAAATAGTTAATGAAACATAAAAACCACAGAGTTACATGTTAGGGGTTCTTACTTAAGAACAACCCCCCTCCACCTCCCAACCAGTAGTACACAGGATACTTTTGTGGGCTGGTCATTGAAATCCTGCTTTGGTTATTTCGTTATAATCATCATAACCTACAGGTCCTTTAAATTCTCCATACCCTATAGGAGCGTTTCTTGAGATGAGATGAATATTGTTGCAAATAATATTTATCTCTAAACACTAAAATTATATTCAGGGTGGTGATGTGTTCACACTATAAAAGGCACATAAATGATAAGACTGATGGATGGAAAAGTGGATTCCTGCCTCAACTCACACTTGTGTTGGTCACATGCTCATTGAGAAAGGAGAAGGAGAAAACGTCTTGTGCTATTTCAAGTTGTTATTTTTCCCTTTCCTTCTCCTGTCATCTCTTTTTTTCTAATTCCCCTCCTCCTCCTCTCTACCTTCCCCGTCCACCTTCTCCTCTGCCTCCTTCTCCTCCTCCTTCTCTTCCTTTTTCTTCTCTCCATCTCTTCCTCTCTTTCTCCCCCACACCCTTACAGGATAGTTTAAGTCACATAAGTTACATGGGCATATGATGCTACCCTACTGTAGTGTCATCCCTGCTTTCCTTGATCTGTTCCATTAAGCTATAAATTCTTTGAAGATTGACCCATGTTTTATTCAAATTTGATTTCTAAATATTTGATTATATTAAGGAAAAAATGTTGATTCAAAGAAAGTAATAATGGCATTGTTGTCATATGTTTTTACAGGAGTCTTTATATTTTGGAGAGCATTCTGAAATATTTACAGGCTATTGCTTCAAAATAACATGATAGTCAGGAGGAGGGTGATGGTGGCATTTGGATGGGGCAGCTAACATGGATTGATGGCTGTTGGAACCAGTGATAGATATATGGAGATGCACGAAAACTATTCTATAGGCTGGTGTCGGTAACATGTACTTGTGTATATGTCAAACATTCTCTAATATATATATACACACACATATACGTATATATCACATGAATTTATGGATTTATGTAAATCATATGGATTTATGGATTTATATAAATCATATGAATTTCTCCCTGCCTAGCCAAGTTCCTGACACATGGCAAGCACTATCTTTTTGGTGACTGAGTGATTCAAAGTGAAGTACAGCGAGTGGTCTCTGATTTCGTATTAGTGCAGCCACAGGAGGTGGAAGTGCTGAGCTTGCAGGAAACATAGAAGTCCTCTACTCCAGAAAACAGAGAACTTGGTCAGCTCTGACTTACTCTGTGAACAAGTATTATGTGCAGACTCCATGCTAGCACTAGGGACACCATGACCAACAAGACAAGGTTCCTCCCATCAGCAAACTTGCAGGTAGGGGCTAATGAAAGTCTAGATCCCAAGCATCCTGAATCACCAGCCAGTACCCTAAAAATTTCATTCTAAATTTTGCTTAATAATACAGTAATGGGAAAACACCAACTATATCCAGAGTGCGAACTGTGCCTAAGGCCTGACCTTGTCCCTGAATTCCCAGAAGAGCATGCTCAAGACACCTCCAAGGAGGAGTGTGTGAGATGTCTACTGAGAGTATAAGGGAGCTGGCACAGGACTGCAGCCACAGATAGGACCAGGAGGACCTGTGCTGTCTTGTGTCTTCAGTGAAGTGGCTTAAACCATTAGGGATGAGGACTTCTCAGGACCTCAGCCTGCACTCTTATAATTACTACAGAGGAAATAGCAAGTAACGTTGAAAGCAAATGGAATGTGGAAGCATGTTTTAAAGTTTCTGTTAAATTCAGAGAGCTAAAGGGCACAGCATAGAAAAAACAGAAAGGAATAAAAAGCCTATACACCTGAAATAACATCATGGTTAAATGGTTTATGGCATATGCAATATATACATATATATATATTTATATATATACATATATATGTATATTTATAGTAATATAGGTCAGTGGATAGTTTCCTGTTAAATCAAGTAAGCAGCAATTCAAACCAAATAAAAAGTGATACCATTCTAATTTTTAAAAATCTATATAGGCGTAGAAAAATGCCCACAGGGACATAATTGATTATCTTTGTCTTGTGCTGGGACTGTGGATGGATGTAGTTTCGTTTTTTCTAGTCTGTGGTTTGTAAAGTTTGATAATTATCACTTTTTTGTGATAAAAAGACTTACAAGCAAATGATTGTACAACCACACGATTGTCATGTAGATTAAGAGAGGCAGAATATGCTTGAACCAGCCTGGGTCAGGGTGAGCTCCATTTCCCTGGAGACTTGTACCTTTCAGGGCGGAACTCCTCAGGCTCTGTCCAGTACTTTGGGTCATGGTGAAGAGCATAAGTTGGAATCACCACCATTGACCCTTTGGGAATGAATACCCCATTGATTTCAACATCTTTCTTGCAAGTCCTCTCAAGTCTAATAGCAACTGGGAATAATCTGAGTGTTTCATTCACCACCATGTCAAGGTACTCCATCTGTACCACGGCATCATAGGTAGGTGGTGCCTGGAAGGAAAGAAACAGAATTGGATAATCTGAGATTTTGAATTAACTCTCAACTGAGTCCATGCAGTACTATTGAAGTATTAGAAGCTCCAGAGAATAACTCATACTGGTAAATGATCATAGTATTCGTGAAGTATTTTAATAACTGGCATGTCCATTGATGTGCTCAGTGACCTACTGAGATGTGTGGAGGAGTTATGAATGTAGGAGATATTCAAGACCATCCTCACCCCAGGGACTGAAATCCTTAGCATGACCATGTAGTGGTTTTTCTTTCTCATGGGAAGAAATGTGATTAATGGGGCTATGACCATTACCACCAAATAAAATACACCAAAGTCACTATCACCTTTCAAAAAGAGGTCACACATCTGTACCAAGAAAGAAAAACAGGGAAAAGAGCAAATATCCTCTTCACACAAGGATTATTGGTTGCAGAGTCCTGCTTGGTAACTCTTTTGAGGAGTTTGAGACCAGCTTGGGAAACATGGTGAAAACCCATCTCTACAAAAAATACAAAAACTAGCTGGGTGTGGTGGCGTGTGCCTGTAGTTCCAGCTACTCAGGAGACAGAGGCGGGAGGATGGCTTGAGCCTGGGAGGCAGAGTTTGCAGTGAGCTGAGATTGCACCACTGCCCTCCAGCTTGGGTCGTAGAGTCAGACCCTGTCTCAAATAAATAAATAAATAAATAAATAAATAAATAAATTTGTGGATAAACTTGTTCCTTTCTATCACAAATACGACAAAATAAATTTATGATTGGATGCTACCAAGGTACACAATTTGAGTTCTAGTTAAAGTTATGAAGAGAATAGAACCCCACACTCAGCCCCATCCCCTCCTTTTGGAATAGTTTCCTAGTTGTTGCTTCAGGGCTGGACTGTAATCTTCAGGACTGGATGTAAATGTCCCTTTGTGTCTGCCTCACAGCCACACCAGGGTCAGCCCCACAGGCCAGGTCTCTTCACACTAAAAAGAATCCCAGTTTGGGCAGAAGTCTGAAAACTGTGGATGATATGTACCTAGCACTTGGTGTTATATTTGGGAGGCAGTATTGTAGAGGGTTAGAGTTTAGCTCAGGAGTCAGATACCCTGGTTCCTAGCTTGGCTTCTTGGCCAGTGGCTACCTGACTGGAACATGAGACAGGTGTGGGGAGAGCTGAGTCAGCCTCCATCGCGCCCCCAGGGCCAGGCTACCTCAGACCATAGCCAGACCAGAGTGAGTCCAGTCAGTATCAGCAGAACTCACTATCCAGTCTTGTGAGCAATAAATGCTTCTCATTAGATGCCACTGAGGTTTTTGAATTTTTTTTTTTATACTTTAAGTTTTAGGGTACATGTACACAACGTGCAGGTTTGTTACATATGTATACCTATGCCATGTTGGTGTGCTGCACCCATTAACTCGTCATTTAACATTCGGTATATCTCCTAATGCTATCCCTCCCCACTCCTCCCACCCCAAAACAGGCCCCAGTGTGTGATATTCCCCTTCCTGTGTCCATGTGTTCTCATTGTTCAATTCCCACCTACGAGTGAGAACATACAGTGTTTGGTTTTTTGTCCTTGCCATAGTTTGCTGAGAATGATGGTTTCCAGCTTCATCCATGTCTCTACAAAGGACATGAACTCATCATTTTTTATGGCTGCATAGCATTCCATGGTGTATATGTGCCACATTTTCTTAATCCAGTCTATCATTATTGGACATTTGGGTTGGTTCCAAGTCTTTGCTATTGTGAATAGTGCTGCAATAAACATAAGTGTGCATGTGTGTTTATAGCAGGATGATTTATAATCCTTTGGGTATATACCCAGTAATGGGATGGCTGGGTCAAATGGTATTTCTAGTTCTAGATCCCTGAGGAATCACCACACTGACTTCCACAATGGTTGAACTAGTTTACAGTCCCACCAACAGTGTAAAAGTGTTCCTGTTTTCTCCACATCCTCTCCAGCACCTGTTGTTTCCTGACTTTTTAATGATCGCCATTCTAACTGGCGTGAGATGGTATCTCATTGTGGTTTTGATTTGCATTTCTTTGATGGCCAGTGATGATGAACATTTTTTCATGTGTCTATTGGCTGCATAAATGTCTTTTGAGAAGTGTCTGTTCATATCCTTCCCCCACTTGTTGATGGGGTTGTGTTTTTTTCTTGTAAATTTGTTTGAGATCATTGTAGATTCTGGATATTAGCCCTTTGTCAGATGAGTAGGTTGCAAAAATTTTCTCCCATTCTGTCGGTTGCCTGTTCACTCTGATGGTAGTTTCTTTTGCTGTGCAGAAGCTCTTTAGTTTCATTAGATCCCATTTGTCAATTTTGGCTTTTGTTGCCATTGCTTTTGGTGTTTTAGACATGAAGTCCTTGCCCATGCCTCTGTATTGAATGATATTGCCTAGGTTTTCTTCTAGGGTTTTTATGGTTTTAGGTCTAACATGTAAGTCTTTAATCCATCTTGAATTAATTTTTGTATAAGGTGTAAGGAAGGGATCCAGTTTCAGCTTTCTATATATGGCTAGCCAGTTTTCCCAGCACCATTTATTAAATAGGGAATCCTTTCCCCACTGCTTGTTTTTGTCAGGTTTGTCAAAGATCAGATGGTTGTAGATATGTGGCATTCTTTCTCAGGGCTCTGTTCTGCTCCATTGATCAATATCTCTGTTTTGGTACCAGTACCATGCTGTTTTGGTTACTGTAGCCTTGTAGTATAGTTTGAAGTCAGGTAGCATGATGCCTCCGGCTTTGTTCTTTTGGCTTAGGATTGACTTGGCAATGCGGGCTCTTTTTTGGTTCCATATGAACTTTAAAGTAGTTTTTTCCAGTTCTGTGAAGAAAGTCATTGGTAGCTTGATGGCGATGGCACTGAATCTATAAATTACCTTGGGCAGTATGGCCATTTTCATGATATTGATTCTTCCTACCCATGAGCATGGAATGTTGTTCCATTTGTTTGTATCTTCTTTTATTTCATTGAGCAGTGGTTTGTAATTCTCCTTGAAGAGGTCCTTCACATCCCTTGTAAGTTGAATTCCTAGGTATTTTATTGTCTTTGAAGCAATTGTGAATGGGAGTTCACTCATGATTTGGCTCTCTGTTTGTCTGTTATTGGTGTATAAGAATATTTGTGATTTTTGCACATTGATTTTGTATCCTGATACTTTGCTGAAGTTGTTTATCAGCTTAAGGAGATTTTGGGCTGAGACGATGGGGTTTTCTAGATATACAATCATGTCATCTGCAAACAGGGACAATTTGACTTCCTCTTTTCCTAATTGAATACCCTTTATTTCTTTCTCTTGCCTGATTGCCCTGGCCAGAACTTCCAACACTATGTTGAATAGGAGTGGTGAGAGAGGGCATCCCTGTCTTGTGCCAGTTTTCAAAGGGAATGATTCCAGTTTTTGTCCATTCAGTATGATATTGGCTGTGGGTTTGTCATAAATTTGCTCTTATTATTTTGAGATAGGTTCCATCAATACCTAATTTATTCAGAGTTTTTAGCATGAAGGGCTGTTGAATTTTGTTAAAGGCCTTTTCTGCATCTATTGAGATAATCATGTGGGTTTTGTCGTTGGTTCTGTTTATATGCTGGATTATGTTTATTGATTTGCGTATGTTGAACCAGCCTTGCATCCCAGGGATGAAGCCCACTTGATCATGGTGGATAAGCTTTTTGATGTGCTGCTGGATTCGGTTTGCCAGTATTTTATTGAGGATTTTTGTATCACTGTTCATCAGGGATATTGGTCTAAAATTCTCTTTTTTGGTTGTGTCTCTGCCAGGCTTTGGTATCAGGATGATGCTGGCCTCATAAAATGAGTTAGGGAGGATTCCCTCTTTTTCTATTGATTGGAATAGTTTCAGAAAGAATGGTACCAGGTCCTCCTTGTACCTCTGGTAGAATTCGGCGGTGAATCCATCTGGTCCTGGACTTTTTTTGGTTGGTAAGCTATTAATTATTGCCTCAATTTCAGAACCTGTTATTGGTCTATTCAGAGTTTCAACTTCTTCCTGGTTTAGTCTTGGGAGAGTGTATGTGTCGAGGAATTTATCCATTTCTTCTAGATTTTCTAGTTTATTTGCATAGAGGTGTTTATAGTATTCTCTGATGGTAGTTTGTATTTCTGTGGGATGGGTGGTGATATCCCCTTTATCATTTTTATTGCATCTATTTGATTCTTCTCTCTTTTCTTCTTTATTAGTCTTGCTAGCATTCTATCAATTTTGTTGATCTTTTCAAAAAACCAGCTCCTGGATTCATTGATTTTTTTGAAGGGTTTTTTTGTGTCTCTGTTTCCTTCAGTTCTGCTCTGATCTTAGTTATTTCTTGCCTTCTGCTATCTTTTGAATGTGTTTGCTCCTGCTTCTCTAGTTCTTTTCATTGTGATGTTAGGGTGTCAATGTTAGATCTTTCCTGCTTTCTCTTGTAGGCATTTAGTGCTATAAATTTCCCTCTACACATTGCTTTGAATGTGGCCCAGAGATTCTGGTATGTTGTGTCTTTGTTCTTGTTGGTTTCAAAGAACATCTTTATTTCTGCCTTCATTTCGTTATGTACCCAGTAGTCATTCAGGAGCAGGTTGTTCAGTTTCCATGTAGTTGAGCGGTTTTGAGTGAGTTTCTGAATCCTGAGTTCTAGTTTGATTGCACTGTGGTCTGAGAGACAGTTTGTTATAATGTCTGTTCTTTTACATTTGCTGAGGAGTGCTTTACTTCCAACTATGTGGTTAATTTTGGAATAGGTGTGGTGTGGTGCTGAAAAGAATGTATATTCTGTTGATTTGGGGTGGAGAGTTCTGTAGATGTCTATTATGTCCACTTTGTGCAGAGCTGAGTTCAATTCCTGGATATCCTTCTTAACTTTCTGTCCTGTTGATCTGTCTAGTGTTGACAGTGTGGTGTTAAAGTCTTCCATTATTATTGTGTGGGAGTCTAACTCTCTTTGTAAGTCTCTAAAGACTTGCTTCATGAATCTGGGTGCTCCTGTATTGGGTGCATATATATTTAGGATAGTTAGCTCTTCTTGTTGAATTGATCCCTTTACCATTATGTAATGGCCTTCTTTGTCTCTTTTGATCTTTGTTGGTTTAAAGCCTGTTTTATCAGAGAGTAGGATTGCAACCCCTGCCTTTTTTTGTTGTCCATTTGCTTGGTAGATCTTCCTCCATCCCTTTATTTTGAGCCTATGTGTTACTTTGCACGTGAGATGGGTTTCCTGAATACAGCACACCGATGGGTCTTGACTCTATCCAGTTTGCCAGTCTGTGTCTTTTAATTGGAGCATTTAGCCCGTTTACATTTAAGGTTAATATTTTTATATGTGAATTTGATCCTGTCATTATGATGTTAGCTGATTATTTTGCTCGTTAGTTGATGCAGTTTCTCCTTAGCCTCGATGGTCTTTACAATTTGGCATGTTTTTGCAGTGGCTGGTACCAGTTGTTCCTTTCCATGTTTAGTGCTTCCTTCAAGAGCTCTTTTAGGGCAGGCCTGGTGGTGACAAAATCTCTCAGCATTTGCTTGTCTGTAAAGTATTTTATTTCTCCTTCACTTATGAAGCTTAGTTTGGCTGGAAATGAAATTCTGGGTTGAAAATTCTTTTCTTTAAGAATGTTGAATATTGGCCCCCACTCTCTACTGGCTTGTAGAGTTTCTGCCGAGAGATCCACTGTTAGTCTGATGGGTTTGTGTTTGTGGGTAACCCGACCTTTCTCTCTGGCTGCCCTTAACATTTTTTCCTTCATTTCAACTTTGGTGAATCTGACAATTATGTGTCTTGGAGTTGCTCTTCTCGAGGAGTATCTTTGTGGCGTTCTCTGTATTTCCTGAATTTGAATGTTGGCCTGCCTTGCTAGATTGGGGAAGTTCTCCTGGATAATATCCTGCAGAGTGTTTTCCAACTTCGTTCTATTCTCCCCGTCACTTTCAGGTACACCAATCAGACGTAGATTTGGTCTTTTCACATAGTCCCATATTTCTTGGAGGCTTTGTTCCTTTCTTTTTATTCTTTTTCTTCTAAACTTCTCTTCTTTCTTCATTTCATTCATTTGATCTTCCATCACTGATACCCTTTCTTCCAGTTGATTGAATTGGCTACTGAGGCTTGTGCATTCATCACGTAGTTCTCGTGCCATGGTCTTCAGCTCCATCAGGTCCTTTAAGGACTTCTCTGCATTGATTATTCTAGTTAGCCATTTGTCTAATCTTTTTTCAAGGTTTTTAACTTCTTTGCCATGGGTTCGAACTTCCTCCTTTAGCTCGGAGTAGTTTGATCGTCTGAAGCCTTCTTCTCTCAACTCGTCAAAGTCATTCTCCATCCAGCTTTCCGTTGCTGGTGCGGAGCTGCGTTCCTTTGGAGGAGGAGAGGTGCTCTGATTTTTAGATTTTTCAGTTTTTCTGCTGTTTTTCCCCCATCTTTGTGTTTTTATCTACCTTTGATCTTTGATGATGGTGATGTACAGATGGGTTTTGGTGTGGATGTCCTTTCTGTTTGTTAGTTTTCCTTCTGACAGTCAGGATCCTCAGCTGCAGGTCTGTTGGAGTTTGCCGGAGGTCCACTCCAGACCCTGTTTGCCTGGGTATCAGGAGTGGAGGCTGCAGAACAGCGGTATTGGTGACCCGCAAATGCTGCTGCCTGATCATTCCTCTGGAAGTTTTGTCTCAGAGGAGTACCCGGCCGTGTGAGGTGTCAGTCTGCCCCTACTGGGGGGTGCCTCCCAGTTAGGCTGCTCGGGGGTCAGGGACCCACTTGAGGAGGCAGTCTGTCTGTTCTCAGATCTCCAGCTGTGTGCTGGGAGAACCACTACTCTCTTCAAAGCTGTCAGACAGGGACATTTAAGTCTGCAGAGGTTTCTGCTGCCTTTTGGTTGGCTATGCTCTGCCCCTAGAGGTGGAGTCTACAGAGGCAGGCAGACCTCCTTGAGCTGCGGTGGGCTTCACCCAGTTTGAGCTTCCTGGCAGCTTTGTTTACCTACTCAAGCCTTAGCAATGGCGGGCGCCCCTCCCCCAGCCTTGCTGCTGCCTTGCAGTTCGATCTCAGACTGCTGTGCTAGCAATGAGCGAGGCTCCATGGGCGTAGGACCCTCCGAGCCATGCGCGGGATATAATCTCCTGGTGTGCCGTTTGCTAAGACCATCAGAAAAGCGCAGTATTAGGGTGGGAGTGACCTGATTTTCCAGGTGCTGTCCGTCACCCCTAGGAAAGGGAATTCCCTGACCCCTTGCACTTCCCAGGTGAGGTGATGCCTCGCCCTGCTTTGGCTCAGGCTGGGTGCACTGCACCCACTGTCCTGCACCCACTCTCCAACAATCCCCATTGAGATGCACCCGGTACCTCAGTTGGAAATGCAGAAATCATTCGTCTTCTGTGTTGCTCACGCTGGGAGCTGTAGACTGGAGCTGTTCCTGTTTGGCCATCTTCTCGCCACACTCCTTTTTTTTTTTTTTTTTTTTTTTTTTTTTTTACTTAGCATTATTGTGATAACAGTAAACAGGTGAACCAGGGCCAGCAATATTGTACAAAGATCTTATGCTTCTGCCAGTAGCAACCGTTCTCTATGTTTCTCCCTTTGTTTTTCTCCTCAGAGGCTTCCTACATTATGTCAGTGAAGGAATCAGTGATTATGCTTTTTATAAAAATTCTCCTGGGGAGTGGTGAGGAGGCATTTTTGCTAAGGCTTCACCTCTTCCCTTCATCTCCAGGGGTCATCCCCTCACCTTATTGGGCAAAACTGCATCAATCTCCTTTTGCAGTTTCTGCTGGACATCAGGGTGAGTGGCCAGTTCATATAAAGTGAAGGAAAGAACACTGCTGGTGGTTTCATAGCCAGCAAAAATGAAGATTATTGACTGGGCTGCGAGCTCCAGATCAGACAGAGCTGAAAGGAGAGGAAAGACATTTTAGGTAAATCAGGTCAACGTACAACATCACAGCTTAGATGAAATCTAAGTGAAGCTCTCTAATCCCAAGAAGAAAAAATGGAAAAGCAATTCAAAGTCACACTGGGAGTGGTTTTCATTCTGATATGTATCTTATACAGGGCCAGGATGACGCAAAATCATTTTAATCCAGGTTTTCCCAAGGTCTACATGATTGTGGGCCACACACTCCTCATCATGGCATCCCAGCACCAGCACTGCTGTAATTTCCAGAGAGAGCATTTCTGTCTTACATACTCAGTGTTATGGGTGTGTGCCTTGAATGATCCTAAAAGTACTTTATCTGTAAGTAAATATGGGGTAGGCTTTTTCCCAATAAAAATTTGATTTTCTACAATAGAGCTTGACAGACTTTGAGAGAATTCCAATATAGCTTGACAAACTTTGAGAGAATTTGCAATATTTAGGACCTTTTCTCTATATATGTTTGAGGGAACTTAAAGGACCAATACTGAGCTACAGATCACCTCTTGCTACTCAAAGTGTGTTTCATGGACCAGCAGCACCAGCCACATCTGGGAGCTTATTAGAAATGCAGAATCTCAAACCCCACCATCGAACTACTGAATCAAAATCCAAACTTGCAGGAGATATGGTGATTTGTGTGCACAACCTCACTTAAGCAGCATGGATTACATCTTTGACAGGCATCAGGCAATACAAGATCTAGGGTACAGTTCTCAGAATGGACTATCTCAGGATGTACAAGACAGCAGAGATAGACAAAAAGCCAGAAGCATGGTGATTGACTGTAGTCTGATGAATGGCATTAAAATAGCAGAAGTTCTTATGATTACAGGTTGGCCTCCCTCTTGATATTTCTCCTGAGAGAAGCTCACGATGGTCCATCACTAGTCTGTTTGGTCAGGACTGGATTAGGACCTTTAGAGACCTGGAGCACAGAAATAAATATGGTGCCTGCAGCAATCATGTAACTCACAACCAAACACAATATAAAATGAGTGTGAGAAAGGTCTACAGAGTTCTGATTTATCAGTGAATATTTCTGTATGCTGCTGTGGGTAAATTCAACCATCCAATTATTTTACTCAGTTACATTGAACCCCATTATACTGAGTTGAAATTGAACTGTAATTTTAAAGTTGGGAGCTCTGCTGTCCAATCTGGTAGCCACTATCCACATGTGGCTATTTAAATTCAAATTTTATTCAATTAAAAATAAATACTCTTAAAAATTGTTCTTCAGTGGCATTGGCCACATGTCCAGTACTCAATAGCCATATGTGTCTAGTGATTTCTATATGAAACAGTGAAATGATAGACTATTTTCTTTATCACAGCAAGTTTTGTTGAGATAGATAGATGATTAATTGATAAATTATAGGCAGATAGATGATTGACAGATAGATAGACAGACAGAAGTAGATGTAGACATGGACATGTTTAAAGTGGTATACTGGAGTCTGCTGAGTCCTGCTCTCTAGAACCAATTGTTAAATATTCAAAAATTTTGTGAGATGGTTGCCAAATCTTGGTAGCTTGAAATTGACCATGGTTATCATTTTGCCACTGTCTTAGTAATAATGGTTTTGGTTAAAACCATCCATGGGTCATAAAACTAGTAGATACAAGACTGAAGATTGAAGTAGATTTACATGGTATCAGAGGTGTCCCCCATTAGTTACTTATGCATTTCAAAGGGAAAAATAAAACTTTGCAGTAGATTAACCTTGCGAACACACTTTCAAGTACTGCCAGTTAAAATCACCCTTACTGGGATAGTGTGCTTCCTGATCGGTATGTTTGATATAAATTTCCAAGTAGAGGTTCTCACTTGGTGGATCTGGAGGAGGCTGAGAACTGGCATTTGATCTCATGTAGGTGATCCACAAACCACTGACTGTCCTCCAAGCATTCTAGGTTTGCTTAGGGTTGCCCTTTCAGCCTGGAACATGGCTATACCTGTGGGCTTCTGGAAAGTGCCTCCAGCTACCATTTATAACATCTAAATGTGTGTTGTTCTGCTATGTGGCAAAAATTCTCATCTTCCTGGAATACTTCCTGCACATTTTCAGAACAAGGCCCTCCCTCTTAGTGTCCCCGCCAGTAGCCCTCAGAAGCACTCCTTGGTTACCTTTGTGGGACTCAGTTTCTTTCGAATTCTGGGAGTCAATCATCAGCTGAAGGAAATCTAGTCGGTGCTAGAAGCAAAAGGAGAGATTTCTTTGGCAGAAAGTGACTCGTGAAGTCAGAAGTAAATCAAAAGTGCAGTCCTCAACCTCCCTTCTTGACTTCCCTCCCTCAACCTCCCTATGGCTTCTTGAAGACGTGTTACCTGAGTCACCAGTGAACAAAAACATTCATCTAAATCCTTGGAAAGCAGGATGTTTTCCTGAAACAAATCTAGCTATCATGTCCAATTGCTTTTTCGCCTTTGCCCTCCCTGTTTCTCATCTTCTCTGTCTTTTGGATACAGCTTTCTGGCCAAAGAGTTGCCGGTTCCATCTCTGGTCATAACTGCTTACCCAGGAAGAAGTACTGGATCTTTTATTCTTCTACCTTTTTCTTCAGCAGTGTCCGTATAGATTAATCTCCTGACATTTCCAGAACTCATCAGCAGCTTTTTTGGGGGAGCATTTTCAAATATTCCAACATTCTCAAACTCTATATAATCTTCAGTGACAGCTGGGTTACCTGGTCCTGTCTCCCTGACCTGCAGACATCCTTCGGCTGGCCTCTAGGGCTCGTGAAGGCAAAGCTGAGTTAGCCAGCCTTGCAACCTCAATTCTCAGAGAAGACCCCTGTTCACTCCAGGCTGTGAAACACTCACATTTACCACACACTACATGTCAGCAGTCGGCAGGTAGCCTCATAGGACCTTTAATTGCAGAATATGTAAAATAAGAGTCTTGGACTTAAAATGATTCTTTACCAATCTGTGATATGAGGAAAGCACAATACCAGTAAAATATATTTTCAAACAGGAAACTTTATCCTTTGACAATTTATTAAAGGGAAGAGAAGTGGTAAAATTTTATCTCAATACTGTTTATATCATGACATACTAATTGTTGTGCCTGATTTCAAGTTTTAAATGCTATCTCTCTGACTCATTCTCATCTCCTTCCCCAATCTCCTTCTTTATTTCTACCAAATGGCTTCTCTTGTTCTAAACATAAGTTCTCTGTCTTTATTTTTAAAAATACAGATACATGCTCTATCATGTGTATAAAATCTAAATTTATCAAAACCTAAACATCGTCATTTAACCACCATCAGATTTTACCTTTTGTTTGTCGTTGAGGCGACTTTTCTTCATTCTGTTTACAGATTTACTTAAAAAATTTATGGTATCTTTTGGAAACAGAGAGACATTTAATGCTTCAAAAACTGGGGTAAGGAATGGAAAGAGTACTGTGGGAAAAACAAAACAAACAAAAGGAAATCATTGAAAATGCAAACTTTACCTGGAGCAATTATAATTTTCTCTACCAGTAATAAGAATAAGAACATCATGATTCTCAACTGGAACCCATTCCTTTTATCATGTTTGCCCTTCTTTCAGGCCGGCGACTGAGCAAGGGCAGGTCTATACATAGGAAACACCACTACAGCAGTGAGATCAATGGCACCTTCTGAGTCTTTGGAGTGACCAAAGTAATAGAATTAAATTCCCTGACCTCTTAGCCTTTATCTATTGGACTAGAGTTTTTGGATTAATGTAGACCATAATCTGCTGCTTAACTTAATCATGCTGTTCAGGAAATGATAGTCAAGATAGAATTAACACAGCATATGTACATCAACTTCCATGGAATAAAACTAGAAATCAATAAGGGAAAGAAATTTGGGAAACTCATACATTTGTGGAAGTTAAACAATACAGTTTTAAGTGACCAGTGAGTCAAAGCAGAAATCAAAAGGGCAACAAGAAATTGTTTTGAGATGAACAAAAAGAAGGCATGATGTACCAAAACACAGGATGTAGCCAAACCAGTGCTCAGAGGGAAATTTATAGCTGTAATATCTAAATTTAAAAGAAGAAAATATCTCAAATTGATTATAATTATTTACACCACAAAACACTAAAAGAAGAAGAGCAAATGAAACCTAAAGCCAGCAAAAGAAAGAAAATAACAGACTAAAATAAACTCATGAAATAGAGAATAAAAAACAACAGAGAAAAATCAATGATATTATTTCTATGAAGTGTCCAGAATAGGCAAATCTATAGAGGCAGAAAGTTGATTATTGGATGCTTAGGGCAGTGGGGTTTGTGGTGGGGTGTTGACAGCTAAAGTGTGTGAGGGCTCTAGATTGACAAAAACATTTTAGTTTACAATAGTAATGGTCATACATATTTTTGATTATCTTAAAAACAATGGAATTGTACCTTTTAAGTGGATGAATTATACGATATGTGAATTATATGTCAAGAAAGCAGTTATTTTTAAAAAGAGAGAAAGAAATAATAGCCCACATACTTATTGAGAGAAATAATGGATCTAAGAAACCAAATTTTAGGAACTTCTTAGTGCTCTCCACAAAGGGGTCTTGTGGATTGTTGAGAGAGTCGATGTTCACTCCAAATGATGTGCCAGTAATCACATCCATGCTGTAGGCCCCAAAGATGCTGAGTGGAGAAAGATATGGAAAATTAAAATCAGCACCTCTTACCGTCCTTCCACTATACATGCAGCAAGAAACCCACATATCCAGTCAAGACACATAAAGAGCCACAGACTTTCAGAACTATCTGCTGAATCATCTTCCATCTACTCCCTCAGAAGGTGGTTATCTGGTGCCAGTGATGGAGCTGGCCCTATGCTGGGGGTGATGGAGACACCAAGCTGAGTTAGACTCACCTCTGAGGTCAAGGAGCCCAGTCATAGGAAGACAGAGACCCATTATCAGACAACTACAGTAGCATGTGTTGAGTGTGGATGATATAAGATATGTAAGCTCTGTGCTTCAGCAGAACAAGAGTAGAATAATTAACTCTTCCTAGTGGATTCAAGAAAGGTGGCGTTGTCTGACTACAGACTCTATGCCCAGAGCCAATTCCTCTTCAACACTTTACAAAACAGTAACACCCTGTTCTGAGTTCCTAGAAATATCATCCTTTATTCTCTACACTCCCTGCTAATGCTCTGGAAAACCCCACTATCCCCAGCTCCTCTGACCTGAAGTTGCGCTGAGAGCAGAGTCATTTTTGTAAGATGTGACAATCAAGAATGTTCTGGTTAAAAAAAATAGATCTCTCCAACATTGATTTGGAGAACCCAAAACTGAGTGACCACATGTCCCAAGTCTGAACAGGACAGGCTCAGATTACACCTGTCGTTCCTGCATAATTGAAGCACATACCATTGTAGACAGCAAATAATAGGCTTGCTCTACACATAGCATTTCTAGCACCCTTTCTTTTTTGAGATTGGAGGAAAAGGAAGTAGTGGGAAGGTTTAATAGTTCATAGTTTGCTGATATTCTCAGAAAAACCATGAAGGGATTGAAATTGTTCCAAGTTCCCCATTGTAACTTTCCCATCTTACCCAATGCAAGGCAACAAGTACCAAATGCTTGCTTACCCACAGTTCCATATCCACTACACTCAAAACTTTGATACAATCATGTTTTTTTAATTTCTAAAGTATGTATTTAATCTCCCAGAATATTTATGGTGACAAGTTAACAGATAAGTAAATCCTGGCTCCTGTGCACAGGAGAGAAGGCCCTTTTCCCTTGCTGACTTGCCGCCTCATGGGAGCCACTCCCTCTTAGGTGGCTCTTTGGAGTTGCAGCGCTGCCCTGCTTTTGTCTGGTCACTGGAGTAACCCAACAGTGCGACTGTCGACTCCATGGCAGGCAGCTGGAAGGGCTCATGACAGCTCAGAACCCCATGGCTGTGCTCCTACTTACTCTTTCAAGGTGACAGGCTTGCCTTTCTCTGCTTCCCGCCTCAAGTTTCTCACCAATACATCTCCATACTGGGCAATGATGGGGAACATCTAAGCACAAAACAGATCAGTACCTGTAGTTAAATGTGCAGACTCAAGTCCCAGAAGGATATGGCTTTCTCCAGCATGGAGCAGTAAGTGACATTTTGTAATGAATTTTGTGATGTCTTTTCTGTACATAAAGATAAAAGACCATTTTTAGGAAGCTCGAACTCAGTGGACTACCCCTTGGAAACGGACTGTGATCTTACTTTCTACCTGTCCCCAGATTCATTCTTTACATTTCTAATTAAGACTCATCTTATTTTCATACCTCCTTGAGTTTTCCGCTGGTGAAGGTTGGAGACAGCAATGACCGTATTCTCTTCCATTCTTCATCCTCAGCTAAAGAGATGGCACTTTTCATAAATCCCACTGGGCCTAAAGACTAGAGTTCAACAGAAACATTTTTTCTCACATTAGTTGTGGTGATCTTCATGGTTGCACAAAATATATTGAAGAGGCATCCTTATTTAACAAATATTTATTGACTGTATATGATATTATGGCAAGCCATATTCAAGATGCTCAATGGAGATCCTAGATGCCTAGCCTCTTCTGAGTGTATGTGGGGCGGGGGTGGGAGTGGGGAGACCCAGCCATCTGGTGTGGTCTCCTGCCTCTATATCTCAGTCTCCTTTTAATTGCAAATGCTCCACGTGGTAGGGAACTGTTCTTCCAGTGGAATAGACAGGAACAAGACCTAGCCCTTCCCCAGGAGTGTGCAGAGTAGAAAAGGATTGGTGACAGATGGGCAGACTGTATGTTGCCTCAGACCAGCTCTGTCTTTAATACACCTACAGCATGGGCAACTTGAAAAAGGGATGCCATGATGTGGTGATTTTTTTTTGAAAAGTAGGTAATACTTAAAGACTAGAAACCTGTTTTGAAGGAATAATGCAATTTCCTTGAAAATTCTTTTCTCTTAATTTTTTATTCCATAAATAGAAGGAAAAAGAAAGGGATAATTACTTTTCCCAACTTGGGGCTGGACTATCAAGCCAGCATGCTTGGAACTTTCTCTTATCTTCCACAACTATGTTTTGTTTTAAAATGTGTACTTCCAGCTGTCATGATAAAATCTCAATAAACTAGGAAGAGAGAGACAGTTCCTTCATTTGATAAAGACAATCTGTAAAAAAATCATTCAGTTAAATCACATTTAATGATGAAGGACTGAATGGTTTTTCCAAGATCAAGAAGAACTAAAAAATGCCCACTCTCAACATTCTTACTAAAGAGCATACCTGATGTCTTAATACACTAGACAAGAAAAAGAAATAAAAGGCATACAGATTGGAAAGGAAATAATAGAATTGTCTCTATTTTCAGGTGACATAATTGTCAATGTATAAAATGTCAAGGAATATACAAAAAAATTTCTAGAACGAATAGGTAAGTTCTGCAAGGCTATAGGATACAAGATCAACAAACAAAATTATTCACATTTCTATGTAACAATAATCAATATCTGAAAATACAAGAAAAACAGTATCATTTACAGTTACTCCAACAAAAATGAAATATTTCTGGTGTAAATCTAACAAAAGATGTACAGGACCTCTATGCTGAAAACTATAAAATGTTGAGGAAAGTAATAAAAGCTAAAGAAATGGAGAGGCATACTATATTCACGGGATGAAAGGCTGAACATAGTAAAGATATAGATTATACCCAAATTGTTCTATTGGTTTAATTCAAGCTTGTCCAACTTGTGGCCTGCAGGCCTCATGCAGTCCAGGATGGCTTTGAATGTATCCCAATACAAATGTGGAAACTTTCTTAAAACATTTTGAGTTTTTTTGCAATTTTTTTTGTAATTTTGTAATTTGACTATGTGATTCTCAAGTGTGAACTTCGTAGACAACAATGGAATGGAAAGGGGTAATCAGAGTATGTCACATCCACAAATAATGGACTAGTATCCATAATTTGCATTATAATTGCAAACAGTTCAGCAAGAAGAAATTAAAAGCCATTAAAATTAACTAACAAAGAGCGAGAGGACGCTATTGCAGTGCCACGTGAAGTGAATTGTGACAAAGAATTCAAGTGTGTATTCTGGACAAGGCAGAGCGCTGCTGTACACCAGACACTGTCGCCATTTGTACGCATGTGTGGCTTCAGTTTTATGGTGGTGTGCGACTTCCAGTGTGTTATCTTCTAATCACGGACAGTTGAATTGACACTGTCAGGTATTAGGTGTGTTTGTGGCAATTTGGCAAGTAAAACCCAGCAATTATCAATAATATTTCAACCTACCTTTGTAGATGATAGGTGTTTAATATTATTTAGAAGACATGTAAGTATTCTTATTTGATTATTAAACCTTGCTTTCTGTTCTATTTTCCTATCTGTTAATTTCCATAATAAAAGTAAATATAGTTGCTTATCTATTATAATGCTTTTAATTCCAGAATGGCTTCCACAATGTCTTAAAAAGAAAACCCTAAAAAACAAAAATTATGGATGAAGGAAGATTGTTCAATGAAAAGTGGACAAATGACTTTTTCTTGTTGAGGCAAATAGCGAAGCACTCTGCTTAATTTCCACGGAATTTGTGCCAGTTTTCAAAGACTACAATTTGAAGAGGCATTATATGCAAAAACGTGCTGACAAATTTGGTGTGTATGTGTTGTAAGGACAAAATAGCAGAACTGAAAAAAAGTCTGTCTTTTCAACAAAAAAGATTTTTTAAAAAGTTACAACTCGGACTCAATCGTAAGGTAAAACCTAGTTATGTGGTAGCAAATTTAATAGCAAAAAAATCAAAACCATTTACTGATGGTGAGTTTATTAAGCAATGTCTGGAAGATGTGGTAGATATTATTTGCCTTGAGAAACTGATATTTCTAAAATCAGTTTGTCTCACCAGACTATAGCCAGGAGAATTGGAGAAATTGGGAAATCTATTGAAAGACGTTTGGAGAGTAAAACTGCTAATTTAAAATTTTATGCTTTGGTGATGGATGAAGGCACTGACACTACAGATACGGCACAACTTGCTATTTTTATTAGAGGTATTGATGATGAATATAATGTCACTGAAGAAATCGAAATGTCACCATGCTATTAAAAGACACAACTAAATCAAGAGATTTATATGAAGCAGTGAAAAATATGTTAAAGCAATTTTCTTTGTCCTTTGTAAACATATGTGATATAGCTACAGATGCTGCCCTGGCGATGGTAGGTAAAAGAGAGGGACTTGTACAATTAATAGATGATGCAGTTGCCACACAAAACTCACATTTGATGAAGTATTATTGCATAATACATCAAGAAAATCCATGTGCACAAGCTTTAAAAGTAGATAACGTCATGCAAATTGTCATCAAGGCTGTAAATTTCACAAGGGCCCAGGAATTGAATCATCGCTAGTTTCAGGAATTCCTTAAAAGTATGGATGCTGACTCTAGCAAGTCATTCACTTTTTAGAAGTAAGATGGTTAAGTCAAGGCAAAATGTAAAGATTTTATGCTTTGTGATGTGAAATCAAGCTGTTTATGGTATCAAACAAAATTGGTGCCAGAACTTGACAATGAAAACTGGCTTACAGATTTAGCATTTTTAGTGGGTTTGACGGCCCATTTAAGTGAGTTAAACCTGTGTCTTCAAGTTGAAAACCAACTTAACAATACAATGTTTCAAACCATAACAGCATTCCATATGAAACTGAAATTATGGCAAGCTCAAATTAAGGCAAACAATTTTATGCATTTCGACATGTTGGCTAAACATGGTCCTGTGAACAGCCAAAAATACGCAGCCTTGCTTTTCAATTTGATACAGGAATTTGAAAACAGGTATTTCAAGATTTCTGAAAAAATCATCAATATTTTGGTATATTTGCAACTCCATTTTCAGTCGACATATATATGTTACCTGGCAATTTTGAAATGGAATGCCTAGAGCTGCAATCTGATGTTCAACTTATAGAAAAATTTGATTTTGCCTCTTTACTGGACTTTTGTAAGACCTGTCTTCCCAATGACAAATATCCCTTGCTTCACAATCACACCTTGTTCATGTCATTGCTTTTTGGCAGCACTTACATTTGTGAGCTACTATTTTCAAGGATGAAGAACACGAAGAGTAAAATTAGAACCAAAATATCTGATGAGCACCTTGAGAACTCACTGAGAATTGCAACTACTTCCATCAAGCCAGATACTGATGGATTAGTTTCTCAAAAACAATGTCAAGTACCCCACTAGTTTTATGTTGTTCTCTTTTCTTTTATAATAAAAAATATCAAAAAAGTAGTGAAGTTTAGCTAGATATGTACATTTTCTGTATCAGTGATTGCAAACTTGGAACCTGTTCAATGATTTTGAAAGACCCTCTGAATGGGGCAGTGCATAATTAGGATTATTATGCAAGGACATTTTTGCTTATCTGTGGTGGTAGATATATAATGAAAACTATACACAGACCATTTGTGTGTGTGTGTGTGTGTGTGTGTGTGTGTGTGTGTGTGTGTGTGTATTTTATGTGTGGCCCACGACACTTCTTCTTCCACTGTGGCCCAGGGAAGCCAAAAGATTGGACACCTCTGCTTTAATTCTTATCAAAATTATGGCAGGTTTGTTTGTAGACACTTACAAGCTTATTCTGAATTTTTATGGAAAGGCAAGGGACAAGAAAAGCTAAAGCCATTCTGAAAATATAAATCAATAAAGTGGAAAGAATTGCCCTATATGATGTTAAGAGTTACTGTACAGCTACTAGAGTCACCACAGTGTGGTATTAGTGGAGGAGTAAACAATAAGAAATAGATTCACAAAATATACTCAGCTGAGTTTTGACAATATGCCTACCTTTCCAAAATGGTGTTGGAACATTTGGACAGCCATAGTCCACAGAAAATGAACCTTGATCTAAATCTCATAACTTATGCAAATATTAACACAAAATGGGTAATAGAGTTACATTTTGTAAAGTGTTAAACTATATAACTCTTAGAAAAAGCAATGTAGGAAGGAGGGCTAAGCAAAGGATTTTCAGACTTAACACCAAAAGAACAATCCATAAAAGGAAATATTAATACATTGGCCTCCTCAAATAAATAAAAGTTTGCTCTGATATAGAACCTGTCAGAGAAAAAGACAAACTCCATGTTGTGACTGTAGGACAGCAGGAGGGAGCCACATGGTGACGGAATGGGTCTGCATCTTGATGGTGCTGGTCGTTGCACAAATCTACGAATGTGAAAAATTGCTTAGAACTACCCACACACATAAACACACACAAACAAGGGCATGTAAAACTGGTGAAATCTGAAAAGCTCTGTAAACTATATCAAAGTCAATTTCCTGTACTATAGTATTAGGTTGGTGCAAAAGTTATTGCAGTTTGCCGGTTTTTGTTGTTGTTGTTGTTGTTGTTGTTTGAGATGGAGTCTCATTGGGTTGCCCAGACTGGAGTATAATGGCGTGATCTCGGCTCACTGCAACCTCCGCCTCCCAGGTTCAAGCGATTCTCCTGTCTCAGACTACTGAGTAGCTGGGACTACAGGCGCATGCCACCACACGCAGCTAATTTTTGTATTTTTAGTAGAGATGGGGTTTCACCATGTTGGTCAGGCTGATCTCGAACTCCTGACCTCGTGATCCACCTGCCTCGGCCTCCCAAAGTGCTGGGATTACAGGCATGAGCCATTATGCCCAGCCTGTAGTTTGCCATTTTAACTTTTGTGCCAACCTGATAATATGAATATACTAGATATATATTGCAATATACAAGATTGCAAGATGTTACCACTGGGCGGGACAGGATGAAGAGTACATGGAACCTTCCTGTACATTTTTTAGGTAACCTTCTGTGAATATATGTTTTTTTCAAAATAAAAATTTAATCAGTGGATCAATCATTATTTAAATTTCAAAAAATGGATGCTTACCCTTCGATTTGTGAAGACAGAATAACATTCTTTCACTAGCACTGTTCTGATCACGTCGGGATCTGTGATGGCCAGCACAGGGAGTTGACCTTCATACGTTCTGTGTGGGGACAACGGAGCTGATTAAACTTCACTAGCCCGATTCTGCAGCTGGAGCCACACCCAGGAAGCCAGACTTTGATCATTATGTTATGTAATCCATACCCCTAGTTGTACGACACACAGCAACCTTAGGTTCTAGTTCATTAGGGTGTGACACACAGCAAGAGTCTCACACAGGAGCCACCCAAGGCTTCATATGATGAAGGGTAATGTGGTCCAAACAGGGAAGAGATATTGAAAGACAAAAGAGCTCTTTAAAGAGATTATGGTTAGAAATGACAGTAGAGCATTCGTTAAGCTGGGTGGTACATACGTGGGTATCTCCTATGCCACTCTCCATAATGTTTTATATGTTTAAAATACTTCATTATCAAAAAGAATATTAGGTCAGTGAAAAATTGAAGGCAGGTAAATCATCAAGTGCTCACAAGGACTAAATGCTGCAAGGGCAGTTGGTGTGGGGCCCATGGACATCTAGAGCTGTGTCATCTGTCTACTAAGTCATGTTGCCTGTATGGGCCATGCCAGCTCCACAGCACTCCACAGTCAGCGCTGTGGATTCTGAGGACTTGAGGGGAGAAGATGAAGAAGTACAAAGAGGCAAAGCTTTCTCCCACTTGCTTCTAGTGAACAAACACACCACTGCACCTCATCCACTGCTCTCACCAAACCTCTAGCCCCTCTGACAGGGAACAGCTGCTGCAATTGGCTGAGACCACCTTATAAAATCACAGTCCATCAGCCCACCAGGGAACACAATGGTTTAATAATATTCAGCATCTCTTCTTCAAAGTAAGTGCAATGGTATAAACCAATAAATATTTGTATATCCTTCTATTAAGAAGTTTTGGCTTAAATTTAAACAACAAAGCAGAACAAAAAATTCCATACTTGCAGAGAAAGTTTAAAAAAGTGGAGCATAAGTGGTTTCCCAATCTGTTTCTCTATTATCTCTCAACCCTTCTTTCAAAAGCACATGTTAAATTCAGTCTAAATGAAGGAGTTTTGGCTTTTAATTGAAAGTGAATCAATGTGGGAAGGAGATGATGCCATGCATTTATGAGCACATATTAGAAGGGTCTGAGACAATGCATGTGATAAAAGGGCACCTAAGGAAGAAAAAAAGAAGAGGGGAATAGGCAGACACTGGACAGAAGGCGATGCTGGGAGTCCCTGGGCCACCAAAACCTGCAGAAAAGTGGTAACCACAATGCTCCTAGCCTAGTTCAGACTGAAGACCTCGATACCTGGTGACACATGGGATCCTTGGTAGGACAAGCCTCGAAAAGTTTTACAATAGCGAGTGTGAACTTTATCAGAACCAAAGTGATGTCACTAATTGTTTTTTAACCCTGACAAATAAATCCCAAGAAGGCTATGAAGAGAGGATTCTTATGCTTGTGTTCCTGGAAACAAAACTATTACAAAAGTGTCTACAAAAACCACAACTTTGCACAAAGGCTATTTCAACTTTACACAAAAATATTTCTGCAAGGACACCTGTCCAGCAACTGCCTGTCCAACCTTGGTGTGGCATCACCCTTGTTATTGATCTTTGTAGCTAACAATAATTATCTCAAAACAGTTATGAGATTCTTCTCATATTTTCTATGGAGCATCTTTGTCTTGTTTACCTCCCTGAATTTGCACATAGTTTATAACGGCAAGCAGATTCCCATTGCAATATTCTACTCCCAAGTAATTATCCTCTTCTTTCAGAGAACCTCTCTCTGTTTGTATTTAGGTTGACAAGAGCTTCATCCCATGAAGACCTGGGCAGAGACTATCCTGCAGTGGGGTAACCTCCTCACAGTAGCAGGTCTATCCAATGGAGGTTTTCAGAATACTCACCCCCACATTTTTCCATACTTTTTATAGCACTCTGTGTCAAATTTCCAGAGACCCTGGGAGAGGAAACAAAATACAAGTTGATTATTATTTTAAATAGAATAAACCCTACCTCTAATTGGGGCTGAAAACAGTTGCGTCCAATGAAATCAGGCCTGCTATCTTTCACTGGCAGTTGAAGGAAGCTATTCAGAGATGTCTTAAGGGAAAGACAAGAAAACAGAGAATATATTTGAAGTGGGGAATTTAAAGTCACTCTTGAATTTTCTCTAAGTACTGAAGGACTCACCCTTGTCTATGACCAGTAAGTAATTCCTTGTCTTTCTGATGTATTTTTGCTTTTTCTTTTATTCTCTCTAAAGTCTCCTAACCCCGTGAATGATCACCTGCAAGGGCAGGGGTGAAACTGAGGTGAGGAAAAGTGAGTGTCTGCAGGGAATGCACAATTTTTTAATCTCCTCCATCAGTATCCTTTTCATTTATCTCATGTGCTCTCTCTAGAACTCTAGCAGAATTAGAAAGTTAAAGAAACCAGGAACCTCTTTTAGTCTTGCAGATTTAGATAAGTCTAAGGCATGTTGTTGAGTGAGAAAGTGAGTGAGTGAATGAGAAAGTAGACTTCCTTTCCAGTTTTCTAGCTTAACACAGAAAAGATGGAGAAATGCCACCTCTACACATCACACCCAGCAAATTACAATGCGTGCTCTGAGCTTTCACTTCTGAAACATAAAAACAAACCTTCCTGTTGCTAAGATTCAGCTGTGATGTTTTAACCATGCAAAAGAAGGTCCCAGAAATGTTGATCTACTACAAGAGTTGATCTGGGAAAGATGAAGAAGAAATTACTGCTTTTATCGAGGGTAAAATTGTGTAGAATTCTCAGATAGTAATCAGACAACAGAGGCTTCAGTTGTGAGAGTTAGAATCTGAGAAACAAGCTCCAGGTACACAGGATAGGAAATCTGGGCTGGAGAGCAGCTTGCTGCTACTGGCCTTCTGGACATGAGCTTGTGACTTTCCCTCCAGGGGTAAACCTGGCCATGCTTTGGGTGGAGCCTACACACCTTTTCCTCTCCTCTCCTCTCTCCTCTCCTTTTCTCTCCTCTCCTCTCCTCCCCCCTCCCCTCCCCTCCCCTCCCCTCTCCTTCCTCTCTCTTTCTTTCTCTCTCTCTCTTTCTTTCTTCCTTTCTGTCTTGTTCTGTTGACCAAGCTGGAGTGCAGTGGTGCGATCACAGCTCAATACAGCCTTGACTTCCTGGGTTCATACAATCCTCCCACCTTAACATTCAGAGTAGCTGGGACTACAGGCATGGGCTACCATATCATGCACAGGTAATTTTTTCTTTCTAGAGACAGGTGTCTCACTGTGTTGCCCAGGCTGTTCTCAAACTCCTGGGCTCAAGCAATTTGCCAGTCTTGGCCTCACAGAGGCTGAGATTACAGGCATGATCCACTGCACCCAGTCCCACCATTTCTGAAAATGTGAAACCTCAGAACTCCCTCCCAAGGAGGGGCATTTTTACTGATGGAACTAAGCTGATGTTTGCAACCATAAGAAGCAAAAGAGGAAGCTCAAGCAACTCACCTGACGATAGGACAAAACATTTCCCAACAAAGGCAGAGGTGTGGGCCCTGGAATTCCCAGTCTCTTAAAAAGTCCATGTGTACGGGTCCCATATCTACAAAGTGAAACAGAAATCAGGTCACAGGGATTGTGACTTTATAGATCAGAGGGCTGGTGAGTTACTCAGGAACTGGAATGGTCAAGAGAGGGAGGTAATATGTACACGATAAATAATAACAGCAACTCCAACATCAGTAATTGCATTCACTCATCAGGTCCTTTCCTGACTATTCTGAGACCCCTGAAAAGTCTCAATGATTAGCTGAAAGCAGCTGAAGTCTTCATAGTCCCAATCCTGGAGTGAATACTTGATAAATGTCCTCAAATGCTCCTGAGAGGTTCAGGCAGGAATTCTTCCAGGACACTTCATTTCCTTATGTCTGTTTAGTAAGTGGACTCTTCGCTGATTTGGGGACTCTCATCCTAGGTAGAAAGAGTAAGATTTTTTTTGTCTTTTGCACTGATGATGAGATTTTGCATCACTGTATGCACTCAATCACAGAGGGTCACTGGGAGCCTATGGTGACACTGCCCTTACAATTTGCTCAGAAATGTTTATGCTTTTTCTTCCCTCTAAGCTCTGACCCTGTTTTAGGATCTAGCCCTTCTTAAACGTTCATTCACAGAGAGGCCTTGGAGGAGTCATGGAGTCCTTATTTCTACAGATTGACAACTGTGTTCATGGCTTCTATTGGCCTTATAGAAATGTGGGCAGCTTTCAGGTACACCTCAGTCTCTGTGGTCAGATGATCTGGTTGATTTGAGCTGTTGAGGAGGATGGTTGATCCATATGTCCTTGAATGATTGTGTGCAGAAGAACCAGCAACTAATACTTCTCAGGTCATACTCACCTGAGAAGCACAGTGCCAGGCACACTCATCTTTTTCAAGGTGGTCAACCAGAAAGCAGTCAGTTCACTGCCTCTGTACGTGAAGTATCTCTGAGGAAAAACCCATTAAGCCTGGTGTTCACTATGGCAGGCCTGCCTGGAACTCATCTTTCATGAGTCATGTGCAAACTCCTCCAACTGATGGTTCTGGATCCTTGCAGACCTTCCCCCTCCGGTGTGACTGAGGGATGGAAAACTGGAGGAAGAAGAGAGGCTGAAGGAAGAGGTTGCCAGACACTGATTCAGCTGTGAAGCTGCTAGCCCCACACAGTTGGCTCCAGAGAGGCAAACTACAAAAATGTGGCTGAAAAAGATGATGTGCATAAAAGAATCCACATGCCTCATATGTACTTTCAGCTAAAAGACACAGAGGGACCTTCCAAAGTCCAGGTACTTTCCTGTTGATAGCAAATGGTGCAGTATGGCATATAAGATAAGTAATGATAAAACGTCCCGGAGAGTTGTATTAAGACCTTGTTTACTCCTCTTTAGAGGTTAGCCTTCAAGGCAGTATAGGTTCCAAACATTTTGTAAACATCCAGTGACTTATAAAATGTGATAAAATAAAACTGAGAAATTACATGAAGGGCAGGGTTTGGAGGACTCAGCAGGGGCAGCATGAGCAGGCCCAGTCATACATTTGGTTCCCTGCCCCAGAACAGTTAGTGGAAGTGCGTGCACCACCTGCCAAAGCCAGGGTGGCCTTGGGTATTCCCACTTCAGTTCCCTCCTTTGTTGTCACAGCCATGTCAAATCAATGACACTAATCTCTGCTCCTGAACTTTAAACACATTACCTGACCTCTCAGGTGAGGACAAGCTATTGAGTTAATGTGTCAGCAGCATTGGCCCCCAAGGAAAGATCTTGGTGAGTGTCTAGATTCACATGGTACCATGTCAAGGCAGATGCTGTGCTGGGCGAACTCTTTAGTTTCTTTCCAGCTCCCCTCTGGTAGAGTAATGCAGCCTTTGGGTCCAGTGAAGAGACTAACAGAAAAGCCAGTCATCTATTGCATGTAATTGTGTTGGCCTAAGGAGGGCCTGGTCTACACTGCATTTTCTGACTCCTGGGCTGCACCAGCATTGTCTAAGGCTAAGGCATTGTCTGCCTGGCTGCCCGAGTCTGTAGTGACCGGCCCACAACATGGCAGACCACACACAGAGTGACACAGATGGTGCCCCTGTGTCCAGGCTTGAAGCAGATGAGATGCCAACCTGTTTGCCCTTTGAGTGACCTCCACGGTGGGGCCAGGACCCATGAATATCTCTTTGGAGTTCTACCCTGAGAGCTGAGGAATATTTTCTCACTTCATATGGATCCTACCTGGAAGCCTTTGCTATCGTCACTGGCTCACAGTCTTGCTTACTCCCCTGTCCTGAGAGTTTAAGACAATCTGCTAAGCAGGTATATTCGAAAAGGAGTTATTAAAATAAATGGCCGGACAGGTATATTTGAAAAGACGTGCAGTCTTGTCTTAGAGGTATACATTTGTGCATTAGACTCATATTCCTGACATTCAGGAAAGGTGACATTATTTTACACACACTTATTGTCACAAATACTGAACTAACAGCCCTGTTTTACCATCCAGAAGGAACATGCTGGAAATAGTCTATCTCCAAAAAATTCTGGTTTAAAAATGAATGAATTTAAACCATATCAATTCATTTAAAAATGTTAGACAATGGAAACCATGTTGCCACAACTCACTGAATTCCTAAGCTTTCTGTGAAAGAATTAAAATGAGGTTTATAGTGTCTATTTTCATGTCATTGTGGTTCCCTGCTCTTAATAAAAGTCAAATTGAGGTAGAAGTTAATGGGACAGGTGGAGCCTCCACTACCCACAGTGGAAAGTAACTCTTCTCTCCACCTGCTCTAGGATGCCAGGAATCCCACCAGTGAGAGGGTTTGCCCTCCTGTACTGTAACATAAAGGGGAAAAATATGTAAAATCCAAATTGGCTTTCATGGCTCCTGCCTTTTCAGGCTGCTAGTAGATTCCCATTAGGTGAGAAACAAAGCTCTATATTAATCCTAGCCTCCCAGAGACGGGAGGAAAAAGATTAAAGCAAAGAATAAATCCTCGAAACTTCCTCCAGGTCTCCTTTGCTCTAGAGGTTAATCATTGCAAGATAAACCATCCTGTGTATGACAGGGTGGAGGAGTGACTCATAGGAGGGAGGGGATTTTCAGGGGCATGGCACAGGAAAGAGGGAAGAGCCAGGGGACAGCTTCCCATGAAGTCTTGGTGTCCCCTGGTGCGTTATGTAAATGATATCCTGGGTTGGAAGGCGGGGGAGCAGGAACCAGGTCTACAGGGGCAATACAGCTACACATCCCTTCCAGCAGACACAGAACCCAGAAAGCGAATTAATGAGACAAAAATGCAAGCCACTCCTTCCTGTACCCAGAATCCCCAGAGCCTGGGAAGGGGATGAGGATCACACTGTCCATCATGATCAGCAGTTTGTAATCTGCCGCTGCCATGTTTTCATTGATTAGTCTTCGTCAGATCTAAGCTAATCAAATCATTCCCACTACCAAATGCTGTCCCTAAACCCTCCTAGTCACCAAAATTAGAAGGTGGATGGGAGAAATGCTTATTTATTCATTCATAGATCTGCATAAGATAATAATAACTTCTATGCGTTTGTAGCGTCCAACACTTCAGCTACTTCTCCTTGAACATCTCTTTTGATCTTCAAAACAGATAAGGGAAAAGGGGCCCGATTAGCACCCCAAGTCCAAGGAAACAAAGAGAGGAGTTTGGACAGTTACTCACAGATAGAGGAGCACCAGGCTGACAGCCAGGAGAAGCCAGGTTTCCACCGCCAAATTTGGGATGAGGTCCATCGCCACTTTCCTTCTTCAACTGTGTTCTGTGAGTCTTCCTTTTAGCTGAGTGCTGCTGTTTGCTGGGCTGTTTGCCTGGAGCTTCCCTGCCCTGCACAGCAGTCTTCAGCCAAGCTGCTGAAAGATTTATGTGCTGGAGAAGGAGGCAGGGCTATAGCTGCAGCCAATAGCAAAGAATCGCACACACCCCTTTGCTGACCTCTTTTGAGTTCATGTTCTATGAGGAATCATGAAAAGCTTAATCAGTGTTATCGGGGAGTCCAAGGGTTCTGGGTTCTTATCAGAAACTCAAGTGGAGCCATTGGCATGAAATCTATTAACCCTCCTCTCACCTGCCCCTCCATGGCTGCCTTCATTCTAGAATAATTGAAATCCATCCTCACAAGCCACACCTACACATCTTTACCCACGAAATTCCCTCTGCCTGGAGTGTACCTGTGCCCTCTAGATGACTCCTACGTATCCTTCCAAGCCCAGCCAGACAGACCCCTTCTGCTAAAATTTTTCCTTACCAACCTCCTCACACAAATGTAACCATTTCCTCCTCTGGGTGCCTCCTATCCCCCTCACACAGTCCTATTGTCCTCTTTTCTCTCTACCACCATTGTAAGTTTCTATGCCTGTTTCCCTTAGCAGAGGTGAGCTCCTCAAGGGCACAGTCTGGTATTATTTACTTTCATGACCCTGGTTCCTAGCAGGGTACTGTACACATGGTGGGTAACCAGGAATGTTGGTGGAGTTGTCTTGGGTGAGATTGCTGGGCGTCTCATCCCCTCTGACTCTGTGGTGATAGCAATAGACTAATGGTTGCTTGGGACTCAAATGCAGCCACACTGTGTCCCAACTAATAAAGTTGGTCTTGTTCTGCAAAGGAAAATAATAGAAATCATGTTCTGCCACTTAATTCCTCATAAGGTAACATAACATGAAGAGACTTACCTGTTGAGAGTTGTACTGAATCTGTCAAGGAAGATACTGTGTATCAGAAGAACACCCAACCAGTTTGTGCCTCTCATCTATTCATTCCTGTATTAAAGCATTCATGATGTATTTTAAAAGCTGTGCTCCCAGTACTTGGGTACAACACTGACTAAGGCCCAGACATTAGCTCAGTTGTTTTGATTTGTAGATCCCACAAGTATGTGAGAACTTGCAATATCTGTGTTTCTGTGCCTGGCTTATTTCACTTAACATGATGACCTCCAGTTCCATCCATATTATTACAGATAACAGGATCTCATGCTTTTTTCATGGCTGAATTGTGCTCCATTGTGTATAATTGGAGTACTTTCTTTATCCATTCATCTGTTGATGGACACTTAGGTTGCTTCCAAATCTTGGCATTTGTGAATAGTGGCTATTGTGAATATTGGAGTGATGTTATCTCTTCAATATATGATTTCCTTTCTTCCAGGTATATACCCAGCATGGGGATTTCTGGATATTGTGGTAGCTCTATTTAATGTTAATTTTAATGTTTTGAGGAACCTCCAAATTGTTCTCTATAGTGGTTGCACTAATTTACACCAACAGTGTACAAGGGTTCCCTTTTCTCCACATTCTCGCTGGCATTTGTTGTTGCCTGTCTTTTGGATAAAAACCATTTTAGCTGGGGTAAGATGATATCTCATTGTGGTTTTGATTTGCATTTCTCTAATGACCAGTGATGTTGAGCACCTTATCATATGCCTATGTGGCATTTGTATGTCTTCTTTTGAAAAATGTCTATTCAAATTTTGCCCATTTTTTGATTGGATTATTAGATTTTTCCTTACAGAGTTGTTTGAGCGCTTCATGTATTCTGGCTATTAATCTGTTGTCAGAGTGTGACTTTGAAAATATTTTCTCCCATTCTGTGGTTTGTGTCTTCACTTTGTTGATTGCTTTCTTTGTGGTACAGAAGCTTTTTAACTTGATCTGATCCATTTGTCCATTTTTGCTTTGGTTGCCTGTGCTTGTGGGGTAGTTCTTCAGAAAGTTTTGCCCAGACCAATATCCTGAAGAGTTTCCACAATGTTTTCTTGTAGCAGTTTCATCGTTTGAGGTCTCAGATTTCAGTTTTGTTTTTTGTTTTTTTGTTTTTTGTTTTTCTGACAGAGTCTCACTCTCTTGCCCAGGCTGGGGTGCATTGTCATGATCTCAGCTCACTGCCACCTCCGCCTCCTGGGTCCAAGTGATTCTGCCACCTCAGCCTTCTGTGTAGCTGGGACTACAGGCACGCACCAGCATGTCCAGCTAACTCTTGTATTTTTTGGTAGACATGTGGTTTCACCATGTTGGCCAGGCTGGTCTTGAACTCCTGACCTCAAGTGATACACCCGCCTCGGCCTCTCAAAATGCTGGGATTACAGGCATGAGCCACGGCACTCAGCCAGGTTTCAGTCTTTCGTCCACCTTGATTTGATTTTTGTGTCTGGTGAGATACAGGGTTCTAGTTTCATTATTCTGCATGTTAAAATCCAGCTTTCCCAGCACCAGAAGAGACTGTCTTTTCCCCCAGTGTATGTTCTTGACAACATTGTTGAAAATGAGTTCACCGTAGGTGTGTGGAATTGTTTCTGGGTTCTCTATTCTATTTCATTGGTCTGTGTCTGTTTTTATACAAGTACCATACTGTTTTGGTTATTATACCTCTGTAGTATAATTTGAAGTCAGGTAATATGATTCCTCCAGTTTTGTTCTTTTTGCTGAAGGTAGCTTTCGCTATTCTGGGTCTTTTGTGGTTCCATACAAATTTTAGGGTTTTTTTTTTTCTATTTCTTTGAAGAATGCCATTGGTATTTTGAGAGACTGCATTGAATCTGTGCATTGCTTTGGGTAGTATGGACATTTTTAACAATATTAATGCTTACAATATATAAACATGGAATATCCTTCTTTTTTGTGTCTTCTTCAATTTCCTTCATCAGTGTTTTACAATATTAATTGTAGACATCTTTCTCTTAAGTTAATTCCCAGGTATTTAGTTTTATTTGGGGTTATTGTAAATGGGATTACATTTTTTATTTTTGCCAGATTGTTCACTGTTGGCATGCAGAAATGCTACTGGTTTTTGTATGTTGATTTTGTATCCAGCAACATTACTGAATTTGTTTATCAGATCTAATAGTTCTTTAGTGGAGTCTTTAAGTGTTTCCATATATCATTTGGAAATCATTTGGAAATATCATTTGGAAATCATTTTCAAATATCATTTCCAAACATTACTTGGAAATCATTTGAACATCTTCTTGCTTCCTGGCACAAAATGTATCCTAGGCTTATCTTGAACATTCTTAATCCTGGCCCTGGAATCAGCCATTTCTCTAAAAAGCTCTGGTTCCTTTCAGTGGAAAATGGTATTAATAAGCCAAGATCTGGCCACTAAGTGTGCTCATTGCTATTGAAATGCCATTGTTACCTAGCCCTATCAGTGGAGAGAAGTAGGGAGTATATGTTTTTTTGTACACACACACAAACACATACATACATTTATGTCTATCTAATTATCTTGTCCTCTTGTTATCTTTTTATCACCTATCTAACCATTTATCTATCTAGAAGGGTATGAATATACATGGATACATCCATTTTAATCTAATTTCATAGGATTCCTGCTAGTTTTCTCCCTTTCTGAATCCATGACTCTTTTCTGCAAAAGTGACACACCTGGCTTCCAGTATACTTTATTTACTTATTTCATCAATCCCCTTTATGTAGTGAAACCTCACCCATCCCTTCCCACTCATGGATGCCCTCCTCACCTCATGCCCTAAATATGTTCTCCATGCCCTGTTTAGGCTCTGGCTGCTTTTTCAGGCCACCCCTCTGTGTCGACATTTTCTCTGCTTGCTTGGACTCCCACACACAGGCCGGGCTGTTTCTCCACGTGAACACCTACTTGATCCTCACCCTACTAGGTCTCTGACTTGGAACCATCATGACACTCTCTTTTCTACCTTAATGTGTGGCCACCATCTGGCTGCCACCCACCTAATGACTTTAGGATAAGTTACTCAGGAAGGGAAAGTAAAGAAAGAAGTGGGAACAGACAAGGAATGAGTGTGTTTAGCCTGTTGCCCAATCAATTGACCAATTGACTGTTTCTTATTAAGTGTTCATTGCAGTAAGACAGTTGGGAGTTGAGAATGGAATGCAAGAGGTGTAAGAAAACATGTTTCCCATCTCCCAGAAATATCAGGGGAGATGGTTTGAAAACATTAAATCAAAACTAATAATATAATAAGGGATTCAGTTGTATGTTATAAAATGTATGTGCTTCAAAAAGGCATAATTTTTTTTTTTTTTTTTTGAGATGGAATCTCACTCTGTCACCCAGGCTGGAGTGTAATGGTGCGTCTCGGCTCACTGCAACCTCTGCCTCCAGGTTCAAGTGATTCTCCTGCCTCAGCCTCCTGGGTAGCTGAGATTATAGGTGCATACCACCACACCTAGCTAATTTTTGTATTTTTAGTAGAGATGGGGTTTCACCATGTTGGTCAGGCTGGTCTCGAACTCCTGACCTCAGGTGATCCACCCACCTCGGCCTCCCAAAGTGCTGGGATTACAGGCATGAGCCACTGTGCTTGGTCAAAAAAGGCATAATTAAACTATGAATGTTCTTTCTAAGCAATGGGCAAAGTCACAGTGGATTAATTCTCACCTATGTTAATAATCACATTGGAGTTCTGACAAATGCCCCACACCAACAATGGTTACAATGATCACATATATTTACTTGTTGGTTCTCATTCATTCAGTTCTATAGATTTCTCCTTAATGTTCAGGAAAGTATCCGATGATACTTTTGTAAGAGGTTTTTATTGATTTGCTTAATATAAACTTATTATAGAATGCTCCAGATAAAACAGATGATATAAATGTCACTGTTAGAGCCATCAAAATAATTCTTATTTTCATTAATAATTTTGGATGAAATTATTGAGAAATTTTGATTCTTTTATCAGAGCTCAGGAGGAGTTAATGGTGCTAACTAGGGGTGGCTGAGATTGTCCTGTGAGAAACAAAGAAGCCAAATCTACTTCCCAAGCACTGATTTGGTCACTTCCTTTATATTCCCAAGTATAACACTCTACACAGACAGGGAGAGAGCTCAGTGCATGTACAGAATCCCTGGTTATTTATGCAGTACAGTGGATGAAGCCCATCTTCATTTCAGGGTACTATTCACAAAGTAATTTGAGGTCTCTGGTGTTCTAGGTCACAGCTTTTTTGAAGAGCAAAGCAGAAGTCCTTAGGGAAATTCAGGTTCCACTTACGGTCCCATCCCTTGACTCAACCTTTAGAACAATGGGTTTTTCTGGTTGAAGAAGTCCTCCTAAGCGTAATTTCAGCGGGATCTGCAACAGTTAAACAAGCATATTGAGAAGCATTAAATAAAGCAAAATTAGAAACTGTAGCATCAAAGTAAACAAAAAATGTATTGCTGACTATGCACATAGTTTGTGACCATTACAAACTATGTGGAAATTCAGGGAGGTAAAGCAAGACAAAGATGTTCCAAGGAAAATATGAGGAGGATTTCATATCAGTTTTGAAATAATTCTCCTTTGCTAAAAGATCAATAACAAGGGTGACACCACACCAAGGTTGGACAGGCAGTCGCTGGGCAGGTGCCCTTGCAGAAATATTTTTGTGTAAGGTTGGGATTGCCTTTGTGCAAACTTGTGGTTTCGCAAAGCGTTTGTGATAGTTGTGTTATCAGGCACACGAGCATGGGAATCCCCTCTTCACAGCCTGCTTTATTTGTCATGATTTTTAAACACACACACTGACACACACACACAAATACACACGTGACATCATTTGGTTCTGACAACGTCCACATTTGCTATTGTAAAACTTTTCAAGGCTTGTCCTACCAAGGATCCCATAAGTCACCTAGTGTCGAGGTCTTCAGTGAAACTAGGCTGGGAGCCTTGTGGTTACCACTTTTCTCCAGACTTTGGTGGCCCAGGGACTCCCAGCATCACGTTCTTTCCAGTGTCTTCCCTTGTTCTTTTTTTCTTCCTTAGGTGACCTTTTATCACATGCATTGTCTCAGACCCTCTAATATGTGCTCATAAATGCATGGCATTATCTCCTTCCCACATCAATACACTTTCAATTAAAAGCCAAAACTCGGGGGGTGGAGCCAAGATGGCCGAATAGGAACAGCTCCGGTCTACAGCTCCCAGTGTGAGTGACACAGAAGACGGGTGATTTCTGCATTTTCATCTGAGGTACCGGGTTCATCTCACTAGGGAGTGCCAGACAGTGGGTGCAGGACAGTGGGTGCAGCGTGCTGTGCACAAGCCGAAGCAGGGCGAGGCATTGCCTCACTTGAGAAGCGCAAGGGGTCAAGGAGTTCCCTTTCCTAGTCAAAGAAAGGGGTGACAGACAGCACCTGGAAAATCAGGTCACTCCCACCCTAATACTGTGCTTTTCCAACGGGCTTAAAAAACGGCACACCAGGAGATTATATCCTGCACATGGCTCGGAGGGTCCTATGCCCATGGAGTCTCACTAATTGCTAGCACAGCAGTCTGAGATCAAACTGCAAGGCGGCAGTGAGGCTGGGGGAGGGGTGCCTGCCATTGCCCAGACTTGATAAGGTAAACAAAGCAGCTGGGAAGCTCAAACTGGGTGGAGCCCACCACGGCTCAAGGAGGCCTGCCTGCCTCTTTAGGCTCCACCTCTGGGGGCAGGGCACAGATGAACAAAAAGACAGCAGTAACCTCTGCAGACTTAAATGTCCCTGTCTGACAGCTTTGAAGAGAGTAGTCATTCTCCCAGCACGCAGCTGGAGATCTGAGAACGGGCAGGCTGCCTCCTCAAGTGGGTCCCTGTCCCCTGAGCAGCCTAACTGGGAGGCACCCCCCCCCCAGTAGGGGCAGACTGACACCTCACACGGCCAGGTACTCCTCTGAGACAAACCTTCCAGAGGAACGATCAGGCAGCAGCATTTGCAGGTCACCAATATCTGCTGTTCTACAGCCACTGCTGTTCTGCAGGCACCACTGCTGATACCCAGGCAAACAGGGTCTGGAGTGGACCTCTAGCAAACTCCAACAGACCTGCAGCTGAGGGTCCTGTCAGAAGGAAAACTAACAAACAGAAAGGACATCCACACCAAAAACCCATCTGTACATCACCATCATCAAAGACCAAAAGTAGATAAAACCACAAAGATGGGGAAAAAACAGAGCAGAAAAACTGGAAACTCTAAAAAGCAGAGTGCCTCTCCTCCTCCAAAGGAATGCAGCTCCTCACCAGCAATGGAACAAAGCTGGATGGAGAATGACTTTGGCAAGTTGAGAGAAGAAGGCTTCAGACGATCAAACTACTCCAAGCTACAGGAGGAACTTCAAACCAATGGCAAAGAAGTTAAAAAGTTGAAATAAAATTAGATGAATGGATAACTAGAATAACCAATACAGAGAAGTCCTTAAAGGAGCTGATGGAGCTGAAGGCCAAGGATTGAGAACTACATGAAGAATGCAGAAGCCTCAGGAGCTGATGCGATCAACTGGAAGAAAGGGTATCAGTGATGGAAGATCAAATGAATGAAATAAAGCGAGAAGGGAAGTTTAGAGAAAAAGAATAAAAAGAAATGAACAAAGCCTCCAAGAAATATGGGACTATGTGAAAAGACCAAATCTACGTCTCACTGGTGGACCTGAAAGCGATGGGGAGAATGGAAGCAAGTTGGAAAACACTCTGCAGGATATTATCCAGGAGAACTTCCCCAATCTAGCAAGGCAGGCCAACATTCAGATTCAGGAAATACAGAGAATGTCAAAAAGATACTCCTCGAGAAGAGCAACTCCAGGACTCATAATTGTCAGATTCACCAAAGTTGAAATGAAGGAAAAAATGTTAAGGGCAGCCAGAGAGAAAGGTCGGGTTACCCACAAAGGGAAGCCCATCAGACTAACAGCTGATCTCTTGGCAGAAACTCTACAAGGCAGAAGAGAGTGGGGACCAATATTCAACATTCTTAAGGGAAAGAATTTTCAACCCAGAATCTCATATCCAGACAAACTAAGCTTCATAAGTGAAGGAGAAATAAAATCCTTTACAGACAAGCAAATGCTGAGAGATTTTGTCACCACCAGGCCTGCCCTAAAAGAGCTCCTGAAGGAAGCACTAAACATGGAAAGGAACAACTGGTACCAGCCACTGCAAAAACATGCCAAAAGGTAAAGACCATCAAGGCTAGGAAAAAAATGCATCAACTAACGAGCAAAATAACCAGCTAACATCATAATGACAGGATCAAATTCACACATAACAATATTAACCTTAAATGTAAATGGGCTAAATGCTCCAATTAAAAGACACAGATGGGCAAATTAGATAAAAAGTCAAGACCCATCAGTGTGCTGTATTCAGGAAACCCATCTCACATGCAGAGCCACACATAGGCTCAAAATAAAGGGATGGAGGAAGATCTACCAAGCAAATGGACAACAAAAAAAGGCAGGGGTTGGAATCCTAGTCTCTGATAAAACAGACTTTAAACCAACAAAGATCAAAAGAGACAAAGAAGGCCATTACATAAAGGTAAAGGGATCAATTCAACAAGAAGAGCTAACTATCCTAAATATGTATGCACCCAATACAGGAGCACCCAGATTCATAAAGCAAGTCCTTAGTGACCTACAAAGAGACTTTGACTCCCACACAATAATAATGGGAGACTTTAACACCCCATTGTCAACATTAGACAGATCAACGAGACCAAAAGTTAACAAGGATACCCAGGAATTGAACTCAGCTCTGCACCAAGCAGACCTAATAGCCATCTACAGAACTCTCCACCCCAAATCAACAGAATATACATTTTTTTCAGCACCACACCTATTCCAAAATTGACCACATAGTTGGAAGTAAAGCACTCCTCAGCAAATGTAAAAGAACAGAAATTATAACAAACTGTCTCTCAGACCACAGTGCAATCAAACTAGAACTCAGGATTAAGAAGCTCACTCAAAACTGCTCAACTACATGGAAACTGAACAACCTGCTCTGGAATGACCACTGGCTACATAACAAAATGAAGGCAGAAATAAAGATGTTCTTTGAAACCAACAAGAACAAAGACACAACATACCAGAATCTCTGGGACACATTCAAAGCAGTATGTAGAGGGAAATTTATAGCACTAAATGCCCACAAGAGAAAGCAGGAAAGATCCAAAATTGACACTCTAACATCACAATTAAAAGAACTAGAAAAGCAAGAGCAAACACATTCAGAAGCTAGCAGAAGGCAAGAAATAACTAAAATCAGAGCAGAACTGAAGGAAATAGAGACACAAAAACCCTTCAAAAAATTAATGAATCCAGGAGCTGGTTTTTTGAAAAGATCAACAAAATTGATAGAACGCTAGCAAGACTAATAAAGAAGAAAAGAGAGAAGAATCAAATAGATGCAATAAAAAATGACAAAGGGGATATCACCACCCATCCCACAGAAATACAAACTACCATCAGAGAATACTACAAACACCTATATGCAAATAAACTAGAAAATCTAGAAGAAATGGATAAATTCCTCGACACATACACCCTCCCAAGACTAAACCAGGAAGAAGTTGAATCTCTGAATAGACCAATAACAGGCTCTGAAATTGTGGCAATAATCAATAGCTTACCAACCAAAAAAGTCCAGGACCCATCGTCTCAGCCCAAAATCTCCTTAAGCTGATAAGCAACTTCAGCAAAGTCTCAGGATACAAAATCAATGTACAAAAATCACAAGCATTCTTATACACCAATAACAGACAAACAGCCAAATCATGAGTGAACTCCCATTCACAATTGCTTCAAAGAGAATAAAATACCTAGGAATCCACCTTACAAGGGATGTGAAGGACCTCTTCAAGGAGAATTACAAACCACTGCTCAATGAAATAAAAGAGGATACAAACAAATGGAAGATCATTCCGTGCTCATGGGTAGGAAGAATCAATATTGTGAAAATGGCCATACTGCCCAAGGTAATTTATAGATTCAATGCCATCCCCATAAAGCTACCAATGACTTTCTTCACAGAATTGGAAAAAACTACTTTAAAGTTCATATGGAACCAGAAAAGAGCCCGCATTGCCAAGTCAATCCTAAGCCAAAAGAACAAAGCCGCAGGCATCACGCTACCTGACTTCAAACTATACTACAAGGCTACAGTAACCAAAACAGCATGGTACTGGTACCAAAACAGAGATATTGGCCAATGGAGCAGAACAGAGCCCTGAGAAAGAATGCCACATATCTACAACCATCTGATCTTTGACAAACCTGACAAAAGCAATGGGGAAAGGATTCCCTATTTAATAAATGGTGCTGGGAAAACTGGCTAGCCATATGTAGAAAGCTGAAACTGGATCCCTTCCTTACAACTTATACAAAAATTAATTCAAGATGGATTAAAGACTTACATGTTAGACCTAAAACCATAAAAACCTTAGAAGAAAACCTAGGCAATACCATTCAGTACAGAGGCATGGGCAAGGACTTCATGTCTAAAACACCAAAAGCAATGGCAACAAAAGCCAAAATTGACAAATGGGATCTAATGAAACTAAAGAGCTTCTGCACAGCAAAAGAAACTACCATCAGAGTGAACAGGCAACCTACAGAATGGGAGAAAATTTTTGCAACCTACTCATCTGACAAAGGGCTAATATCCAGAATCTACAATGATCTCAAACAAATTTACAAGAAAAAAACAACCCCATCAACAAGTGGGTGAAGGATATGAACAGACACTTCTCAAAAGAAGACATTTATGCACCCAACAGACACATGAAAAAATGCTCATCATCACTGGCCATCAGAGAAATGCAAATCAAAACCACAATGAGATACCATCTCACACCAGTTAGAATGGTGATCATTAAAAAGTCAGAAAACAACAGGTGCTGGAGAGGATGTGGAGAAATAGGAACACTTTTACACTGTTGGTGTGACTGTAAACTAGTTCAACCATTGTGGAAGTCAGTGTGGCGATTCCTCAGGGATCTAGAACTAGGAATACCATTTGACCCAGCCATCACATTACTGGGTATATACCCAAAGGATTATAAATCATGCTGCTATAAAGACACATGCACACTTATGTTTATTGTGGCACTATTCACAATAGCAAAGACTTGGAACCAACCCAAATGTCCAACAACGATAGACTGGATTAAGAAAATGTGGCACATATACACCATGGAATACTATGCAGCCATAAAAAATGAAGAGTTCATGTCCTTTGTAGGGACATGGATGAAGGTGGAAACCATCATTCTCAGCAAACTATCGCAAGGACAAAAAACCAAACACCGCATGTACTCACTCAAAGGTTGGAATTGAACAATGAGAACACATGGACACAGGAAGGGGAACATCACACTCCGGGGACTGTTGTGGGGTAGGGGGAGGGGGTAGGGATAGCATTAGGAGATATACCTAATGCTAAATGACGAGTTAATGGGTGTGGCACACCAACATGGCACATGTATACATATGTAACAAACCTGCACATTGTGCACATGTACCCTAAAACTTAAATAATAATAAAATAAAATAAACCTTCTGTCTCATTGATCTGTCTAATATTGACAATGGGGTGTTAAAGCCTCTCATTATTATTGTGTGGAGTCTAAGTCTCTTTATAGGTCTCTAAGGACTGCTTTATGAATCTGGGTGCTCCTGTATTGGGTGCATATATATTTAGGATAGTTAGCTCTTCTTGTTGAATTGATCCCTTTATCATTATGTAGTGGCCTTCTTTGTCTTTTTTGATCTTTGTTGGTTTAAAGTCTATTTTATCAGAGAATAGGATTGCAACCCCTGCTTTTTTTTGCTTTCTGTTTGCTTAGTAGATCTTCCTCCATCCTCTTATTTTGAGCCTATGTGTGTCTTTGCATGTGAGGTGGGTCTCCTGAACACAGCACACCAATGGGTCTTCACTCTTTATCCAGTTCATCAGTCTGTGTCTTTTAATTGGGGCATTTAGCCCATTTACATTTAAGGTTAATATTGATATGTGTGAATTTGATCCTGCAATTATGATGTTAGCTGGTTATTTTGCCCATTAATTGATGCAGTTTCTTCATAGCATCGATGGTCTTTACCATTTGGCATGTTTTTGCAGTGTCTGGTAGCAGTTCTTTCTTTCCATGTTTAGTGCTTCCTTCAGGAGCTCTTGTAAGGCAGGCCTGGTGGTGACAAAATCTCTCAGCATTTGCTTGTCTGTAAAGTATTTTATTTCTCCTTCACTTATGAAGCTTAGTTTGGCTGGATAAGAAATTTTGGGTTGAAAATTCTTTTCCCTAAGTATGTTGAATATTGACCCCCAATCTCTTCTGTTTTGTAGGGTTTCTGCTGAGAGATCTGCTGTTAGTCTGGTGGACTTCCCTTTGTGGGGAAGCCGACCTTTCTCTCTGGCTGCCCTTAACATTTTTTCCTTCATTTCAACCTTGGTGAATCTGATAATTATGTGTCTTGGGGTTGCTCTTTTTGAGGAGTATCTTTGTGGTGTTCTCTGTATTTCCTGAATTTGAATGTTGGCCTGCTTTGCTAGTTTGGGGAAGTTCTCTTGGATAATATCCTGAAGAGTGTTTTCTGACTTGGTTCCATTCTCCCTGTCCCTTTCTGATACACCTGTCAAATGTAGATTTGGTCTTTTCACATAGTCCCATATTTCTTGGAGGCTTTGTTCATTTCTTTTCACTTTTTTTTCTCTAATCTTGTCTTCTTGCTTTATTTCATTAGTTTGATCTTTGATCACTGATATCCTTTCTTACAGTTGATCGAATCGGCTATTGAAGCTTGTGCATGCATCACGAAGTTCTTGTACCATGGTTTTGAGCTGTCAGGTCATTTAAGGTCTTCTTGACACTGTTTATTTTAGTTAGCCATTCATGTAACCTTTTTCCAAGGTTGTTAGCTATCTTGTGATGGGTTAGAACATGCTCCTTTAGCTCGGATAAGTTTGCTAATACCGACCTTCTGAAGACTACTTCTGTCAACTCATCAAACTCATTCTCTGTCCAGTTTTGTTCCCTTGCTGGTGAGGAGCTGTGATCTTTCGGAGGAGAAGAGATGCTCTGTTTTTTGGAATTTTCAGCTGTTTTGCTCTGGTTTCTTCCCATCTTTATGGTTTTATCTATCTTTGGTCTCTGATGTTGGTGACCTACAAATGGGGTTTTGGTGTGGATGTCCTTTTTGTTGATGTTGATGCTATTTCTGTCTGTTAGTTTTTCTTCTAACAGTCAGACTCCTCAGCTGCAGGTCTTTTGGAGTTTGCTGGAGGTCCTCTTCAGACCCTGTTTGCCTGGGTATTACCTGCAGAGGCTGCAGAACAGCAAATATTTCTGCCTCATCCTTCCTCTGGAAGCTTCATCCCAGAGGGGCACCCGCATGTTTGAAGTGTCTGTCGGCCTCTACTGGAAAGTGGTTCCCAGTCAGGCTACAGGGGGGTCAGGAACACATTTGAGGAGGCAGTCTATCCGTTCTCAGAGCTCGAATACCGTGCTGAGAGAACCACTGCTCTCTTCAGAGCTGTCAGACAGGGACGTTTAAGTCTGCAGAGGCTGTCTGTCTCCTGTGTTTTGTTCTACTCTGCCCTGCCCCCAGAAGTGGAATCTACAGAGGCAGTAGGCCTTGCTGAGCTGCGGTGGGCTCCACCCACTTCGTGCTTCCAGGCCTCTTTGTTTACACAGTAAGCTACTCAAGCCTCAGCAATGGCTGATACCCCTCCTCTATCAAGCTGCAGCATATCAGGTGGATCTCAGACTGCTGCACTAGCAGTGAGCAAGTCTCCGTGGGTGTGGCACCTGCCGATCGAGGCACGGGAGGGTATCTCCTGGTCTGCCTGTTGCTAAGACTCAGTTGGAAATGCAGAAGTCACCTATCTTCTGCCTCAATCTTGCTGGGAGCTGCAGACTAGAGCTGTTCCTATTCGGCCATCTTGGAAATGCTTCCCTTGATTAATATTTCAAATATACTTAACCCTGCGTCTAATTGGGGCTGAAAACAGTTGAATCCAATGAAATCAGACTTGCTGGCAGTTAGAGGAATCTTATTTGGAGACATCATAAGGGAAAGGAGAGAAAACAGAGGAGGTATTTGAAATGGGAAATTTAAAATCACTCTTGAATTTTCTCAAAGTGCTGTAGATACTGAATGACTTATCATTGTGTGTAAACTAGGTAACTCCTTGTCTTTCTGATGCCTTTTTGCTTTTTCATGTATTGTCTCTAAAATCTCATAAATCCTTGAATGATCACCTCCAGGGGCACATGGGGAAACTGAGGCTGAGGGAAAGAGAGTGAGTGTCAGAAGGGAATGCACAGTCTTTTATCTCTGTTCATCATCCTTTTCATTTATTTCATCAGCTCGCTCTAGAATTCTAGCAGAATTAGGAAGTTACAGACATCAGGGACCTCTTTTAGTCTAGCAGATTTAGATAAGTCTGAGGCATGTTGTTGAGTGAGAAAAGGAGTGAGTGACAGAATGACAAAGTGGACTCACTTTCCAGTTTTCCAGCTTAACATGGAAGTTCTGAGAAAATGTCCCCTCTACACATTGGACACAGCAAATTACAACACTTGCTCAGCGTTTTCACTGAAACTGAAAAACAAACTTTCCTGTTTTCTACATTTCAGGGTTGATGTTTTACCTGTGCAAACAAAGATCCCAGGAATGTTTATCTTGGGGGGTACATCTACTAAAGAACTGACCTAGAAAAGGTGGCGGGGAAATTATTGCTTTTGCAAAGGGAAAAATATGAAATTCCTGGGCAGTAATTAGACAACAAAACCCTCACTTGGAAGAATTGGAATCAGGGAAACAAGCCTCAGGTATGCGGGAAAGATGATCTAAGCCACAGAGCTGACTACTGCTGCTGCTGGCCCTGTGGAGATAAGCTCATAATTTTCCATCCAGAGGCCAGGCCCTAGACAGAGCATCAGACCAGGTTAGGCACAAAGGCTCGACCAAAGTTCACAGTCCATGTGGCACATATGACATTTTATTCAGCAAAATTAAATATTTAATAATTTCATCAAATTATCACCTTTCTAGTGATTTTGCATATGATTCTGCCTTTGTTTAAAAAAAAAACCACAAATTCATTTTATGCTTAAATATCTGAGTTTGATAGATAACCACTATCTCATCTCAGTTATATCCACTCCCTGCTCAGACTCACCCATAAGGTGCAGCCTTTGAAATAAAAGAAGTAAAGCAGAACACCTTTGCTCTGACTCCCAAAGCTGCAAAAGATGTCATGGGGAGTAAGAGCTGGGGTAGAGCCATGGAAATACCTTCAGGGGATTTAGCATTTTTTGGAGAGGATTCAAGCAAGTGCGAATGACCCAATGGTAAATACTTGAGCTCCCTAATAAAGTGAGTTTCAAAGCTGTCCAGGAGGTAGGGGAAAAAGGCTACTCCTGAGCTCTTGCTATAGAGAGGAAAGTTTGACTCTCATGTACACAGATAGCAAGCCACAAATGGGGGCTCCTTTTCCTACTCTTAATACTAACTAAATATGACTGTACCTTCCTGGGAACCTACATGGGGCAAAAGAAAAATGTTCTTTATGGTGCTCACAAAGTCTGCACATCAAGTTCTGAACATCAGGTTGCCGATATACCTGAGATTTGGACTGTTCAACTGAGGCAAACCTGAGGTTCCTGAGAGTTAGCAAGAGAGTCCCGGGGTAAACCTTGCCATGCTCTGGATGATGCCTATACACTGTTTCTGAAAGTGTAAAACCTCAGACCTTCCTCCTGAGGAGAAGCAGTTTTACTGATGGAACTAAGCTGCTCTCTCCAATCATAAGAAGCCAAAGAGTGAGCTCAAAAACACTCACCTGATGGTAGGACAAAGTAGTTCCCAAAAAAAGCAGAGGTGTGGGCCCTGGAATGCCAAGCTTCTTAAAAAGTCCATGTGAATGGGCTCCATATCTACAAACTGAATCAGAAATCAGGTCTCAGGGATTGTGACTTTATAGATATGGGGGCTGGTAAGTCACTGACTGAGGAACTGGAATGCTCAAGAGAAGGAGGTAACATTAAGGCAATAAATGATAACAGTAACTCTGACAGCAATGATTATATTTGTACATCAAGTCCTTTCCCGTCTCCACCATGAGACACCAAAAAGTCACAATGATTAGTCGAAAGCAGCAGAAGTCTTTATGGTCCCAATCCTGGAATGAATACTTGATAAATGTCCTCAAACGTGAGTGCTCCTCAGAGGTTCAGGAAGGAATTCTTCCAGGGCACTTCATTTCCTTATGTCTATTTAGTAAGTGGACTCTTCCCTGATTTGGGGATTCTCATCCTAGGCAGAAAGGGTGACTTTTTTTTTTTTTCTCTTCTGCAGTGATGATGAGATTTTGCATCACTGCATCCACTCAGTCACAGAGGGTCACTGAGAGCCTATGGTGACCATGTCTTTAGAATTTGTGAAGAGTCTTTTATACTTTCCTTTCCCTCTAAGCTCTGACCCTATTTTAGGATCTGGCCCTTCTTAAACTGTCATTCATAGAGGGGTGTCAGAGGAGTCACAGAGTCCTTATTTCTACAGATTGACAACTGTGCTGAAGGCTTCCATTGGCCTCGTAGAAATGCAAGCACCTTTCAGCTACACCTCAGTCTCTGTGGCCAGATGATCTGGTTGATTTGCGCTATTGGGGAGGATGATTAACTCATATTTCCCTGAATGACAGTGTGCAGAAGATCCACAACTTAAAAAACCAATTTCCAGGACATTCCTCCTCTTGTGGAATCTAGCCTTCCAACTGGTGGTATTCACCTGATAATAAGCACACTGCCAGTGATATGGTCTGAATCTGCCCCTACGCAAATCTCATGTGGAAATGTAATCCCCAATGCTGGTGGTGGGGCCTGATGGAAGGCGATTGTATCTTAGGGGCAGTTTCTCCTGGTTTCACACCAACCCCCTTTGGGTGTTTCCTCGTGACAATGAGTTTTTATGAGATGTGGTGGCTTATAAGTGTGTGGCACCTCCTCCCCACCCTCTCTTGCTTCTGCTCCAGCCATGTAATATCTGCCTACTTCTCCTTCACCCTCTGCCATGATTGAACATTTCCTGAGGGCTCCCTAGAGGCAGAAGTCGCTATGCTTCCTGTAGGGCCTGTAGAACCATGAGCCAATTAAATCTCTTTTATTTATAAATTACCCAGCCTCAGGTATTTCTTTACAGCGATGTAGGAAAGGACTAATACACCCAGATATGCTCACTTTTTTCAAGGTGATCAATCACAAAGCAGTCAGTTTATTGCCTCTGCACATCAAGTATCTCTGTAGGAAAACCCATTAAGGCTGCTGCTCCCTATGGCAGGCCTGCTTGCAACTCATCTTTGATGGGTCATGTATGGACTCCCCCAACTGAGGGTTCTGGATATCTGAAGACCTTCCCAGTCTGATGTTACTGAGGGGTGGAAGACTGGAGGAAGAAGAAAGGCTGATGGCAGACATCACCAGCCATCAACTCAACCGTGAATCTGCTAGTCCCACAAGGTTGGTCCCAGAGAGGCAAATTAGGAAAATGTGGCTGAAAAGTATGGTGTATATAAATGGATCCATATGCGTCATGTGTGCTTTCAGCTGAAAGACAGGCACCTTCTAATGTCCAGGTACCTTCCTGTTGATAGCAAAAGGTACAGTATTCCACATAAGTAAACATAAAATGTTCCAGACAGTTGAATGAAGACCTTGTTTTCTCTTCTATAATGGGTAGCACTTAAGGCAGTATAGGTTCCAAACATTCTGTACAAATCCAGTGACTCTGATAATATGTGGTAAAATACAACTGAGAAATGGCATGGAGGGTCGTGTTTGGAGATCCCAGCAGAGGCAGCATATAGTGCATTTGGATCCTTGCCCCAGAATAGTTAGTGGAAATGTGTGCACCATCTACTGAAACCAGGGTGGCCTTGGGTTTTCTACTCCTGTTCCTTCTTTTATTGTCACAGCTATGGCAAATCAATGACACTAATCTCTGCTTCTACACTTTCTAGAAGTTACGTGATCTCTCAGGTCAGGACAAACTATTGAGTTAATCTGTCAGCAGCACTGTCCCCCAAGGAAAGATCTAGGTGAGTGTCTAGACTCACATGGTTCCATGTCAAGGCAGAGGCTGTGCTGGGCAAACTGTTTAGTTTCTTTCTAGCTCCCCTCTGGTAGAGTAATACCACTTTTGGTTCCAATGAAGAGGCTAACAGAAAAGCCAGTCATCTATTGCACGTAATTGTGTTGGCCTAAGGAGGGCATGGTCTACACTACAGTTTCTGACTCCTGGGCTGCACCAGCATTGTCTAAGGCTAAGGCATTGTCTGCCTGGCTGCCCGAGTCTGTAGTGACCGCCCCACAACATGGCAGACCACGCACACAGTGACACATTTGATGTCCCTGTGTCCAGGCTTGAAGCAGATGAGATGCCAACCTGTTTGCCTTTTGAGTGACCTCCACTGTGGGGCCAGGACCCATGAATATCTCTTTGGAGTTCTACCCTGAGAGCTGAGGAATATTTTCTTACTTCATACGGATCCTACGTGGATGCCTTTGCTATCATCACTAGCTCACAGTATTGCTTACTCCCCTGCCTGACAGTTTAAGATAACCTGCTAAGCAGGTATATTCAAAAAGGAGGTATTAAAATAAACTGTCAGGCATGTATATTTAAAAAGACATATCTTTTTAAATATAAAAAGATATACATAAATATGTATATCGCAGTCTTGTCTTAGCGATATACATTCATGCTTTAGACTCATATTCCTGACATTATTCTGGAGAGGTGATGTTATTTTACACACATTTATTGTCACAAATACTGAACTAACAGCCCTCTTTCATCATCCAGAAGGAACATGCTGGAAATATTCCATCTCCAAAAAATTCTGATTTAAAAATGAATGAATTTAAACCATATCAATTCATTTTAAAATGTTAGACAATGGAAACCATGTTGCCACAACTCACTGAATTCCTAAGCTTTCTGTGAAAAAATTAAAATGAAGTTTATATTTCCTATTTTCATGTCATTGTTGTTGCCTGCTCTTAAAAGTCAAATTGAGGTAGAAGTTAATGGGACAGGTGGAGCCTCCACTAACCACAGTGGAAAGTAACTCTTCTCTCCACCTGCTCTAGGATGCCAGGAATCCCACCAGTGAGAGGGTTCATCCTCCTTTACTGTAACACAAAGGGGAAAAAATGTGTAAAATCCAAATTGGCTTTCACAGCTCCTGCCTTTTCAGGCTGCTAGCAGATTCCCATTAGCTGAGAAACAAAGCTCTATATTAATGCTAGCCTCCCAGAGACGGGAGGAAAAAGATTAAAGCAAAGAATAAATCTTCAAAACTTCCTCCAAGTCTCCTTTGCTCTGGAGATTAATCATTGCAAGGTAAATAGTTCTGTGTATGACAGGGTGGAGGAGTGAGTCATAGGAGGGAGGGGATGTTTTGGGACATGGCACAGGAAAGAGGGAAGAGCCGGGGGACAGCTTCCCGTGAAGTCTTGGTGTTCCCCGGTGTGTTATGTAAATGATATCCTGGGGTGGAAGTTAGGGGAGCAGGAACCACCAGGTCCACAGAGGAAAAACTTCTACACATCTCTTCCAGCAGACAGAGAACCCAGAAAATGAAGGTAATGAGACAAAAACCCAAGCTGCTCCCTCCTGCCCCCAGAATCCCGAGAACCTGGGAAGGGGATGAGGATCACACTTCTCGTCTTGTTCAGCAGTTTGTAATCTGCCTTTGCTGGGTTTTCATTTTCATTGATTAGTATAGGTCAAATCTAAGCTAATCAAATCATTCCCACTAACAAATGCTGTCCCCAAACCCTCCTAGTCACCAAAATTAGAAGGTGGCTGGGACAAATGCTTATTTATTTCTTCATAAATCTGCATAAGATCAATAATAACCTCTATGTGTTTGTAGCATCCAAGAAGCTACTCCTCCTTGAACATCTCTTTTGATCTTTAAAACAGATGAGGGAACAGGGGCCTGAGTAGCACCCCAAGTCCAAGTTAACAGAGGAGAGGAATCTGGACAGTTACTGACAGATAGAGGAGCACAAGGCTGACAGCCAGGAGAAGCCAGGTTTCCACCGCCAAATTTGGGATGAGGTCCATCGCCACTTGCCTTCTTCAACTGTCTCCTCTGAGTCTTACTTTCAGCTGTGTGCTGTTGTTTGCTGGGCTGTCTGCCTGGAGCATCCCTGCCCTGCACAGCAGTCTTAGGTCAAGCTGCTGAAATGTTTATGTGCTGGAGAAGGAGGCGGGGCTGCAGCTGCAGCCAGTAGCAAAGAATCGCACACACCCCTTTGCTTACCTCCTTTGAGTTCATATTCTATGGGGAATCATAAACAACTTAATCAGTTTTATCAGGGAGTCCACGGAACCTGAGTTCTTATCAGAAACTGAAGTGGAGCCATTGGCATGAAGCCTCTTAAATATCCTCTCACCTGCCCTTGTTTCCATGGCTGTCTTCATTCCAGAATACTTGAAATCCATCCCCACAAGCCACAACTGCAGATCTTTACCCATGCAATTCCCTCTGCCTGGAGTGTACTTGTGCCCCCTAGATGACTCCTACACATCCTTGCACGCCCAGCCAGACAGACCCCTTCTGTTAAAGTCTTTCCTTACCAACCTCCTCACACAGATGTAACCATTTCCTCCTCTGGGTGCCTCCTATCCCCCTCACACAGTCCTATTGTCCTATTTCCTCTCTACCACCCTTGTGGGTTTCTGTGCCTGTTTCCCTTAGCAGAGGTGAGTTCCTCAAGGGCACAGTCTGGTATTATTTACTTTCATGACCCTGGACCCTAGCAGGGTACTGTACACATGGTGGGTGACCAGAAATGTTGGTGGAGTTGACTTGGGTGAGATTGCTGGGCCCCTGTGTGTCATCCCCTCTGAGTCTGTGGTGATAGCAATAGACTAATGGTTGCTTGGGGCTCAGATGCAGCCAGCACTGTTTCCCAACTAATGCAATTGGTCTTGTTCTGCAAAGGAAAATAATAGAAGGCATGTTCTGCCACTTAATTCCTCAGAAGGTAACATACATGAAGAGACTTACCTGTTGAGAGTTGTACTGAATGTGTCAAGGAAGATACTATGTATCAGAAGAACACCCAACCACCCTGTGCCTCTCACCTATTCATTCCTGTATTAAAGCATTCATCATGTATTCTAATGGCTGTGCTCCCTGTACTTAGGGTACAAAATTGACTAAGACCCAGACATTAGCTCAATTGTTTTGATTTGTAGATCCCACAAATAAGTGAGAACATGCAATGTCTGTCTTTGTGTGCCTGGCTTATTTTACCTAACATAATGACCTGCAGTTCCAGCCACGTTATTATAAAGGACAGGATCTCATGCTTTTTTCATGGCTGAATTGTACTCCATTGTGCATAAGTGAAGTACTCTCTTTACCCATTCATCTGTTGATGGACATGTAGGTTGCTTCCAAATCTTGGCATTTGTGAATAGCAGCTATTGGGAACATGGGAATGAAGATATCTCTTCAATATATGGATTTCCTTTCTTCCTGGTTTATACCCAGCACCGGGATTTCTGGATCTTATGATAGGTCCATTTTAATGTTTTGAGGAACCTCCAAACTGTTCTCTATAGTGGTTGTAATAATTTACACCAACAGTGTACGAGAATTCCCTTTTCTCCACATTCTCACTGGCATTTGTTATTGCCTGTCTTTTGGATTAAAACCATTTTAGCTGGGGAGAGATGACATTGTAGTTTTGATTTGCATTTCTCTGATGATCAATGATGTTGAGCACATTTTCATATAACTATGTGGCATTTGTATTTCTTCTTTTGAGAAATGTCTGTATAAATATTTTGCCCATTTTTTGATTATTAGGATTATTGAATTTTTTCCAAAGAGTTGTTTGTGCTCTGTGTATATTCTGGATGTTAATCTGTTGTCAGAGTGTTTGAAAATATTTTCTCCCATTCTGTGGTTTGCGTCTTCACTTTGTTGATTGCTTTCTTTGCAGCACAGAAACTTTTTAACTTGATGTGATTCCATTTGTCCATTTTTGCATTGGTTGCCTGTGCTTGTGGGGTATTACTTCAGCATTTTTTGTTCAGACCAATGTCCTGAAGAGTTTCCACAATGTTTCCTGTAGCAGTTTCATCATTTGAGATCTTAGATTTCAGTCTTTTTTTTTTTTTTTGGAACCAGAGTCTTACTCTGTTGCCCAGGCTGGCATGCATTGGTATGATCTTGGCTCACTGCCACCTATGCCTCATGGGTCCAAGTGATTCTCCCACCTCAGCCTCCTGAGTAGCTGGGACTACAGGCATGCACCACCATGCCCAGCTAACTTTTGTATTTTTTGGTAGAGATAGGGTTTCACCTTATTGGCCAGGCTGGTCTTGAACTCCTGACCTCAAGTGATCTGTCTGCCTCAGCCTCTCAAAGTGCTGGGATCACAGGCATGAGCCACCGTGTTTGGCCAGATTTCAGTCTTTCATCCACCTTGATTTGATTTTTGTGTCTGGTGAGATATAGGGGTCTAGTTTCATTCTTCTGCATATTGATATCCAGCTTTCCCAGCACCAGAGGAGACCGTCTTTTCCCCAGTGTATGTTCTTGAAAACATTGTCAAAAATGAGTTCACTCCAGGTGTGTGGACTTGTTTCTGGGTGCTCTATTCTATTTCATTGGTCAATGTGTCTGTTTTTATACAAACACCATACTGTTTTGGTTATTATACCCCTGTAGTATAATTTGAAGTCAGGTAATAAGATTTCTCCAGTTTTGTTCTTTTTGCTGAAGATAGCTTTGGCTATTCTGGGTATTTTGTGGTTCTATAGAAATGTTAGAATTTTTTCCTCTATTTCTTTGAAGAATGTAATTGGTATTTTGAGGGATTGCATTGAATCTGTACATTGCTTTGGGTAGTGTGGACAGTTTTAACAATATTGATTCTTACAATATGTAAACATGGAATATCCTTCTGTTTTTGTGTCTTCTTCAATTTCCTTCATCAGTGTTTTACAGTATTCATTATAGAGATCTCTCTCTTCTTTGATTAAGTTAATTCTTAGGTATTTAGTTTTATTTGTGGCTATTGTAAATGGGATTACTTTTTTATTTTTGCCAAATTGTTCACTATTGGCATATAGAAATGCTACTAATTTTTGTATGTTGATTTTGTATCCTGCAACTGCAACTTTACTGAATATTTTATCAGTTCTAGTAGTTCCTTGGTGGAGTCTTTAGGTTTTTGCAAATATCATTTGAAAATAATTTGGAGTTATCATTTGGAGGGTCTTTTTCAAATATCATTTCCAAACATTACTTGGAAATCATTTGAACATTTTCTTGCTTCCTGGCACAAAATGTGTCCTAGGCTTGTCTTGAACCTTCTTAACCCTGGCCCTGGAATCAGGCATTTCTCTAAAGAGCTCTGGTTCCTTTCCATGGAATATGGTATTCATAAGCCAAGACTTGGGCGCTAAGTGTGCTCATTGCTATTGAAATGTCATTGTTACCTAGACCTATCAGTGAAGAGAAGTAGGAAATATATGGTTTTTTTTGTACACACACACAAACACATGTATACATTTCATCTATCTATATATCTATCGTATATCTGTTATCTATCACCTATCTACCCATCTATCCATCTAGAAGGGTATGAATATACACGAATACATCCATTCCAATCTAATTTCATAGGATTCATGCTAGTTTTCTCCCTTTCTGAATCCATGACTCCGTTCTTCAAAGATGAGAAGCCTGGCTTCTATCATCCTTAATATATTTACTTCTTTGATAAATCCCCTTTATGTAACCAAACCTCACCCATCACTTCCCACTCATGGATGCCCTCCTGACCTCACATGGGTTCTCCATGCTCTATTTAGGCTCTGGCTGCTCTTGTAGGCCACACCTCTCTATGAACCCCTTCTCTGCTTGCTTGGACTCCCACACCCAGGCAGGCTGTTTCCACATGAACACCCAGTTTGTCCTCATCCTACTTGGTCTCTGACTTGGAACCACCATGACTCTCTTCTCTACCTTAATGTGTGGCCACCATCTGGCTGCCACCCACCTAATGGCTCTAGGGCTAAATTATTCAGAAAGGGAAAATAAAGGAAGAAATAGGAAAAGAAAAGAAATGAGTAGTTTCAGCCTTGTTGTCCAATCAATTGACCAATCAACTGTTTTTTTTATTAAATGTTCATTGCATTTAGACAGTTGGGAGTTGAGGATGGAATGCAAGAGGTGTAAGAAAACATATTTCCTGTCTCCCAGAAATATCAGGGGAGATGGGCTGAAAACATTAAATGAAAACTAATAATATAATACTGGCTTCAGTTGTATGTTACAAAATATATGTGCTACAAAAAGGCATAATTTTATTTTTTAGATGCAGTCTCACTCTGTCACTCAGGCTGGAGTTCAGTGGCATGATCTTGGCTCACTGCAGCCTCCACCTCCCAGGTTCAAGCAATTCCCCTGCCTCAGCCTCCTGGGTAGCTGAGATTACAGGCGTGTGCCACCATACCTAGCTAATTTTTGTATTTTTAGTAGAAAGGGGGCTTCACTATGTTGGTCAGGCTGGTCTTGAACTCCTGGCCTCAGATGATCTGCCTGCCTTGGCCTCCCAAAGTGCTGGGATTACAGGTGTGAGCCACTGTGTCTCATCAAAAATGTCATAATTAAACTATGAATATTCTTTCTAAACAATGGGCAAAGTCATAGTGGGTTAACTCTCACCTATGTTAATAATCAAATTGGGCTGGGCACCGTGGCTCATGCCTGTAATCCCAGCACTTTGGGAGGCCCAGGCAGGTGGATCATAAGGTCAGGAGATCGAGAGCATCCTGGCTAACACAGTGAAACTCCGTCTGTACTAAAAATAGAAAAATTAGCCGGGCGTGGTGGCAGGCACCTGTAATCCCAGCTACTCAGGAGGTTGAGGCAGGAGAATGGCGTGAACCTGGGAGGCAGAGCTCGCAGTGAGCCAAGATTGCACCACTGCACTCCAGTTCCCACACCAACAGTGATTACAATGATCAAAATATTTAGTTGTTGGTTCTCAGTCATTCAGTTCTATAGATTTCTCCTTAATGTGCAGGAAACATCCAATAATACTTTTGTAAAGAGGTTTTTATTGATTTGCTTAATATAAAGCTTACTATAGAATACTACAGATATAACACATGATATAAATGTCACTGTTAGAGCCATCAAAATAATTCCTATTTTTATTAATGATTGTGGTTGAAATTATTGAGAAATGTTAATTATGTTATCAGAGCTCAGGAGGAGTTAATGGTGCTAACTGGGGGTGGTGGAGATAGTCCTATGAGAAGCAGAGAAGCCAAATCTACTTCCCCAGCACTGATTTGGTCATCTCCTCTATATTACCAAGTATAACACTCTATACAGACCATGAGAGAGCACAATGCACGTACAGAATCCCTGATTATTTATGCAGCACATTGGATGAAGCCCGTCTTCATTTCAGGGTTCTATTTGTAAAGTAATTTGAGGTCTCTGGTGTTCTGGGGCACAGCTTTCTTAAAGAGCAAACCAGAAGTCCTTAGGGAAATCAGGCTCCACTTACGGTCTCATCCCTTGACTCAGCCTTTAGAACAATGGGTTTTTCTGTTAGAAGAAGTCCTCCAAAGCGTAATTTCAGGGGGATCTGCAACAGTTAAACGAGCATATTGAGAAGCATTAAATAAAGCAAAAGTAGAAAGTATAGCATCAAAGTAAAAAAAAATTACTGACAATAATGCTTTGTAAACATATAAAAACTACTTTCAGCACTATAAATCTTGGATTCGTTATACTTACTCTATAAGATGTGTGAAGATTGGATAGTGAGAACATTCATCATCTATCATTTAACAAAATATTCATGGAGCACCTATTCTGTGTGAGGTTTGACCTGAGACAAATTCATGGGAACCCGTGTTCTTTTTTGATTTAAATTTTAACGAAAATGGATGAGTTTTAAAAATTTAAACCAGATTATTAGGTATAACGGTAAACTTTTTAAACCATCTTATGAAGTTAATTTTGTGTATGTTGAAACTTGCAAGGTAATCCTGAGTAGCTATTGTACATTTTAATTATGTGGACAGTCTTCAACTTCCACAGTCCAGTAATTCCTCTCAATTGAACCCATCTAGTGTAAAGATGGGAAGACACCTTCAGGAAGCATTATCGTTTTATTTTTTAACATCTTCTCTTGGTTTACAAGGGTAGTGCAAGTGGGGAACCTCTCAATTCCTACAGTGTTTTGACTCAACTTTTCTTATTGAGACACTCCTTCAGTGTTGAGGGGACACAATAGAGTGATATTCTGATCTCCATGGAGTGATGGGCAAGAAAATTGCCATGGAGATCCAGAAGTGCCAGCTTGGGACTTCCAAGGGAGTACCTTCCCCATCCTAGGTGTGCCAGAGGACCGCCTTCTCTCAGGGCTGAGTCTCCTGTCTGAGCACACATACAGGATAGCTACATAGCTGGCCTAAAGCCACAAATAATGTGGAATATGAAAATAATATGGAAACCATCTCTATCTTCTTCCTCTTCTATGTAGAAAGCCTGCTTAAGGTGTGGAGTTGCTTAATAAATACATGAGACCTAGAAATAAGATTTATAGGGTCTTGCTTAATATGAATCAATGACATCTGTTCTTTAACTTCTTCAGAGAAAAGGTTCCAAATCTTTCTATAAATATAACACATTATTTAAAAATTTTCAAAAGGCATGAATATATTTTCCCTGCAGACAGACATGCATGTGCACATGTGCAAGCACACACACATGCAAATACATGAATGTCATTTGCTAAATGTTCACATTAAAAAACTTAATATTTGTATGCAAACCAATCGACTGCATATCACTCCTTAAACATTTACCAAATGACCAAATGCTTGAGTTAGATGAGGTCACTTGCAAGGCACCACTGGGATATTTTAAATGGAATAAAATGAGAAGATATTGTTAATGGAGGGGGGAAGACATTCTTAGATAAAGAGAAAATATAGAGAACAAAACTCAATGATTTAATGGCAAATTATGAAATTATATGATAATAGCCTCCAGTAACTAATAACAGAGCAGAGGAGTAAATGAGCCCTGGACTAGGTCAAGAAGACACCTTGGAGGGGCTTGGGAATTGAACTAGGACTTGAAAGATAAGAACAGAATGAGGAGAAGAAAGGAAAGAAGATTAGCAGAGTTATAATTGAGTTGAAAAGGAGCCCAGTTGGTTGGAGCTAGGCACCTGGAAGGTGAGGTCAGTAAGGATGGCCTTGGACTGTGGTAGTCCTTCGTATCCAATAGAACTACCTTAAATTAGTCATTTTCCACCTTGGCTTCACATGAGAAGCAATGGGGGAGCTTTTAAAGCCACACTCTGGGCAAATTAGTTTAGAATTTCTGAGATGTTCCAGGCATCATGAATTTTTAAAGCTCCCTGGTGATTCCAATGTACAGCTAGTGGTTGGGAGCCACTGTCATGAGAAAACTTCTACAAGTTCTGGGAAGGAAGAGCATCATTCAAAAGTCAAAACAAGATAATAAGTGCACCTCATGATTGTGCAAAATACTTCCCCATCTTTCCAATTGACTTGAAACTGAATTTAATTTTGCTCAAGTTCAAGGAGACTGTAGATAATCATGTCATGCTAGTCTACATTGACATTGCATGATGTTTTTAATGCTACAGCTTTTGAACTCCAGAACTGAAGCACCCTTAAAGATCATAGATGGGTCCAAATAGATTCCTTGGCCCATAGAACAAATTATTAAAAGATTAAGTGAGTGTATTCTTTTTTAAATATATAGACCATTCAGTTAAAATAATTGTTAATAAAACATTATTAATGCAGAAAATTGACTGACCTGTGTTTCTTTACAAGGTTTGAAGGAGAAGTTCTGAAGGACTCTGACTAGAGCAAGTTTCATGTTCACGAGAGCAAACCTCATGCCAATGCAGTTTCTGGGTCCACTTCCAAAGGGTGTGTATATGTAAGGATCTATGTTGTCCTTGTTCTTTTTACTGAACCTGGTTCCATATTGGTAGATATTTTAAAAGTTAAAGACATAATACCTCTAAGAGTTACATGTTAGGGTTTCTTACTTAGGGCCCACCCCTCTACTAGCAGTACACAGGATACTTTTGTGGGCTAGTCACTGAAATCCTGCTATGCATATTTTGCTATGAGAATTGTAAGGTACAGATCCTTTCTACTCTCCTTACATTATAGGAGCTTTCAGTCTTGTTGAGAGGAGATAAATACTGTTGCAAAGTATATTTATTTCTAAACACTCAAATTATAGTCAGGATGGTGATGTGTTCACACTACAAAAGGCACATAAGTGATGAGAATGACTGACAGAAAAGTAGATTCCTGCCTCAAGTCACCCTTATGTTGGTCATGAGGAAGGAGAAGAAATTGTCTTGCACTACTTCAAAATTGTTATTTTGCACTTTCCTTCTCCTCTCGTCTCTTGTTTTTCTAATTCTCCTCCTTCTCCTCCCTACCTTGTCTTACCCCTCCTTCTCTCCTCCTTCTCCTCCTTCTTCTAATCTCCATCTCTCCTTCTTTCTCCCCCACACCTCCATAGAATAGTTTAAGTCAGATAATTTACACAGGCATATGATGCTACTGTATTGATGGAAAGCAGTGTCATCACTGCTTTCTTTGTCTATCTGTTGCACTAACCTATAAATTCTTTGAAGATTAGACGCATGTTTTTTATTCAAATTTGATTCCTGAAGATTTGAGTATATTCAGGAAAAAATATTCATTTGTGGGACATAATAATAGCATTGTGATCATGTGTTTTTAAAAGAGTCCTTACATTTTGGACACTTATGACCCATAAGGACATAATTGAGGACCTTCATCTTAAGTTGCTGGGACTGTGACTGGCTATAGTTTTCTTTTATCTAGTCTGTGGTTTGTAAAGTGTGACAATGATCAATTTCATGATTTGAAAAAACCTTTTAAACATAAAAAGACAAGCAAACGATTGTACAAGCCCAGACTGTCCTGTAGAGAGGCAGAATATGCTTGAACCAGGCTGGTTCAGGGAGGGCTCCCTTCCCAGGGGCCTCCTACCTTTCAGGGAGGAACTTCTCAGGCTCTGTCCAGTACTTTGGGTCATGATGAAGAACATAGCTTGGAATCATCACCACCACCCCTTTGGGAATAAACATCCCATTGATTTCAACATCTTTTTTGCAGACCCTCTCAAGTCTCATAGCAACTGGGAATAATCTGAGTGTTTCATTCACCACCATGTCAAGATACTCCAACTGTAGCACAGTATCATAGGTGGGTGGTGCCTGAAAAGAAAGAAACAGATTTGGATAAATTGAGATTTTTGAATTAACTTTTAACTCAGTCCATGTAGTACTGTTGAACTGTTAGAAGTTCCAGAGAACAACTCATACTGGCAAAGGATTGTAGCATTCATAAAGTATTTTAATAACTGTCATGCCCTTTGATGTGCTCAATGGCCCACTAAGATGTGTGGAGGAGTTATGAAAGCAGGAGACATTCGGGAAGGCTCTAACCCCAATGACTGAAATCCTTAGCATAACCATGTAGTGGTTTTTCTTTCTCATGGAAGCAAACATGACTAATAGGCTATGACCACTAGCATCAAATAAAATATGACAAAGTGATTGTCACCATTCAAAAAAGAGGTTACACGTCTGTAACCAAGGAAGTGAAAACAGATAGAAAAAGCAAATTCTCTGTGCGACAAGGATTATTGGCCAAACTTCTGGTTCATAACTCTTTTTGTTATATATACAAACAAAAACAGTTACAAAGCAGGATTTGTATTATATATATGTGTGTGTGTGTGTATATATATATATATGCATATATACACAAAAGCAGGGCTTTTGTTATATACATAAAATGTGGAGAGAAACACTATATTATATAAAATCTCTATCAATAATTTGAGGAAAAACTAGTCCCTTTCTATCCCAAATATGACAAAAGAAAGTTCTGGTGGATGTTATCAGAGCATGTGATTTCAGTGCCAGGCAAAGTTATGAAAAGGATAGAACCCCACACAGCCCTGTCCTCACTTGCTGAAACAGTCTCCTAGTTGTTGCTTCAGGGCTGGACTGTAATCTCTGAAGAACATCCCTTTGTGCTCACCTCACTGCCACACAAAGACCAGCCCAAAAGCCATGTCTCTTCATAGCACAAAGAATCCAAGTTTTGGCAGAGGTCTGAAAACAGTGTGGTTGATAGGCACCTAGTACTTAGTGTTATATTTGAAAGGCAATATTATAGAGTTTAAGAGTTTAGCTCAGAAGTCAGATACCCTGGTTCCTAGCTTGCTTCTTCACCAGTGGTTACCTGACTGAAACATGAGACACATGTGGGGCAGAGCTGAGTCAACCTGCACAGCGCACCCAGGGCCAGGCTCCATCAGATCACAGCCAGACCAGAGCAAGTCCTGCCAATATCAGCAGAGCTCACTATCAAGACGTGTGAGCAATATGCATATTGTTAAATGCCAGGGAGGTTTTTGGATGTTTTTTTACTTAGCATTATTGTGGTAACAGAAAGCAGATGAACCAGGGAGAGGACTGTTTTACAAAGATCTTATACTTCTGCCAATAGCAACCATTCCCTATGCTTCCTTCTTTTTATTTTGAGAGCCTTCCTACATATTGTGAATGAAACAATCATGATTATGCTTTTTATAAAAATTCTCCTGGGAAGTGGTGAGGAAGCATCTTTGCTAAGGCTTCACCTCCTCCCTCCTTCTCCATGTACTGTCCACTCACCTTATTGGGTAAAACTGTATCAATTTCCTTCTGCACTTTCTGCTGGACATCAGGGTGAGTGGCCAGTTCATATATAATGAAGGAGAGAACACTGCTCGTGGTTTCATAGCCAGCAAAAATAAAGATAATTGATTGGGCCATGAGCTCCAGATCAGACAGAGCTGAAAGGAGAGAAAAGACATTTTAGGTAAATCAGGTCAATGTAGGGCATCACAGTTTAGATGAAAAGAAATCTAAGTGGAACCTTCAAATCCCCAGGGGAAAAAATAGAAAAGCAATTCAGAGTCTCACTGGGGGTGGTTTCACTCTGATGTGTGTCTTACAGAGCCAGAACAAGGCAAATCATTTTAATCCAGTTTTCCCCCAATGTCTTCAAGAACGTAGACCATCCGCTCCTCCTCGTGCCATCCCTGCCACCTTCACAGCTGGGTAATTTCCAGAGAGAACATTTCTGCATAACATACTCAGTGTCATGGTGTGCTCCTTGAATGATCCTAAAAGTACTTTATTGTAAATTAATATGGGGTAGTCTTCTCTCCCAAGAAAAATGTAATTCATTTTAGCTACAATATACCTTGACAAACTTTGAGAGAATTTGCAACATTAATGGCTAGATGTATGGAAAATTAAAGGACCTTTCCTTTAGATATGTTTGAGGGAACTTAAGAGACCAATATTGGAATACAGACCACCTCTTGCTACTCAAAGTGTGGTCCGTGGATCATAAGCATCTGTGACCTTATTAGAAATGCAAAGGCTGGGCATGGTGGCACACACCTGTAATCCCATCACTTTGGGAGGCCAAGGTGGGTGGATCACCCGAGGTCAGGAGTTCAAGACCAGCCTAACCAACATGGAGAAACCCCTTCTCTACTAAAAATACAAAATTACCCAGGCATGGTGACGCATGCCTGTAATCCCAGCTACTTGGGAGGCTGAGGCAGAATAATCGCTTGAATCTGGGAGGCTGAGGTTGTGGTGAGCTGAGATCATGCCATTGCACTCCAGCCTGGGCAACAAGAGCGAAAACTCTGTCTCAAAACAAAACAAAACAACAACAACAACAACAAAAACAGAAATGCAAAATCTCAAACCCCACCATTGAACTACTGATTCAAGTCTGAATTTCACAAGATGTGGTAATTTGTGTGCATAGCCCAGGTTGAGAAGTATGGATTATATCTTTGAGAGGCACCAGGTAATAGACCCAGGCTATAGGTCTCAGAATTGACTATCTCAGGATGTACAGCAACTGAAGATGGACAAAAAGCTAGATGAGTGGTGATTGATTGCAGTCTGATGAATGGCATTAAAATGGTATAAGCTCTTGTGATTGCAAGTTGGCCCCTCTCTTGATTTTTTTCCTGAGAGAAGCTCAGGATGGCCCATCACTGGTCTGTTTGATCAGGACTGGATTAGGACATTTAGAGACCGGGAACACAGAAATAAATATAGTGCCTGTTCCAACCATGTAACTCACCACCAAAACCAATACGAAAGGAGTGTGAGAAATGTCAACAGAGCTGTGATTTACCAGTGAAGATTTCTGTGATGCAGTTGTGGGTAAATTCAACTATCTAATAATTGTATTCTGTTACCATGAACCTGATGATACTGATGTGAAACCAAACTATAATCTCAAAGTTTAGAGCTCTGCTGTCCAATGTGGTAGCCACTATTGACATGTGGCTATTTAAAATCAAATTTTATTCAATTAAACTTAAATACAACTTAAAATTTTTCATCAGTGGCACTAGCCACATGTGCAGTGCTCAATAGCTATATGTGTCTAGTGATTTCTAGATGAAACACTAAAACAGTAGGCTATTTCCTTTATCACAGCAAGTTGTATTGGGATAGATAGAGAGATGATAGCTAGATAATCAGTAAGTAGATAAATAGATGATTGATGGACAGATGATAGATAGATAGACAGACAGACAGAAGTAGATGTAGACATGGACATATTTAAATCTGTATGCCAAAGTCAGCCTACTCCTGCTCTCTAGAACCAATGATTAAATATTCAGGAATTTTGTGACATGATTGCCAAATCTTGGTGGCTTGAAACTGAACATGGCCATCATTTTGCCACTCATAGTAACAATGACTTCAGTAAAAATCGTACATGGGTTGTAAAACTGGTAGGTGAAAGACTGAAGACAAAGGATATTTACACAGTCTCAGAGGTTTTCCAAAAAGTTACTTATCCATTGCAAAGGAAAAAATAACTTCATAGTTGATTAACCTGGTGAACACACTTTCACCAAAAATTGCCAGTTAAAATCGCCCTTATTTGGATAGCATGGCTCCTGATTAGGTGTTAGATGCATTAAGTTGCTGCAAAAGTAATTGCGGTTTTTGCCATTGAAAGCAATCACAAAAATTGCAATTATTTTTGCAGAAACCTAATAAATTTCCAGGAAGAAACTTTAATTCTGTGGATCTGGAGGAGGCTGAGAACTGGCATTTGATCTTATGTAGGTGATCCACAGACTGCTGACTCTTCCTGGCATGCCAGTTTTCCTTAGGGTTGCCCTTTAAGCTTAGAACATGGCTATCTATGCCTGCATGCCTCTAGAAGTTGCCTCCAGCTACCATTTTAACATCCAAACCTGTGTCATTCTGCTATGTGGCAGAAATTCTCATCTACCTGGAATACTTCCTGCACATTTTCAGAACAAAACCTTCCCTCTGAGTGCCCCACCAGTAGCCCTCAGAAGCACTCTTTTGTTACCTTTGTGGGTCTCAGAGTCTTTTGAATTCTGAGAGTCAATCATCAGCTGAAGGAAATCCACTCGGTGCTAGAAGCAAAAAGAGAAATTTTATTGACAGAAAGTGACTCGTGAAGTCAGAAGTTAATCAGAAGTGCAGTCCTCAACCTCCCTTCTGAGAATATAGCCCCTTGGAGACCAGAAATCTGATGGGTGTTGCCTGAGTCACCAGTGAAAAGGAATATCCATCTAAATCCTTGGAAAGCAGGATGTTTTCCTGAAACAAATCTGGCTAAAATGTTCAATTGCTTTTTGGTCTTTTCCCTGGTCCTAACTGCATACCCATGAAGAAGTCCTGGGCCTTTTATTCTTCTGTCTTCTTCATCACCAATGTCCACAAAGATTATTCTCCTGACATTTCCAGAACTTGTCAGCAGCTTTGGTGGGAGCACTTTCAAATACTGCAACATTCCCCAAATCTGTACAATCTTCAGTGACACCTGGGTTACCCCTTCTTGCCCCCCTGACCTGCAGATATCTTTTGGCTGGACTCCAGGGCTCATGAAGGCAAAGCTGAGTTAGCCAGCCTTGCAGCCTCAATTCCCAGAGAAGACCTCTGTTCACTCGAGGCTGTCAGAGGGCTCAAATGTAACACACACTACACTTCAGCAGGTGGCCTGATAGGACCTTTTGTTGGAGAATGTGTAAAATAATAGCCTTGTACTTGAAATGACTCTTTACCAATCTATGATCTAGAGAAAGCATAATACCAATAAAATGTATTTCCAAACAGTAATGTTTATCCTTTGACAATTTATTGAAGGGAAGTGCTGTGATAAGGTTTTATCTGAATAATATTTATGTCATGGCATACTAATTCTTGTGCCTGATATCAAATTTTAAGTGCTCTCTCTGACTCATTCTCATATCTCCTTCCTCAAACTCCACTTTCTGCATTCCTACCAAATGAATTATCTTGCTCTAAACATAAGTACTCTTTATGTTAAAATCTTTCTCTAAAAACATACAGGGAAGTGCACCGATCATATGTATATTTCTAAAAAATTATGAAAACTAAACATCCTCCTATAACTACCACCACGTTTTACCTTTTGTGTCTCTTTGAGGCGACCTTCTTTTATCTGTTTTACAGATTTTGTTAGAAAACTTATAACTTTTCTTGGAAACACAGTGATATTTAATGCTTCAAGAATTGGGGTAAGGAATGGAAAGACTTCTGTAGAAAAAAAAAACCAACAGAAAACGAAACCATTGTGAACATACAAAATTTACCTGGAGCAATTCTAATTTTCTCTACCAATCAGAAGAGTGAAATACATCAGTGTTCTCAACTGGAAGCCATTCCTTCTATGACTTTTGCCCCTCTTCCAGGCCAGTGGCTGAGCAAGGGAAGGTCTGTGCATAGGGACCACCACTACAGCAGTGAGATCAGCAGCCCCTTCTGCATCTTTTGAATGATGAAAGGAACAAAATTCAATGCCCTAATCTCTTTGCCTTTATGTATTGGGCTAGGGTCTCTTAGGATAACCCAAATCATAATTTGCTGCTTAAATTAATCATGCTCTTCAAGAAATCAGATAGAAATAACACAGTGTATCTCTGTCACCTATCATAGGATAAAGCTAAAATCAATAAGGTAACGAAAATTGGGAAACTCACACATACGTGGAAGTTAAACAATAAACTTTTAAGCAACCAATAAGTTGAAGTAGAAATTAAAAGGGCAAATAGAAACTGTTTTGAGCTGAGCAAAAATTAAGATGTGATAGGCCAGAATGTCATGTTATTTAGCAAACAAGTGCCCAGAGGGAAATTTATAGTTGTAATGTCTAAATTTAGAGGAAAAAAACCCACAAATCAATAATCTACATTCATGCCACAACACAGTAAACGGAGAAGGGCAAACTAAGCCTGAAGCCAGCAGAAGAAAGAAAATAATACAGACTAAAGTACAAATTCATGAACTAGAGAATTAAAAAAACCCTGAAAAATTAATATCATTTCTATGAAGTGTCCAGAATAGGCAAATCTATAGATGCAGAAAGTTGACTAGTGGTTATATACGACAACAGGATTTCTGGCAGGGGGTTGATAGCTAAACATGTATGAGGTTTCTAGAATGACAGAAGTGTTTTAAAGTTTACAATGGTGATGGTCGTACATATCTTCAAATGTACTACAAACCATTAAACTGTACATTTTAAGTGGATGAATTACATGGTGATTTACATCTCAATAAAGCAGTTATTTTTAAGAGAGAGGGAGAGAAAAGGAAATAGTAGTCCACATACTTATTGAGAGAACGAATGGATCTAATGGATTAAATCTTAAAAGCTTCTTGGTGTTTTCCACAAAGGGGTCTTGTGGATTGTTGAGAGAGTCGATGCTCACTCCAAATGATGTGCTAGTGATCACATCCATGCTGTAGGCCCCAAAGACGCTGAGTGGAGAAAGATGTGGAAAATTAAAATCAGCACCTCTTTACCATCCTTCCTCTATGCGTGCAGCAGGAAATCCACATGTCCAGTCAAGACAGACAAACAGCCACAGACTTTCAGAACTATTTACTGGAGCATCTCCCATCACACTCCCTCAGAAGGTGATTATCAGGTGTCAGTGACACAGCTGGCTCTCCGCTGGGGGTGATGGAGACACTCAACTGAGTTAGACTTACCTCTGAGGTCAAGGAGCCTAGTCATAGAAAGACAGAGATCCACTATCAGACAACTGCAGTAGCATGTGTTAATTGTGGATGATACAAGATGGGTAAGCACTGTGCTTCAGCAGAACAAGAGTAGAAAAATTCACTCTTTCTAAGGGGCTCAAGACAGGTGACATTGCCTGACTACAGACTCTATGCCCAGAGCCGATTCCTCTTCAGCACTTTACAAAGCAACAGTACCATGTCCTGAGCTCCTAGAAATATCATCCTTATTCTCTATACTCCCTGCTCAAGCTTTGGAAAATTCCACTATCCCCAGCTGTGGTGAGCTGAGGTTGCCCTGATGGCAGAATTATTTTTGTAAAATATAATGACAAATGATGTCCTGGTTAAAAAAAACTCTCAAAATTTGATTTGGAAACTTCTATAGTGAGTGACCACATATCCCCTGTCTGCCCAGGACAGGCTCAGATTACACCTGTTGTTCCTGCATAAGTGTAGACAGCAAATAATAGGCTTGCCCCACCTATAGCGTTTTTACCACCCTCTCTCTTTGAGACTGGAGGAAAAAGAAATGGTGGGAATGTTTAATATTTAGTATTCTACTGATACCCTCAGAAAAAAAACATGAAATGATCAAAGTTATTCTAAGTTCTCCATTATAACTTTCCCACCCTACTCACTGCCAACCAACAGATACCAAGTGCCTTCCCCTTCCACCATCCCATACACTCCATGCTTAAAACTTTGATACAATCACACTTTTCCCCCTAAAGGATGTATTTAGTCCTCCAGAATATCCAAGGTGACAATTTAACAGATATGTAAACCCTGACCTCTGTGCACAGGGGAGAAGATCCTTTTCCTCCAGCTGCCCCACCTCCTCATCGGAGCTGCCCCATCTTGGGAGACCCATTGAAGTTGCATTACCACAGCCCTCCTTTTGTCTGGTCACTGGAATAACCCAACAGCGGGAGTATCAGCTCCATAGCAGGCAGCTGGAGGGGCTCATGACAGCTCAGAACCCCATGGCTGTGCTCCTACTTACTGTTTCAAGGTGACAGGCTTGCCTGTCTCTGCTTCCCGCCTCAGATTTCTCACCAACACATCTCCATACTGGGCAATGATAGGGACCATCTAAGCACAAAACACAACACCACCCATAGTTAAATGTGCAGACATAAGTCCCAGAAGGACATGACTTTGCCTGGCATGGAACAATAAGTGACATTGTATAATGAATTTTATGATGTGTTTTCTGTACATAAAAAGACTATTTTTAGGAAGCTCAAATTCAGCAGACTACTCCTCGGAAAGGAACTCTGATCTTACTTTCTACCTGTCCCCACCTGATTCATTCTTTAAGTTTCTAATTAAAACCCAAGTTATTTTCATACCTCCTTGAGTTTTCCGCTGGTGAATGTTGGAGACAGCAATGATCGTATTCTCTTCCATTCTTCATCCTCAGCTATAGAGATGGCATTTTTCATAAATCCCACTGGCCCGAAAGGCTAGAGTTCAAAGCAGAAAGATTTTGTCCTACATCAGTTGTGGAGGTCTCCATGGTTGTAGAAAATGTGTTAAACAGGCATCATGTATTTAACAAATATTTAGTGACTGTCTACTAAGTGACAGGCCCTATGACAGATGCTCAATAGGATTTATCCCACATGCCCAGCCACCTGATGTGGTCTCCAGCCTGTATATCCCAGTCTCCTTTTACATGCAAATTCTCCACATGGTACGGAACCTGTTCTTCCACTGGAATAGACAGGATCAACACCTAGCACGCGTGCAGTGTAGAGAGAGAGTGGAGACAGAGAGGCAGGTGGCTTTGTTGGACTGTATGTTGCCTCAGACGAGCTCTGTCTTTATGTTCACCTAAACCATGGGCAACATGAAAAAGAGGTGCCTTGATGTGGTAGATTTAAAAAAATATACAATGAGAACACATGGACACAGGAAGGGGAACATCACACACTGGGGCCTGTTGTGGGGTGGGGAGAGGGGGGAAGGATAGCATTAGGAGTTATACCTAATGTTAAATGATGAGTTAATGAGTACAGCACACCAACATGGCACATGCATACATATGTAACAAACCTGCACGTTGTGCACATGTACCCTAAAAAAAGTATAATAAAAAAGGTAGGTAATACTTTTAAAACTCACAACGTATTTTGAAGAAATAATGCGATTCTATTAACATTCTTTCCTCTTAATTTTTTATTCCATGGATAGAAAAAAAGAAGAAAGAGATAATTATTTTTGCCAGCTTGGATCTGGCCTATCAAGCCAGCATGCTTGAAACTCTCTTTCATCTTCCACAGCCATATTTTGTTTTATAATGAGTACTTACAGTACTCTTTTATGTTAAAAATTCAGCAAACTAGGGAGAGAAAATTCCTCCATTTGATAAAGAGAATCTACAAAAAAACCCACTTCATCTAAATCATTCTTGATGATGAAAGACCAAATGCTTCCTTCCTAATATTAGGAACAATTCAAAAATTCAACACATTTATTTGACATTATACTGGGAAAAAGAATTAAAAGGCATACAGATTGGAAAGGAAATAAAAGAATTGTCTCTATTTTCAAGTGACATAATTGTCAATGTATAAAATCTCAAGAATATACAAAAAGACTTCTAGAAATACTAAGTCAGCTCGGCAAGGTTCTATGATACAAGATCAACAAACAAAAGCCAAGCATGTTTCTATGTACCAACAATCAATATCTGAAAATACAAGAAAAACATAATATCATTTACAATCACTCCAACAAAAATGAAATACTTTAGCTGTAAATCCAACAAAACATGCACAGGATCTCTATGCTGAAAACTACAAATTGCTAAAAGCAATCAGAGAAAATCTAAGGAAATGGAGAGGCATACTATGTTCATGAATTGAAAGACCAAACATAGTGAAGATAAAGACTTTCCCTAAATTGATCTATACATTTAATTCAATTCTTGTTAAAATAACAGCATGTTTATTTATAGACACTGAGAGACTCATTCTGAATTTTTATGGAAAAGCAGAGGACCAGGAAGAGCTAAAACAAATCTAAAAAAATACATCCATAAAAGTGGGAAGAATCACTCTACATGATGCTAAGAGTTACTGTACAGGTATTAGAGTCACCAGTTTGTTGTTGATGGAGGAATAAACACAGTGATCAATGGGACAGAATAGCAAATGAAAGATGCAAAGAAACATGCCCAATTAATTTTTAACAATATGCCCACATTTCCAAAAATGGCTTTGGAACAACTGGACAACTACAAGCCACAAAAAATGAACGTTGATCTAAATCTCATACCTTATACAAAAAATAACACAAAATAGATAGTAGAGTTACATTTAGTAAAGCATTAAACTTTATGACTTTTAGAAAAATTGGCAATATAGGAAGGAGGGCTAGGCAAAGAACTTTCAGACTTGACACCAAAAGCACAATCCATAAAAAAATATTAATACATTGGCCTCCTCAAAATAAAAAAAGTTTTCCCTGATAAAGACCCTCTCAGAGAAAAACACTCGTGACTGTAGGATAGTAGCAGGGAGCCATACGGAGATGGAATGGGTCTGCATCTTGATCATGCTGGTCATTGCACAAATCTACAAATGTGATAAATTTGCATAGAACTACCCACACACTCAAGACCAGCCTGGCCAATAAGGTGAAACCTCGTCTCTACTAAAAATACAAAAATTAGTAGGGCGTGGTGGTGCAACTTGTAGTCCCAGCTACTCGGGAGGTGGAGGCAGAAGAATCACTTGAACCCTGGAGGTGGAGGTTGCAGTGAGCCAAGACCACACCACTGTACTCCCATTTGGGTGACAGAGTGTGACTCAGTCCGAAAAACAAACAACAAACAACAAACAAAAACAAAAACAAAAAACTACCCACACAAATGAGGGCACATAAAACTGGTGAAATCTGAATAAACTCTGTGAACTGTATCAATGTTAATTTCCTGTACTGCAGTAATGTGAATATACTGTATTTATAGTTATGCAAGATTGCAAGATGTTACCATGGGGGATGGGCAGGATGAAGTGTACATGGAACCTTCCTGCACAGTTTTTAGGCAACTGTCTATGAATATATAAGAATTTTAAAATAAAAATTTAATCAATCAATGAGTATTTTAATTTCAAAAAATGGATGCTTACCCTCCGGTTTGTGAAGACAGAATAACATTCTTTCACTAGCACTGTTTTGATCATGTCGGGATCTGTGATAGCCAGCATAGGCTGTTGACAGTCATAAATACTGTGTGGAGAAAACAGAGTTGATTAAACATCAACAGCCTTATGCTACAGCTGGAGCCAAACCCAGGAAGCCAGACTTTGATCCGGACATTACATAATCCTCTAGATGTACAATACACAGTAATCTTAAGTTCTAGTTCATTAGGTATAACTCACAGCAAGAGTCTGACACAGGAGCCATCCAAGTCTTCATACGATGAAGGGTAATGTGGGCCAAACAGGGAAGAGAGATTGAAAGACAAAAGAGCTCTTCAAAGAGATTGTGGTTAGAAATGACAGGAGAGCATTTGTTAAGCTGGGTGGTGCATACATGGGTATTTCCCATGCCATTCTCCACAATGTTTCATAGGTTTAAAATATTTCCCTTTATAAAGAGTATTAGGTCCATGGAAAATTGAAGGCAAGTAAATCATCAAATGCTCACAAGGACTAAATGTTTCAAGGGCAGTTGCTGTGGGGCCCAAGGACATCCAGAGCTGTGTGTCCTTTCTACTCAGTCATGTTGCCTGTATGGGCCATGCCAGATCCACAGCACCCTGCAGACAGCACTGTGGTTTCTGAGGACTTGATGAGAGAAGATGAAATACAAACAGGCAAAACCTTCTCCCTAATGCTTCTAGTGAACGAACACACCACTGCACCTCTTCCACCGCTCTTGCCAAACCTCTAGCCCCTCTGACAGGGAACAGCTGCTGCAGTTGGCTGAGGCCACCTTATAAAATCACAGTCCATCAGCCCACCAGGGAACACAATGGTTTAAGAATATTCAGCATCTCTTCAAATTCAGCAGAAATGTATAGACAAAGATGTATTTATATATCCTTCTATTAAAAAGTCTTGGCTTAAAGTTAATAATAAAACAGAATGAAAAATTCCACACTTACATAGAAAGTTTAAAAAAAAGAAACAGCAGAGCATGGTTTCCCAATCTGTTTCTCTATATTTCTCAACCCTTCTTTCAAAAGCATGTTAAATCCAAAGTTGAAATGAAAGAGTTTTGGCTTTTAATTGAAAGTGAATCGATGTGGGAAGGAGATGATGCCATGCATTTATGAGCACATATTCGAAGGGTCTGAGACAATGCATGTGATAAAAGGGCATCAAGGGAAGAAAAAAAGAAGAGGGGAATAGGCAGACACTGGACAGAACGTGATGCTGGGAGTCCCTGGGCCACCAAAGCTTGGAGAAAAGTGGTAACCACAATGGTCTCAGCCTAGTTTAGACCGAAGACCTCAACACCTGGTGACATATGGGATCCTTGGTAGGACAAATCTCAAAAAGTTGTTTTACAATAGCGAGTGTGAACATTGTGAGAACCAAAATTATGACACGTGTGTGTGTGTGTGTCAGTGTGTCTGTGTGCCTATGTGTGTGATTAAAAACCTTGACAAATAAATCAAAGAAGGCTATGATGAGTGGATTCTCATGCTTGTGTGCCTGATAACAAAACTATCACAAAATACTTGGCAAAACCACCAGCTTGCAGAAAGCCCAACCCAACCTTACACAAAAATATTTCTGCAAGGACACCTGCCCAGCAACTGCCTGTCCAACCTTGGTGTGGCATCACCCTTGTTACTGATCTTTGTAGTGAAGGAGAACTATTTCAAAATCCACATGAAGTCCTCCTCATATTTTCTGTGGAACATCTTTGTCTTCCTTTACCTCCCTGAATTTGCACATAGCTTATAATGGCACACAGTTTCCCATTCTAATACTCTTCTCCCAAATACATATCTTCTTCTTTCAGAAAACCTCTCTGTTTGTAGTTAGGCTGGCAAGAGCTTCATCGCAAGAGGCTCTGGGCTGAGACTATCCTCTGTGCAGTGGGGTAAACTCATCATAGAAACAAGTCTATCCAATGGAATCTTCCAGAATACTCACCCCCAGACTTTTCTATACTTTTTATAACATTCCATGTCAAACGTCCAATAGCCCTGGGAGGAGAAACAAAATAATATTTCATTATTATTTTAAGTGTACTTAACCCTGCCTCTAATTGGGGTTGAAAACAGTCAAATCCAATGAAATTAGACTTGCTGGCAGTTAGAGGAAGCTTATTTAGAGATGTCATAAGAGAAAGGAAACAAAATAGAGGAGGTATTTGAAATGGGAAATTTAAAATCACTCTTGAATTTTCTTTAAGTGTTGTCGATACTGAATGTCTTATCCTTGTGTATAAATACTAAGTAACTCCTTGTCTTTCTGATGTCTCTTTGCTTTTTCATGTGTTGTCTCTAAAATCTCATAAATCCTTGAATGATCACCTCTAGGGGCATGTGGAGAAACTGAGGCTGAGGGAATGTGAGTGAGCGCCAGAAGGGAACGTGCAGTCTTTTTTCTCTTTGTTCTTCATCCTTTTCATTTATTTCATGAGCTCACTCTAGAATTCTAGCAGAATTAGAAAGTTACAGACACCAGGGACCTCTTTTAGCCTAGCAGATTTAGATAAGTGTGAGGCATGTTTGTTGAGTGAGAAAATGAGTGAGTGACAGAATGACAAAGTGGACTCGCTTTCCAGTTTTCCAGCTTAACATGAAAGTTCTGAGAAAATGTCACCTCTACACATCGGAGACAGAAAATTATGACACTTGCTCCGAGTTTGCACTGAAACTTAAAAAAAAACCTTCCTGTTTCTACATTTCAGGGGTGAAGTTTTAACTATGGAAAAGAAGGTCCGAGGAATGTGTATCTTGGGGGTACATCTACTAAAGATTTGACATGGGAAAGTGGTGGGTTTCAGGCCTCTTAGCCCAAGCCTGCATGGGTACATCCAGATGGCCTGAGGCAACCAAAAACTACAAATAGGTGAAACAGCCAGCTCCTGTCTTAACTGATTGACCAACCTTACAACGTTCCATTATGACTTGTTACTGCCCTGCCCCAACTGATCGATTGATCGACCTCGTGACATTCTTCTTCTGGACAATGAGTCTTATGATCTCCCTACCATGCACCTTGTGACCCCCTCCTCTGCTGACAATAGATAACTTCCTTTAACTGCAACTTTCCACTGCTTACCCCAGTCCTATAAAACTGACCCACCCCTATCTCCCTTTGCAGACTCCTTTTCGGACTCAGTCAGCCTGCACCCAGGTGATTAAAAAGCTTTATTGCTCACACAAAGACTGTTTGGTGGTCTCTTCACATGGACGCAAATGACATTTGGTGCCAAAGACCTGGGACAGGGGGACTCCTTCGGGAGTCCCATCCCCTGTCCTCGCCCTCACTCCATGGGGAGATCCACCTCTTGGGTCCTCAGACCAGCCAGCCCAAGGTCATCTCACCAATTTTAAATCGGGTAAGCGGCCTCTTTTTATTCTCTTCTCCAACCTCTCTTGCTATCCCTCCACCCTTCAATCTCTCCCTTCCTTAATTTCAGTTTCTTTCCCTTTCTGGTAGAGACGGAGGAGATACGTTTTATCCATGAACTCAAAACTCTGGTGCCAGTCATGGACTCGGGAACAGTCTTCCCTTGGTGTCTAAATCACTGCCAGGACACCTGCCTGGTTATTCACCCACATTTCAGAGGTATCTGATCACTGTGGGGATGCCTGCCTTGATCATTCACCTTGGCACAAGTACCACCTCCCCTGGGTCACAAGTATCACCTTCCCTGGGTGGCAAGTACCACCTTCCCTGGGTGGCAAGCACCACCTTCCCTGGGTGGCAAGTACCATCTCCCCTCTCTCCATGTCTCTACCTTCTCTTTTCTCTGGGCTTGCCCCCTTCACTATGGGCAACCTTCCAGCCTCCACTCCCTCTTCTTCTCCCTTAGCCTGTGTTCTTCAAAACCTAAAACCCCCTTTGACTAACACCTGACCTAAAACCTAAATGCCTTATTTTCTTCTGCAATACCGCTTGGCCTCAATACAAACTGGACAATGGTTCCAAATAGCCAGAAAATGACACTTTTGATTTCTCGATCTTATAAGACCTGGATGATTTTTGTTGAAAAATGGGCAAATGGTCTGAGGTGCCTGACATCCAGGCATTCTTTTATACATCAGTCTCTCCCTAGTCTCTGCTCCCAGTGTGACTCATCCCAAATCTTTCTTCTTTCTCTCCTGTCTCTTTCTTCAGTCTCCACCCTAAGCTCTGAGTCCTTTGAATCCTCCTTTTCTATGAACCCATCTGACCTCTCCCCTCCCCACCAGGCTGCTCCTCACCAGGCCAAGCCAGGTCCCAATTCTTCCTCATCCTCTGCTCCCCCACCCTATAATAGAAGTATCACCTCCCCTCCTCACACCCACTCCACCTTACAGTTTCATTCCGAGACTAGCCCTCCTCCACCTGCCCAACAATTTTCTCTTAGTCAGGTGGCTGGAGCTGAAGGCATAGTCAAGGTACATGTGCCTTTTTCTCTATCGACCTCTCCCAGATCAGTCAGCGTTTAGGCTCTTTTTCATCAGACCCCACTAAATATATACAGGAATTCCAATATTTAACTCAGTCCTGCGATTTAACCTGGAGTGACTGAAATGTCATCCTGACCTCCCCCCTCTCCCCAGATGAGCAGGAAAGAGTTGATACCCTAGCCCAATCTCACACTGACACCCACCAGTGCCATGAGCCAGACCTTCAAGAAGGCATCAGGGCAGTTCCCCAAGAGCATCCCCATTGGCAGTACAAGATGGACTCCCCAGGTATAGCTAGGTGAGATTACATGGTCTCCTGCCTAGTCAAGGGGTTCAAAAAAGCAGCATACAAGGCTGTTAATTATGACAAGCTAAAGGAAACTACCCAAGGTAAAGATGAAAACCCAGCCCAGTTCATGGCCCACTTAGCACCTACCATTAGATGCTTCACAGCCCTGGACCCAGAGGGGCCAGAAGGCCGCCTTATCCTTAATATGCATTTTATGACCCAATCCTCTCCTGACATTAGAAAAAATCTCCAAAAATTGGATTCCAGGCCTCAAACCCCACAACAGGACTTAAATAGCCTCACCTTCAAGGTGTATCATAATAGAGAAGAGGCGGCCAAGTGACAATGCATCTCTGAATTATAGCTACTTGCCTCCAGTGTAAGACAACCCAAGACCATGTCTCCAGCATACAAAACCTTCAGAACATCCAAGCCACAGCTCCCAGGGGCTCCTTCAAAACCTCCTCATGGACCTTGCTTCAAATGCCAAAAGCCTGGCCACTGGGCCTCAGAAGGCCCACAGCCTGGGATTCCTCCTAAGCCGTGCCCTGTCTGTGTGGGCTCCAATTAGAGGTTGGACTGTCTGACTCACATCGCCACTGCTCCTAAAGTTCCTGGAGCTCAAACCCAATGTTTCTTGGCTGACTCCTTCCCAGATCTCCTTGGCTTAGTGGCTGAAGACTGATGCTACCCGATCACCTCGGAAGCCCCCCGGAGAATCACGGATGCCAAACTTCAGGTAACTCTTACAGCAGAGGGTAAGTCCATCCCCTGTGTAATCGATAGGGGGGATACCCACTCCACACTACCTTCTTTTCAAGGGCCTGCTTCCCTTGCCCCCATAACTGTTGTGGGTATTGACGGCCAGGTTTCTAAACCTCTTAAAACTCCCCAACTTTGGTGCCAAATTGGGCAACATTCTTTTATGCACTCCTTTTTAGTTATCCCCACCTGCCAGTTCCCTTATTAGGCTGAGATATTTTAACCAAATTATCTGCTTCTCTGACTATTCCTGGACTACAGCTACATCTCATTGCCATCCTTCTTCCCAACCCAAAGCCTCCTTCGTGTCTTCCTCTTGTATCCCCCCACCTTAACCCACAGGTATGGGACACCTCTACTCCCTCCCTGGCAACTGATCACATGCCCATTACTATCCCATTAAAGCCTAATCACCCTTACCCAGCTTAACGCCAGTATCCCATCCCACAAGAGGCTTTAAGGAGATTGAAGCCTGTTATCACTCACCTGCTACAGCATGGGCTTCTAAAGCCTACAAACTCTCCTTATAATTCCCCCATCTTACCTGTCTAAAAACCAGACAAGTCTTACAGGTTTGTTCAGGATCTGCGCCTTATCAACAAAATTGTTTTCCTATCCACCCTGTGGTGCCCAACCCGTACACTCTTTTGTTCTCAATATCTCCCTCCACAACTCACTATTCCATTCTTGATCTTAAAGATGCTTTTTTCACTATTCCCCTGCACCACACATCCCAGCCTCTCTTTGCTTTTACCTAAACTGACCCTGACACCCATCAGTCCCAGCAGCTTACCTGGGCTGTACTGCCACAAGGCTTCTGGGACAGCCCTCATTACTTCAGCCAAGCTCTCTCTCATGATTTACTTTCTTCCCATCCCTCTGCTTCCCACATTATTCAATATATTGATGACCTTCTACTCTGTAGTCCCTCCTTTGAGTCTTTTCAACAAGATACCCTCCTGCTCCTTCAACATTTACTCTCCAAAGGATATCGGGTATCCCCCTCCAAAGCTCAAATTTCTTCTCCATCCGTTACGTACCTCAGCATAATTCTTCATGAAAACACATGGGGTCTCCCTGCTGATCATGTCTGGCTGATCTCTGAAACCCCAACCCCTTCTACAAAACAACTCCTTTCCTTCCTGGGCATGGTTGGATACTTTTGCCTTTGGATACCTGGTTTTGCCATCCTAACAAAACCATTATATAAACTCACAAAGGGAAACCTAGCTGACCCCATAAGTCCTAAATCCTTTCCTCACTCCTCTTTCCATTCCTTGAAGACAGCTCTAGAGGCTGTTCCCATACTAGCTCTTCCTGACTCATCCCAACTCTTTTCATTACACACAGCCAAAGTGCAGGGCTGTGCAGCTGGAATTCTTACACAAGGACTGGGACCGTGCTCTGTAGCCTTTTTGTCCAAACAACTTGACCTTACTGTTTTAGGCTGGTCATCATGTCTCTGTGCAGTGGCTGCCACCACCCTAATACTTTTAGAAGCCCTCAAAATCACAAACTATGCTCAACTCACTCCATACAGTTCTCATAACTTCCAAAATATATTTCCTTCCTCACACCTGATGCATATACTTTCTGTTCCCCAGCTCCTTTAGCAATACCCACTCTCTGTTGAGTCTCCCACAATTACCATTGTACCTGGCCTGGGCTTCAGTCTGGCCTCCCACATTATTCCTGATACCACACCTTATCCCCATGACTGTATCTCTCTGATCCATCTGACATTCACTCTATTTCCCCATATTTCCTTCTTTCCTGTTTTTCACCTGAATCACAGTTAGTTTATTGATGGCAGTTCCACCAGGCCTAATCACCACTCACCAGCAAAGGCAGGCTGTGCTATATTATCTTCCACATCTATCATTGAGGCTACTGCTCTGCCCCCCTCCACTATCTCTCAGCAAGCCAAACTCATTGCCTTAACTTGGGGCCTCACTCTTGCAAAGGGACTACACATCAATATTTATACTGACTCTAAATGCTGTCCATATCCTGCACCACCATGCTGTAATATGGGCTGAAAGAAGTTTCTTCACTATGCAAGTGTCCTCCATCATTAATGCCTCTTTAATAAAAATTCTTCTCAAGGCCACTTTACTTCCAAAAAAAGCTGGAGTCATTCACTGCAAAGGCCATCAAAGGGCCTCAGACCCCATTGCTCAAGGCAACAATTATGCTGATAAGACAGCTAAAGAAGCAACCAGTATTCCTACTTCTGTCCCTCATGGCCAGTTTTTCTCCTTCTCATCAGTCACTCCTATTTACTCTCCCACTGAAGTTTCCATCTATCAATCCCTCCCCACTCAAGGAAGATGGTTCTTAGACCAAGAAAAATATCTCCTTCCAGTCTCACAGGCCCATTCTATTCTGTTGTCATTTCATGACCTCTTCCATGTAGGTTACAAGCAACTAGCCCCCTCCTAGAACTTCTCATTTCCCTTAAGACATTTGCCCTGTATTTCACTCCATTCTTGGCTACCTTCCCCTTGTTCTTCAGACTCTCCTCCCATTCCCCCTTCTTGTTTACTTATACCGAACCCCATGAATAGCAATGAAAGTTTGGTTGTAGACACTATGCTCTTTCTCATACCCAGTTGCCCCATCAATCCCCATTATGACCACTAAGGGCTGATGCCCTCACTAAATCCCTAAGAGTCTGGGTGCAAGACACCTCTTTTGGCACTCCCTCTCATCTTTTCACTTTGCATTTCCAGTTTTGCCTCACACAAGGCCTCTGCTTCCTCTGTGGCTCCACCACGTACATATGTCTATCTGCTAATTGGACAGGTACATGTACACTAGTATTTCTTATTCCCAAATTGAAAAAATTCAATTTGCAAATGGGACTGAACAACTTCCTGTCCCCCTCATGACACCAACCAGACAAAAATGAGTTATTCCTCTAATCCCTCTACTTGTAGGGTTAGGACTTTCTGCTTCCACTATTGCCCTTGGAGCTGGAATAGCAGGTATTTCAACTTCTGTCACAACTTTCTGTAGCCTTTCTAATGACTTTTCTGCTAGCATTACAGATACATCACAAACTTTATCAGTCCTTCAGACCCAGGTTGACTTCTTAGCCCTAGTCGTCCTCCAACATCGCTGAGGCCTTGACCTACTCACTGCTGAAAAAGGAGTACTCTATATTTTTAAATGAAGAATGTTGTTTTTATCTAAACCAATCTGGCCTGGTATATGACAATATAAAAAAGCTTAAAGATAAAGACCAAAAACTCACCAGCCAGGCAAATACTTATTTTGGACCCACCTGGACACTTTCTAACTGGGTGTCTTAGCTCCTCCCTATTCTTAGTCCTCTGGTACCTGTTTTTCTCCTTCTGTTATTCGGGACTTGTGTCTTCAATTGGTTTCTCAATTAATATAAAAACACATTCAGACTATCACCAATTATTCTATACAACAAATATTACTTTTAACAAGTCCATGGTACCATCCTCTGCCCCAAGATCTCCCCACAGCCTAAATTCCTATTCCTTGTAACTCATTATAAAATTTTCTTTAAGGTGTCCACATGGCCCATAATCCCGCTTGAAGCAGCCCTGAGAAACATCATCCATTATCTCTCCATACCACCCCCCAAAAATTTTTGCTGCCCCAACACTTTGCCACTATTTTGTTTTATTTTTCTTAATATAAAAAGACAGGAATGTCAGGCCTCTGAGCCCAAGCCTGCACGTGTACATCCAGATGGCCTGAGGCAACTGAAAACTGCAAAAGAAATGAAACAGCCAGCTCCTGTCTTAACTGATTGAGCAATCTTACGACATTCCATTATGACTTGTTCCTGCCCTGTCCCAACTGATTGATCAATCAACCTGGTGACATTCTTCTCTGCACAATGAGTCTTATGATCTCCCCACCATGCACCTTGTGGCCCCCTCCACTGCTGACAATGGATAACCACCTTTAACTGTAACTTTCCACTGCTTACCCCACTCCTATAAAACTGCCCCACCCCTATCTCCCCTTGCTGACTCCTTTTTCAGACTCAGTTGGCCTGCACCCAAGTGATTAAAAACATTTATTGCTCACACAAAGCCTGTTTGGTGGTCTCCTCACACGGACGCATGTGAAAGTAGGGAAATTATTGCTTTTGCAGAGGGAAAAAATATGAAATTCCTGGGCAGTAATTAGACAACAAAGCCCTCACTTAGGAGAACTAGAATCTGAGAAACAAGCCTCAGGTATGCAGGTCAGATTGTCTAAGCCAGAGAGCTGACTCCTGCTGCTGCTGGCCCTGTGGAAATAAGCTCATAATTTTCCATCCAGGGACCAGGCCCTGAACACAGCATCAGATAAGGTTAGGCACAAAGGCTCGACCAAAGTCCCCAGTCCATGAGGCACATATGACATTCTATTTAGTGAAATTAAATATTCAATAATTTTGTCAAATCATCCCCTTTCTAGTGATTTTGCATGTGATTCTGCCTTTGTGTAAAAAATAAACCCATGAATTCATATTGTGCTTAAATATCTGAGGTTAATAGACAACCACTATCTCATCTCAGTTACATCCACTCCCTGCTCAGACTCACCCACAAGACGCAGCCTTCAAAGGAAAAGAAGTAAAGCAGAACACTTTTGTTCTGTGTCTCAAAGTGGCAACAGATGTCATGGGGAGTAAGACCTGGGTTAAAGCCATGGAAATTCCCCAACAAAATTTGGCATTTTTTGAAGAGGCTTCAAGCAGGTGCAAATGACCCAATGGTAAATACTTGATCTCCCTAATAAACTGAGTTTCCAAGCTGTGCAGGAGGAAGGGAAAAAAGCCTATTCATGAGCTCTTGCTACAGAGAGGAAAGTTTTACTCTCATGTCCACAGATAACAAGCCACAATCAGGGGCTCCTGTTCCTACTTTTAATACTAACTAAGTATGGCTGTACCTTCCTGGGAACCTGCCTGGAGCAAAAAGGAAATGCTCTTTATGGTGCTCACAAAGTCTGCACATCAAGTTGTGAACATCAGATTGCTGGATCTACTTGACATTTGGGCTGTCCAACTGAGGCAAACTTGAGGTTCCTGAGAGTTAGCAAGAGAGCCCCAGGGTAAACTTTGCCACGCTCTGGGTGATGCCTACACGCTATTTCTGAAAGTATAAAATCTCAGACCTTCCTCTTGAGGAGAAGCATTTTTACTGATGGAACTAAGTTGCTCTTTGCAATCATAAGAAGCAAAAGAGGAAGCTCAAAAACACTCACCTTACGGAAGGACAAAGCATTTCCCAAAAAAGGCAGAGGTGTGGGCCCTGGAATTCCAAGCTTCTTAAAAAGTCCATGTGTACGGGTTCCATATCTACAAAGTGAAACAAAAATCAGGTCTCAGGGATTGTGACTTTATAGATATAGGGGCTGGTGAGTCACTGACTGAGGAACTGGAATGATCAGGCAAAGGAGGTAACATTAAGGCAATAAAAAATAACAGTAACTCTGACGGCAATGATTATATTTGTTCATCAGGTCCTTTCATGCTTCCACCATGAGACACCAAAAAGTTACAATGATTAGCTAAAAGCAGCTGAAGTCTTCATGGCCCCAGTCTGGGATGAATATTTGATAAATGTTCTCAAATGTGAATGATCCTGAGAGGTTCAGGAACGAATTCTTCCAGGCACTTCATTCCCTCATGTCTTTTTAGTAAGTGGACTCTTCCCTGATTTTGGGATTCTCATCCTAGGTAGAAAGAGTGACAATTTTTCTTTTGTCTTCTGCAGTGATGATGAGATTTTGCATCACTGCATCCACTCAGTCACAGGGGGTCACTGAGAGCCTATGGTGACCCTGTCTTTAGAATTTGCTCAGAGGCTTTTAAGCTTTCCCTTCACTCTAAGCTCTGACCCTGTTTTAGGATCTGGCCCTTCTTAAACTGTCATTCACAGAGAGGTCTTGGAGGAGTCACAGAGTCCTTATTTCTACAGATTGACAACTGTGCTCCAGGCTTCCATTGGCCTCGTAGAAGTGCGAGCACCTTTTAGCTACACCTCAGTCTCTGTGGTCAGAGGATCTGATTGATTTGAGCTATTGGGGAGGATGATTGACTCATATTTTCCTGAATGACACTGTGCAGAAGAATCACAACTAAGAACAAGGACATTCCTCCTCTTGTGGAATCTAGCCTTCCAACTGGTGATATCCACCTGATAAGCACAGTGCCAGTGATATGATCTGAATCTGTGCCCCTACCCAAATCTCATGTTGAAATGTAATCCCCAATTCTGGAAGTGGGGCCTGATAGATGGTGGTTGTATCTTAGAGGCAGTTTCTCATGGTTTCACACCATCCCCCTTGGGTGCTGTCCTCTTGACAATGAGTTTTTATGAGATCTGGTGGTTTATAAGTGTGTGGCACCTCCTCCCCACCCTCTCTTGCTTCTGCTCCAGTCATGTAAGATCTGCCTGCTTCTTTTTCACCTTCTGCCATGATTGTAAATTTCCTGAGGGCACCCTAGCGGCAGAAGTCGCTATGCTTCCTGTAGAGCCTGCAGAACCATGAGCCAATTAAATCTCTTTCCTTTCTAAATTACCCACCCTGAGATTTTTTTTTATAGCAATGGAAGAAAAGACTAATACAGCCAGACATGCTCATTTTTTTTCAAGGTGATCAATTACAAAGCAGTCAGTTTATTGCGTCTGCACATCAACTGTCTCTGTAGGAAAACCCATCAAGGCTGCTGCTCCCTATAGCAGGCCTGCTTGCAACCCATCTTTGATGGGCCATGTATGGACTTCCCCAACTGGGGATTCTGGATATCTGAAGACCTTCCCAGTTTGAGGTTACTGAGGGGTGGAAGACTGGATGAAGCAGAAAAGTTGATGGAAGAGGTAGCCAGCCATCAATTCAACCATGAATCTGCTAGTCCCACAAGCTTGGCCCCAGACAGGCAAATTAGGAAAATGTGGTTCAAAAGTACGGTGTGTATAAATGGATCCATATGCCTCATATGTGCTTTCAGCTGAAAGGCAGGCACCTTCTAATGGCCAGGTACCTTCCTGTTGATAGCAAAAGATGGAGTATTCCACATAAGTAACCATAAAATGTTCCAGATAGTTGAATTAAGACCTTGTTTTCTCTTCTTTAAAGGGTAGCCATTAAGGCAGTATAGGTTCCAAACATTCTGTACAAATCCAGTGACTCTGATAATATGTGGTAAAATACAACTAAGAAACAGCATGGAGGCTCGTGTTTGGAGAACCCAGCAGAGACAGCATAGCCAGGCCCAATAGTGCATTTGGATCCTTGCCCCAGAATAGTTAGTGGAAGTGTGTGCACCATCTACCACAACCAGGGTGGCCTTGGGTTTTCCCACTCCTGTTCCTTCCTTTGTTGTCACAGCCATGGAAAATCAATGGCACTAATCTCTGCTTCTAAACTTTCTACATGTTACATGATCTCTCAGGCCAGGACAAACTATTGAGTTAATGTGTGAGCAGCATTGGCCCCCGAGGAAAGATCTAGGTGAGTGTCTAGATTCACATGATTCCACGTCAAGGCAGAGGCTGTGCTTGGCAAACTGTTTAGTTTCTTTCCAGCTCCCCTCTGTTTGGTAGAGTAATGCTGCTTTTTGTTACAATGAAGAGGCTAACAGAAAAATCCATCATCTATTGCATGTAATTGTATAGGCCTAAGAAGGGCATGGTCTACACTATAGCTTCTGAATCCTGGGCTGTACCGGCATCGTCTAAGGCTAAGGTATTGTCTGCCTGACTGCCAGAATCTGTAGTGACAGCCCCACAACATGGCCAGCCACACACAGAGTGACACTGATGGTGCCCTTGTGTCCAGGCTTCAAGCAGATGAGATGCCAACATGTTTGTCCTTCAAGTGACCTCCACTAGGGGGCCAGGACCCATGAATATCTATTTGGAGTTCTACCCTGAGGGGTAAGGAATATTTTCTCACTTCATCTTGATCCTACCTGGATGCTTTTGCTATCATCACTGGCTCACAGTCTTGCTTACTTTCTAGCCCTGAGAGTTTAGGATAACCTGCTAAGCAGGTGTATTTGAAATGGGGGTATTAAAATAAACTCTTGGGAAAGTATTTTTAAAAAGACATATGCAGTCTTGTCCTAGAGATATATATTTGTACATTAGACTCATATTCCTGACATTATTCTGGAAAGGTGAGGTTATCTTATACACATTTATTGTCACAAATACTGAACTAATAGCCCTCTTTTATCACTCAGAAGGAACATGCTGGAAATAGTCTATCTCCAAAAAAATCTGGCTTTAAAAAGGATGAATTTAAGCCACACCAATTCATGTTAAATTGCCAGTAGATGGAAACTATGTTACCACAACTCACTGAATTGCTAACTTTTCTGTGAAAGAATTAAAACGAGGTTTGTATTTTCTGTTTCCATGTGACCATGATTCCTTACTCTTAATAACTGTGAAATTGAGTTAGAAGTAAAATGTGACAGGCGGGAAGCCTCCAGTACACACAGTAGGGAGTGACTCTTCTCTCCACCTGCTCTAGGATGCCAGGATCTCACTGGTGAGAAGATTCACCCTCTTCTCCTGCAACTTAAAGGGAAAAATGTAAAATCCAAATTCTGGTTTGGTAAGCTGGGTACAAACCATTGTCTATTAGATTATCCTCAATCAATGCTGTCCCTAAACCCTTCTTTCCACTAAAGATGAATGGGGGAGATGCTTATTTATTCCTTTATAGATCTGCAAAACATCCATCATAACCTCTATATGTTTGTAGCATCCAACACTTAAGCTACTTCTCCTTGAAAATCTTTTTTTTTCTTTTTTTTCTCTTTTTTTTTTTTTGAGATGGAATCTCACTCTGTTACCCAGGCTGGAGTGCAGTGGCATGATCTCAGTTCACTGCAACCTCCGCCTCCCAGGTTCAAGCAATTCTCCTGCCTCAGCCACCCAAGTAGCTGGGACTACAGTTATGCACTACCATGCCCAGCTAATTTTTGTAATTTTAGTAGAGATGGGGTTTCACCATATTAGCCAGGCTGGTCTTGAACTCCTGACCTCAGGCAGTCCACCTGCTCAGCATCCCAAAGTTCTGGGATGACAGGTGTGAGCCACCACGGCCAGCCTGAACATCCTTTTTGCTATTCAAAACAGATAAGGGAAAGAGAGGCCTGATTAGCACCCCAAGTCCAAGGAAACAGAGAAGAGGAGCCTGAACAGTTACTCACAGATAGAGGAGTATCAGGCTGACAGCCAGGAGAAGCCAGGTTTCCACGGCCAAGTTTGGGATGAGATCCATCACTACTTTCCTTCCTTATCTCTCTCCTCTGAGTCTTTTTTTCAGCAGCGTGCTGCTGTTTGCTGGGCTGTGTGTGTGGAGCTTTCCTGCCCTGCACAGCAGTGATTCAGTGAGGCTGTTGGATTGTTTATATGCTGGAGAAGGAGGCAGGGCTGGAGCTGCAGCCAGTAGCAGGGCCCCCGTGCTCTGCCTGCAGTCGGAAGAGGCTTCTCCACCTCGGCAGTTGGCAAATAATCACACACACACCACTCACTGACCTCCATTGAGTTAATATTCTATGTAGAATCATACACAACTCAATCAATGTTACTGGGGAGTCCAAGGGTTCTGGGTTCTTATCACAAACTCAAGTGGAGCCATTGGCATAAAATCTATTAACTCTCCTCTTGTCTCTATGGCTGTCCTCATTCCAGAATACTTGAAACTCATCCCAACAAGCCATGCCTACAGATCTTTACCTATGCCTGGAGTGTGCCTGTGCCCCCTAGAAGACTCCTACACATCCTTTCATACCCAGCCAGACAGAGCCTTCTCTTAGAGTCTTTCCTCACCAACCCCCTCACACAGAAGTAACCATTTCCTCCCCTGGGCACTTTCCATCCCCTTCATGCAGTTCTATTGTCTTCTTTCCTCTTTACCACCATTGTGTGTTTCCAGGCCTGTTTCCCTTAGCAGAGGTGAGCTCCTCAAGGGCATAGTCTGGTCTTACTCACTCTCATGGCTCTGGTCCCTATCAGGGTGCTGTACACACAGTGGGGACCAGAAAGGCTGGTGGAGTTGACTTGGCTGAGATTGCTGGGCCCCTGTGTGTCACTTCCTCTGACTTTCTGGTGACCACTCCATCTTCTTAGGTCATTAATACAGCCAGAGCTCTTGGCTGTGCCTCAGCTGCTGTCTCTGCACTTTCAGATTTGTCCTCTGTGATTCTGTTGGCAAGAGGACCCCTAAAAAAGAGACATGGCATGGATGAGATGGAGCTGATGGCTTAGTGGAATAGCATCAATTTGTGCTTCTTCCTCTGTAGCTTTCAAAAGTCCTGCCGTAGATAGAAAGTTAGACAGGTTCTTTGCCAAAGAGTGGCCCCTTCTCTCTGGAAATACTGCATGTCTGGAAACAGTAGGGGAGAAAGAAGAGAAGAGAACAGCTGCCCAGATGGCCAGGTTGACCCAAACCACCTCAGCCAGCAACAATGGGGCAGTGGTCACTGCAGGTCACACAGCATCAAGGACTCCAATGAGGTGGTCCCAGCCTCTTGAGGGTGGAATTGGAATTCAAAGCAAATGGCTTCCTTTTTGACAAGTGGAGGATTTTCTAATGGGAGGAGAGCAGGTGCCAGGAGCTGGTAGAGATGAGGCCTGTAATAACAGTTGCTGCCACCTGTGAGCCCTGTGACCCATTCCTGATGGGAGAGATCTCAGTGATGAGGGTGTGAAAATTATATCAGCTCATTATCATCACTCACACCCAAGTTCTGTGTCTGCTTGGCCTGAGAAATGGATTCCATGACAAACAAAATCTCAGAGTTGTTAAAACTCAGTAGAAACAGATGATGTTTAAGCTGTGCTTGTTCACTTCCTTCTCTCTTTATTCTTTCTCAGGTTCAGCACTCCTGCAGAAACTGATACTCACCCCAGAAAGACACCTTTTCCCATCCCTCTGGCCCCTAAGCCTCCAGGGCTGCTCGGCACCTGGCCTCAGCAGGTGAACATCATGCCAGATTCCTTGTCAGATTCAAGGCCAAGTGGGTGAATGTCATGTGCAGTGTTGTGCCAGGTATGTGCCGGGAGCCACATGTTCCTTGGGGACAGCCTAGTGAAGCAGGAGACAAATAAACATGCTTGGATGGAGGTATGCATGTGCTGTAACTCTGGAATCCCTGGAATAATGGAGCCCTACAGAGAGGTACCTAAGAAAAGAAGTGACAGCGTCAAAGCAACAAAGGACAGACACGGGTAGGTGGGTGACAATCCCCAGGAGAAGTAGGATAAAAGTCCAGGGAATTCTGGTACATTTCTGTCTCCTTTCAGTGGCTTCGCTGAGCACATTAAATAGGGCCATGCTACTATCCCCAGTTTACAGATGTAGAAACTGAGGCTCAGTGACTGCAAGTAGCTTCCCAACTGATACTGATCACAATAAAATATTATAAAAAGTTAACAGGAAGGGAGATATTAGGTCCTCTGCTGCTCTGGTGCACCTGCCATTCCTTGCTAAGCATCACTATGGCAAATAGTAAGACTCAAGGCTGCAACCAGAAATTGGTTGAGATTCGTGTTCCTGTCTCAAGGGTTACTCCCAGTGGCACCCCCTGGGTTTTCTAGAACAAAGGACTCCATCTCAGCAGGGAGAAAGAAAGATGCAGTTTCTGACCATATCAATGGCATTGCTGGAGGATCTCCCTCTCTATGTTGCCACACCGAGAGGTGCACAGAACACATTCTGACAAGTAAAGATTCCAGTGTCATCTGATAACTATCAACAACTTCATTAGCTCACCTAAACAAAGAGCCTTTCTTATTTTTTTAGAAACAAAACTCTTATGGAAACGATTATGTTTTCTTCTTTCCTCTAAAACACTTACTTGGCTAAGATGATTTTTATTCTAAGATGAAGATTTACCTGCCCTACAAACTTCAGGAGGTGGTGTGACTGGTTGGAATCTATACCAACAGTGATAGACTAATCGTTGCTTGGAATTCAAATGCAGCCAGCACTCTGTCCTAACTAATGAAATTGGTGTTGTTCTGCAAAGGAAAATAATTGAAGGCATGTTCTGCCACTTAATTCCACAGAAAGTAACATCTTCTAACATGTAGGGACTTGCCTACTGAGAGCTGCACTGACTGTGTCAAGGAAGATACTATGCATTGGAAGAACACCCAAGCAACACTTGCCTCTCCCCTACTCATTTCCTGTATTAAAGCATTCATCATGTTTTTAAAGCTGTGCTGTCAGTATTGTGCTCCCAGACATTATTCTTGGTCTTGGTCAACTTTGTACCCTAAGCACATGGAGAAGAGACAAATAAGCAGATAATTATAGGACAGCTAAGGAAAAATAATCATAAAATTGTGAGAAAAATCATGTCCTTATCAACAATGAAAGACGTTTCTTCTTTCTTGGTCTGGTTTCATTGGATCAAAGTTAAATCTCAACATTCAGAGAAGCATTAGGCTCAGATATCAGCATGAGTGGACAGGCTGTCCAGGGACTCAGTGATGCAAGGAACACCTTCACTCCGATATTTTCATCCTTTTATATTGGTAGTCCAAGTGGTACCTCTCTTCTGGGAAGCTTGTTCTGACTTCCAGTGGCCAAGTGAATTACTCGTGGTAGGCAGAAGCAACATTGCTCTGGAATGATTTGTGTATTAGATTCAAATTTCACAGGTCATGATCTTGAGGATGTAAACCAAAAAAAAAAAAAAAAAAAAAAAAGACAGATTATCTCTCTGTAACTCAGCTCTCAAGTCCCCATTCTTCTCAGTAGGGGAAAACTTGATTTTGCATGTTGGGGTGACCACGTGGTATCTAAGTTTTGTTTTTATTTATTTATTTTTGAAATTGTTTTGAGGCAGGGTCTCACTCTGTTGCTCAGGCTGGAGTTCAGTGCTGTGGTTATAGCTCACTGTAGCTTCCACCTCCTGGGTTCAAGTGATCCTCCTACCTCAGCCTCCTTAGTAGCTGGTACTACAGGTATACCACCATGCCCAGCTAATTTTTAGTACAGATGGTGTCTAGCTATGTTGCCCAGGCTCGTCTCAAATTCCTGGCCTCAAGTGATCCTCCTGCTGCTGTCTCCTAAAGTTCTGAGATTTCAGATAGGAGCCACCACACCTGGCCTTTAAGTTTTGGTGGCTGGAGGAGGGGATTAGCAATGCTTTCGGGCCTCATGCTTAGGGGTGGTGTTGAGGAGAGTGACAGGTCCATGGACATGTACTCTAGGCACTGGAGGAGGTAGGTGTCTCACTTCGATGCCACTGTATGTTGGTTAGTCTGTATGCCTGCTGTGTTCAGGGCATGTGGCAAGCACTAAATATTAAAGAATCAAAATCCTTGTCCTGATGAAGCTATCTCTCTAATAGGACAAAGAGATACTAAACAGTGACAAAAATAATACTGAATTACAAATTGGGAAAAATGCTATGAAGTAAAAGAACCCTTTACTTAAGCTCCCAGTGATATCAGACACAGTTGATCCTTCTTTCTTTCCTTAAACTCTCTCTCTCTTTGAAAGACATGAATACAACAGAATCAACAAGACTTGACAGATGGGAAGTGTGAGACCTTGGATATTCCTGGATCTGTTTCCTCATCTGTCCATGGGGGAAATTGACCAGAATTGGCCTATGAAGACCAAGGTCCTCCTTGTCCCAATCAGAAGACCCCTGCAGGACTGCCTGCCTCTCAGCCTCTGTGTCCCTCTAGGAGTTTTGAAGACATTCCCTGTCCTCTATTCTCATTCTCTTATAGATCACTTAGGGTCCACCAGGTCTTCCAGCCCAATCAAAGACCAACAGCTCCTACAGGCAGGAGAAGAGCAAAGGTGGGATAGGATGCAACTGGGAGAAGATAACCACCCATTTAGGCCCTGAACTTTAAATTATGGATGGGTTTCTTAACTGAGATTGCAGTGAAAGGGTTTCACACATTCTCACACCCACTCACACTCAGCTTTTACTCAAGGAAATGATAGTGAATACGTGTCATGCTAAGTATTTACCCTGCATTAACTGATTCAATCTGTCTAACAACCCATGGTATTGATGTTGTTATGATCCCTATTTTACAGATGAGCAAACTAAGCCACAGGAAGGTTAACTGACCCATCCAAGGTTACGTCACTAATTGCTCTAGCAGAGCCAGGATTCATATGTAGATTCTGTAGCTGGAGAGCCCAGGGTCATAATCTTTTGACATAAGCCCAGCCTTGCCCAAGGACACACAGAGTTAGTGGGGAACTAGCAATGCAGCTCAGGCCTTCTGAATGGGTAGTGGCCAGAGCTCTGTCCCATATGCTGGGACAAAATGAAGTCCCAAAGCAAACTTGTCAGTGAGGACTGGGGTGAAGCAATGTCCTTTCTTCTCCCTGCCTGCCCTTGCCCTGAAGTATATGCACTTCTGTAGACTTTACAACAAAAAAGAAGAGGAGCTCTCTCTCTCCTGCCACCTTGTGAAGAAGGTGCCTTCTTCCACTTTGCCAACTGCCATGATTGCAAGTTTTCTGAGCCTCCCCAACCATATGGAACTGTGACTCAATTAAACCTTTCTTTGTAAATTAAAAAAAAAGAAGAGGAGGAGGACTTAATCATAACTGTTTTCTTTCTACTCTATTCTGGAGTGTCTATTTCTTGATAAAGTAACCACCAACATCTCCATGGCACTTCATAATTTATACAGTTCTTTCCCAACTCTCCTAATATCAGCAAGAAAACTTTGTAAGATGAGTAGTATTAGGATGATTTAACTCATGCTTTATAGATGTGGAAACAGATAGTTAGAAATAGACTTCAGACGTGACTAAGCCATGAAGCCAGGGCATGGAGCAGGACATTGTGATTTCAAATTGCATCAGTGGTGTTCTTGCTGGGATTCCAAGAAGGCTCCTAAAACAACTTGGCAGGTTGTGTCAGCCACACATGAGATAAATATTTCTCTCTACACCTCCCAGCACACTGCCAGTGTAGTTATAAAATGCTACAGAGCTGGTTATGACCATGAAAACAACATGTGCATCCTACACTTTACTAAATTGTGTATTCAGTGAGCTCATGTTTCAGCAGAAAGGGGAATGTTGCAAATAATTCTGACATGTCACAATCAGAATCATTTGTGTTTCCAGGAAAGCAAAAAGTAAAAGGTGATGAAACCAACATGTAAAAGAGAAATCAAAGAATATGAGGCAAATTTCAGAAGAGCACGTGGAAGGGAATTAATGAAACAGGAAATTGGTGAAGGAAATGAAGATTGTCATGAGATGTGTTACAAAACATCAGCAAAACCTACACCATTTCTCATACTCCTTATTTCAGTAACCTCCTAGCTTCTTTTGCCTACCCTGGGCAGTACTTATCCAGGGAATTCCCTACTCAGCCACCAGACAGCATCTCAAAAAACATGGAATCTTAAAGCATGCTTCCTTGGCTTCAGTCCCTGCAACTGTTCCTATCACTCACAGGATAAAATCTAAGTATATCTAGGAAGTAACACAAGACCCTTTCTCATCTGGCCACTGTTAGCTTCTTCAGCCTGTCTCAGTCCACTTCTCCAACTGTACACGGTGTTTTAAGCAAATGGTGCGATTGGCTACTCCCCAGGCTCTGCAAAAATGATGTGTTCGTGTCTCCTTGTGTCCACACAAGCTGTTCTTTAGCATAGACTGGGTCCAACCCAGCTTCCATCTGGTGCATTCCTAACCATCCTTCAGGAGTCAACCAGGGCATCATCTCCCCAACAAGCCTCTTTCATGACCACAGCAAGCAAATGCTGGAGAGGGTCCCGCTGGTGCTTTCTCACAGTTTTAACAGCTGGACACACAGTGGCTGTCATCCCGGGATGCTCACAGAATTCACATGCATGAGGAGCTTTTAAAAACCACAGATTCACTGTGTGTGGAGGCACAAAACTGTAATCTCAGCACTTTGGGAGGCTGAGGCAGGCAGATCATGAGGTCAGGAATTTGAGACTAGCCTGTCCAAGAGATCACAATGGCCTATATTGTAAAACCCCGTCTCTACTAAAAATACAAAAATTAGCCAGGAGTGGTGGTGGATGCCTGTAATCCCAGCTACACAGAAGGCTGAGGCAGGAGAATCACTTGAACCCAGGAGGTGGAGGTTGCAGTGGGCCGAGATCAGGCCATTGCACTCCAACCCCAGCCTGGGAGACAAAGCAGGACTCCAACTCAAAAAACAAACAAACAAACAAACAAACAAACATAAAACCCACAGGTTCCTGGGCCTACCAGAAATGAGAAAGGGTTGCCTAGGAGCCTAACAATGAGGAGGCAGGGACCATTGAGGGCCATCTGGAGAGACTCCAAAGTGTCCCATCAATCCAGTTACATGAAAAAGAAGGCATCACACCCAACTCATTCAATGAGGGCCACATGATCCAAATCTGAAAAAAATCAGGACCGCAAAGGAAGATGACATGCCAGTCTCATTCATCGGCATCAGTGCAAAAATGCTGAACACAATAGTAGCAAGCCAGAGACAGGAGTGTTCAAAGATGATACACCATGACCAAGTTGAATTTAAACCTGAGACTCAAGAATAGTTAACAGAGAAAAAGTATAAATACCAATGATCTCATCAACAGATTAAAGGAGAATGATTATAAGATCATCTCAATTGTTTTAGGAAGAGCCTTTGCTAGTTCAATAATAATATATTAATAATACATGATAATATTCAACTCCCATTCATGATATAAAAAACCTTCAACAACTAACAGCAGTGAATTTTATTAATCTGATGAAAGCATCTACCAAAAAAAATTAGAGAAAACATTATTCTCAGCAGTATAAAAGCATTATCCTCTTATACCTTCTTGTTTACCATGTGCACAAATTACCTTTCCAAAACTAGTAACATCTTTAAAAAATCCTATCAGTTAACTTACTTTTTCTGTAATTGAAAAGAATATCATAGCTTGTCCTTGTCAGAAGTCCAGCTTGTGATTCACCTGGGGTCAGCATAGGGCAAGGTTTAATAAACACTGAAATAACTAAACATTGTAATGCCTCATGGGGCTGCTTGAACTGACATGATTTCAAGGGCACTGAGAGGCTGGGGGAAAGCAGAGGGTCAGCAAGTTCATTCAGCTGAGATTATCTCAGTTTACAAACTGGAGTTTATGAACTTTAGTTGGGACATGAGTTTCATTGATTATTGGAATGAACCATCTCTCGAGAATAAACCAGCATCCAGCATCGGGCATGAAGTTCCAAGAGGACCCCAGGGAGAGATGTTACTAGGAAGCTTGCCAAATCCTGTGACTTTCCAGGGGGCCTGCCCACCCAAGTGCAGCCCATGCCTGACACCCAGCCCTCAATGCCCTATTCTGATCAGTTACATGGTTATCTCCAGAACCATGGGGCCCTCTCTATCGGTGTGAATGGGTTGTCCACTCTGCCCAGTGCTGTGACACAACACAGGGGAACAGAACCATAAGGGAAAATGTGAACAAGACCTTCAAAGAACGAGTCATGCTGAGACCCAAGGTGGGGGTACTTCACCACACAGAGGGAACTGGGGAGACACCAGGAGCTCTGGGAAGGCAGAGATAAGGGGATCTGGAACTACCTGGTGTGAAGTATTCCTAAAGGAGAGACTGTCTGCATTATCATCAACAGAGAAGTGTTTGTATAGAAGAGGGGAAGGTGAGAAGCATTTCAGGCTGTGAGAATGGTTCAGCTTTTTTTAGTAATAAAAAAATAGAGAAAGTAGAAATTGCTTTTAACTTTGTGTATTGAATAAGTAAGGAATGGCGTCCCAACCGTTTTCTTTATTATTATTATTATTACTATTACTATTATTATTATTATTGTTTAGACAGAGTCTTGATGCATTGCCCAGGCTGGAGTGCAATGGCACAATCATGGCTCACTGCCACTTCAATCTCCCAGGCTCAAGCAATCCTCCTGCCTCAGCCTCCTGAGTAGCTGGGATGACAGGCATGCATCACCATGCCTGGCTAATTTTTTGATGTTTTGTAGACATGAAGTCTGGTCTTGAACTGACTTGTCTAGGATGGTCTTGAACTTGTGGCCTCAAGTGATCCTCCTTTCTCAGCCTTTCAAAGGACTGAGATTACAGGAATGAACCAGAGGCCAGCCACTTTATTATTAACAAGGTTCAATATTTCTGGATTTTTGATAGCTGTGTTTCTTCTTTGATAAAATGTTCATGTCCACTCAGCTCTGCACCCAGTGGACTGAATAGACATCTACAGAACTCCACACCCCAAATCAACAGAATATACATTCTTCTCAGCATCACATCACACTTATTCTAAAATTGACCACATAATGGGACATAAAGCATGCTCAGTAAATGTAAAAGAATGGAAATCACAACAAACTGTCTCTCAGACAACAGTGCAATCAAATTAGAACTCAGGATTAAGAAACTCACTCAAAACCACACAACTACATGAAGACTGAACAACCTGCTCCTGAATGACTACTGGGCAAATAACAAAATGAAGGCAGAAGTAAAGATGTTCTTGAAATGAATGAGAACAAAGACACAACATACCAGAATCTCTGAGACACATGTAAACCAATGTGTAGAGGGAAATTTATAGCACTAAATGACCACAAGAGAAAGCAGGAAAGATCTAAAATCAACACTGTAACATCACAATTCAAAGAACTAGAGAAGGAAGAGCAAACACATTCAAAAGCTAGCAGAAGGCAAGAAATAACTAAGATCACAGGAGAACTGAAAGAAATAGAGACACAAAAAACCCTTCAAATAATCAGTGAAACCCAGGAGCTGGTTTTTTGAAAAGATCAAAAAAATTGACAGACCGCCAGCCAGAATAATAAAGAAGAAAAGAGAGAAGAATTAAATAGATGCAATAAAAAATGATAAAGGGGATATCACCACCGATCTCACAGAAATACAAACTACCATCAGACAATACTATAAACACCTCTACACAAATAAACTAGAAAATCTAGAAGAAATGGATAAATTCCTGGACACATAAACCCTCCCAAGACCAAACCGGGAAGAAGTTGAATGTCTGAATAGACCAATAACAGGCCCTAAAATTGAGGCAATAATTAATAGCCTACCAACCAAAAAGTCCAGGACCAGATGGATTCACAGCTGAATTCTACCAGAGGTACAAAGAGTAGCTGGTACCATTCTTTCTGAAACTATTCCAATCAATAGAAAATGAGGGAATCCTCCCTAACTCAGTTTCTGAGGCCTGCATCATCCTGATACCAAAGCCTGGCAGAGACACAACAAAAAAAGAGAATTTTAGACCAATATCCCTGATGAACATTGATGCCAAAATCCTCAATAAAATACTGGCAAACTGAATCCAGCAGCACATCAAAAAGCTTATCCACTACAATCAAGTGGGCTTCATCCCTGGGATGCAAGGCTGGTTCAACATATGCAAATTAATAAATGTAATCCATCACATAAACAGAATCAACGATTAAAAAACCACATAATTGTCTCAATAGATGTAGAAAAGGCCTTCGACAAAATTCAACAGCCCTTCCTGCTAAAAACTCTCAATAAAGTAGGTATTGGTGGAACGTATCTCAAAATAATAAGAGCTATTTATGGCAAAACCACAGCCAAAATCATACTGAATGGGCAAAAACTTTGAAACCAGCACAAGACAACGATGCCCTCACTCATGACTCTTATTCAACATAGTATTGGAAGTTCTGGCCAGGGCAATCAGGCAAGAAAAAGAAATAAAGGGTATTCAATTAGGAAAAGAGGAAGTCAAATTGTTCCTGTTTGCAGATGCCATGATTGTATATTTAGAAAACCCCATCGTCTCAGCCCAAAATCCTTTTAAGCTGATAAGCAACTTCAGCAAAGTCTCAGGATACAAAATTAATGCGCAAAAATCACAAGCATTCCTATACACCAATAACAGAAAGAGAGCCAAATCATGAGTGAACTCCCATTTGCAATTGTTACTAAGAGAATAAAATATCTAGTAATCCAAATTAAAGGGAGGTGAAGGACTTCTTCAAGGAGAACTACAAACCACTGCTCAACAAAATCAAAGAGGACACAAACAAATGGAAGAATGTTCCATGCTCATGGATAGGAAGAATCAATATCGTGAAAATGGCCATACTTCCCAAGGTAATTTATAGATTCAATGCCATCCCCATCAAGTTACCAATGACTTTCTTCATAGAATTGGAAAAAAAACTACTTTAAATTTCATATGGAACCAAAAAAGAGCCCACATTCCCAAGACAATCCTAAGCAAAAAGAGCAAAGCTGGAGGAATCACGCTACCTGACTTCAAACTATACTACAAGGCTACAGTAACCAAAAGAGCATGGTACTAGTACCAAAACAGGGATATGGACCAATGGAACAGAACAGAGGCCTCAGAACAAACACCACACATCTACAACCATCTGATCTTTGACAAACCTGACAAAAACAAGCAATGGGGAAAGGATTCCCTATTTAATAAATGGTGCTGGGAAAACTGGCTAGCCATATGTAGAAAGCTGAAACTGGATCCCTTCGTTACACCTTATACAAAAATTAATTCAAGATGGAATAAAGACTTAAATGTAAGACCTAAAACCATAAAAACCCTAGAAGAAAACCTAGGCAATACCATTCAGGACATAGGCATGGGCAAGGACGTCATGTCTAAAACACCAAAAGCAATGGCAACAAAAGCCAAAATTGACAAATGGGATCTAATGAAACTAAAGAGCTTCTGCACAGCAAAAGAAACTACCATTAGAGTGAAAAGGTAGCCTGCAGAATGGGAAAAAATTTTTGCAATCTACTCATCTGACAAAGGGTTAATATCCAGAATCTACAAAGAACTCAAACAAATTTATAAGAAAAAAACAAGCAATCTCATCAAAAAGTGGGCAAAGGATATGAACAGACACTTCTCAAAAGAAGACATTTATGCAGCCAACAGACACATGAAAAAATGCTCATCATCACTGGCCATCAGAGAAATGCAAATCAAAACCACAATGAGATACCATCTCACACCAGTTAGAACGGCGATCATTGAAAAGTCAGGAAACAACGGGTGCTGGAGAGGATGTGGAGAAATAGGAACACTTTTACACTGTTGGTGGGACTGTAAACTAGTTCAACCACTGTGGAAGTCAGTGTGGCGATTCCTCAGGGATCTAGAACTAGAAATACCATTTGACCCAGCCATCCCATTACTGGGTATATACCCAAAGGATTATAAATCATGCTGCTATAAAGACACGTGTACCCGTATGTTTATTGTGGCACTATTCAAAATAGCAAAGACTTGGAACCAAGCCAAATGTCTGTCAATGATAGACTGGATTAAGAAAATATGGCACATATACACCATGGAATACTATGCAGCCATAAAAAAGGATGAATTCATGTCCTTTGTAGGGACATGGATGAAGCTGGAAACCATCATTCTCAGCAAACTATCACAAGGACAAAAAACCAAACACCTCATGTTCTCACTCATAGGTGGGAATTGAACAATGAGAACACTTGGACACAGGAAAGGGAGTATCACACACCGGGGCCTGATGTGGGGTTGGGGGCGGTGGGAGGCATAGCATTAGGAGATATACCTTGTAAATGATGAGTTAATGGGTGCAGCACACCAACATGGCACATGTATACATATGTAACAAACCTGCACGTTGTGCACATGTACCCTAGAACTGAAAGTATTATATAAAAAAAAAGATCCAAGTTTGATAGACAACCACTATCTCATCTCAGTTACATCCACTCCTTCCTCAGACTCACTAATAAAGTGCAGCCTTTGAATAAAAAGAAGTAAAGCAGAACCCCTTTTTTGTGTGTCTCAAAGCTGCAAAAGACGTCATGGGGAGTAAGAGCTAAGGTAGAGCCATGGAAAAACCCTTAGGGAATTTAGCATTTGTTGGAGATGATTCAAGCAGGTGCAAATGACCCAATGGTAAATACTTGATCTCCCTAATAAACTGAGTTTCAAAGCTGTCCAGGAGGAAGGGGGAAAAGGCTACTCATGAGCTCTTGCTACAGAGAAGAAAGTTTGACTCTCATGTACACAGATAACAAGCCACAATCAAGGGATCCTGTTCCGACTTTTAATACTAACAATGACTGTACTTTCCTGGGAACCTACACGGAGCAAAAAGAAAATCTTCTTTATGGTGTTCACAAAGTCTGCATATCAAGTTTTGAACATCAGGTTGCTGATCTACCTGAGATTTGGGCTGTTCAAATTAGGCAAATCTGAGGTTCCTGAGAGTTAGCAAGAGAGCCCCTGTGTAAACATTGCCATGCTCTGGGTGATGCCTACACACTGTTTCTGAAAGGGTAAAACCTCAGACCTTCCTTTTGCAGAGAAACATTTTTACTGATGGAACTAAGCTGCTGTTTGCAATCATAAGAAGCCAAAGAGTGAGCTCAAAAACACTCACTTGATGGTAGGACAAAGTAGTTCCCAAAAAAAGCAGAGGTCTGGGACCTGGAATGCCAAGATTTTTAAAAAGTCCATGTGAATGGGTTTCATATCTACAAAGTGAAACAGAAATCATGTCTCAAGGATTGTGACTTTATAGATATAGGGGATGGTGAGTTACTGACTGAGGAAATGTAATGCTCAGGAGAAGGAGGTAACATTAAGGCAATAAATAACAGTAACTCCGACAGCAATGATTATGTTTGTTCATCAGGTCCTTTCCTGCCTGCACTGTGACACCCCAAAAGTCACAGTGATTAGCTAAAAGCAGCTGAAGTTTTCATGGTCCCAATCCTGGAGTGAATACTTGATAAGTGTCCTCAAACATGAGTGCTCCTGAGAGGTTCAGGCAGGAATTCTTCCAGGGCACTTCATTCCTTTATGTCTATTTAGTAAGTGGACCCCACTGATTTAGGGCTTCTCATCCTAGGTAGAAAGGGTGACTTTTTTTTTTTGTCTTCAGCAGTAATGGTTAGATTTTGCATCGCTGCATCCACTCAGTCACAGAGGGTCACTGAGAGCCTATTGTGGCCCTGTCTTTAGAATTGCTCAAAGGCTTTTATGCTTTCCCTTTCTGCTAAGCTCTGACCCTGTTTTAGGATCTGGCCCTTCTTAAACTGTCATTCACAGAGAGGTCTTGGAGGAGTCAGAGTCCTTATTTCTACAGATTGACAACTGTGCTCCAGGCTTCTACTGGCCTCGTAGAAATGCGAGCACCTTTCAGCTACACCTCAGTCTCTGTGGTCAGATGATCTGGTTGATTTCAGCTATGGGGGAGAATGATTGACTCATATTGCCCTGAATGACAGTGTGCAGAAGAATCACAACTTAAGAAACCAATTTCCAGGACATTCCTCCTCTTGTGGAATCTAGCCTTCCAACTGGTGATATTCATCTGATAAGCACAGTGCCAGTGATATGGTCTGAATCTGTGCCCCTACCCAAATCTCATGTTGAAATGTAACCCCAAATGCTGGAGGTGGGGCCTGATAGGAGGTGATTGGATCCTAGGGGCAGTTTCTCATGGTTTCACACCATCCTGCCTTCGCTGTTGTCCTCGTGACAATGAGTTTTTATGAGATCTGGTGGTTTATAAGTGTGTGGCTCCTCCTCCCCACCCTCTCTTGCTTCTACTACAGCCATGTAAGATCCGCCTGCTCCTCCTTCACCTTCTGCCATGATTGTAAATTTCCTGAGGCCTCCCTAGAGGCAGAAGTCGCTATGCTTCCTGTAGAGCCTGCAGAACTATGAGCCAATTAAATCTCTTTTCTTTATAAATTACCCAGCCTCAGGTATTTCTTTACAGCAATGCAAGAAATGACTAATATATCCAGACATGCTCATTTTTTCAAGGTGATCAATCACAAAGCAGTCAGTTTATTGCCTCTGTACATTGACTATCTCTGTAGGAAAACCCATTAAGGCTGCTGCTCTTTATGGCAGGCCTGCTTGCAACTCATCTTTGATGGGTCATGTATGGACTCCCCCAACTGGGGGTTCTGGATGTCTGAAGACCTTCCCAGTCTGATGTTACTGAGGAGCGGAGGACTAGAGGAAGAAGAAAGGCTGATGGCAGACATCACCAGCCATCAATTCAACCGTGAATCTGCTAGTCCCACAAGGTTGGCCCCAGAGAGGCAAATTAGGAAAATGCAGCTGAAAAGTATGGTGTATATAAATGGATCCATATGCCTCATATGTGCTTTCAGCTGAAAGGCAGGGGCCTTCTAATGTCCATGTACCTTCCTGTTGATAGCAAAAGATGCAGTATTTTACATAAGTAACCATAAAATGTTCCAGATAGTTGAATTAAGACCTTGTTTTCTCTTCTATAACAGGTAGCACTTAAGGCAGTATAGGTTCCAAACATTCTGTACAAATCCAGTGACTCTGATAATATGTGGTAAAATACAACTGAGAAATGGCATGGAGGGTCGTGTTTGGAGATCCCAGCAGAGGCAGCATATAGTGCATTTGGATCCTTGCCCCAGAATAGTTAGTGGAAGTGTGTGCACCATCTACCAAAACCAGGGTGGCCTTGGGGTTTCCCACCCCAGTTTCTTCCTTTGTTGTCACAGCCATGGCAAATTAATGACACTAATCTCTGCTTCTAAACCTTCTACATGTTACATGATCTCTCAGGCCAGGACAAACTAATGAGTTAATGTGTCAGCAGCATTGGCCCCCAGGGAAAGATCTAGGTGAGTGTCTAGACTCACATGGTTCCATGTCAAGGCAGAGGCTGTGCTGGGCAAACTGTTTAGTTTCTTTCCAGCTCTCCTCTGTTTGGTAGAGTAATGCCACTTTCAGTTCCAATGAAGAGGCTAACAGAAAAGCCCGTCATCTATTGCATGTAATTGTGTTGGCCTAAGGAGGGCACGGTCTACACTATAGTTTCTGATTCCTGGGCTACACTAGCATCGTCTAAGGCTAAGGTATTGTCTGCCCAGCTGCCCGAGTCTGTAGTGGCCTCCCCACAACATGGCAGACCACACACAGAGTGACACATTTGATGTCCCTGTATCCAGGCTTGAAGCAGATGAGATGCCAATCTGTTTGCCCTTTGAGTGACCTCCACTGTGGGGCCAGGACCCATGAATATCTCTTTGGAGTTCTACCCTGAGAGCTGAGGAATATTTTCTCACTTCATGCAGATCCTATCTGGATGCCTTTGCTATCATCACTAGCTCACAGTATTGCTTACTCCCCTGCCTGAGAGTTTAAGGTAGCCTGCTAAGCAGGTATATTCAAAAAGGAGGTATTACAATAAACTGTCAGGCATGTATATTTAAAAAGACATATGCAGTCTTGTCTTAGAGATATACATTCATGTATTAGACTCATATTCCTGATATTATTCTGGAAAGGTGATGTTATTTTACACACATTTATTGTCACAAATACTGAACTAACAGCCCTCTTTTATCATCCAGAAGGAACATGCTGGAAATAGTCTATCTCCAAAAAATTCTGGTTTAAAAATGAATGAATTTAAACCATATCAATTTATTTTAAAATGTTAGAAAATGGAAACTATGTTGCCACTATTCACTGAATTCCTAAGCTTTCTGTGAAAGAATTAAAATTAGTTTTATAGTGTCTATTTTCATGTCATTGTGGTTCCCTGCTCTTAATAAAAGTCAAATTGAGGTAGAAGTTAATGGAACAGGTGGAGCCTCCACTACCCACAGTGGGAAGTAACTCTTCTCTCCACCTGCTCTAGGATGCCAGGAATCCCACCAGTGAGAGGGTTCATCCTCCTTTACTGTAACACAAAGGGGAAAAAATGTGTAAAATCCAAATTGGCTTTCACAGCTCCTGCCTTTTCAGGCTGCTAGCAGATTCCCATTAGGTGAGAAACAAAGCTCTATATTAATGCTAGCCTCCCAGAGACGGGAGGAAAAAGATTAAAGCAAAGAATAAATCTTCAAAACTTCCTCCAAGTCTCCTTTGCTCTGGAGATTAATCATTGCAAGGTAAATAGTTCTGTGTATGACAGGGTGGAGGAGTGAGTCATAGGTGGGAGGGGATGTTTTGGGACATGGCACAGGAAAGAGGGAAGAGCCGGGGGACAGCTTCCCGTGAAGTCTTGGTGTTCCCCGGTGCGTTATGTAAATGATATCCTGGGGTGGAAGTTGGGGGAGCAGGAACCACCAGGTCCACAGGGGACAAACTTCTACACATCTCTTCCAGCAGACAGAGAACCCAGAAAATGAAGGTAATGAGACAAAAACCCAAGCTGCTCCCTCCTGTCCCCAGAATCCTGAGAACCTGGGAAGGGGATGAGGATCACACTCCCCATCGTGTTCAGCAGTTTGTAATCTGCCTTTGCTGGGTTTTTGTTGATTAGTATAGGTCAAATCTAACCTAATCAGATCATTCCCACTACCAAATGCTGTCCCTAAACCCTCCTAGTTACCAAAATGAGAAGGTAGCTGGGACAAATGCTTATTTATTTATTCATAAATCTGCATAAGATCAATAATAACCTTTATGTGTTTGTAGCATCCAACAATTAATCTACTCCTCCTTGAACATCTCTTTTGATCTTCAAAACAGATAAGGGAGCAGGGGCCTGAGAGCACCCCAAGTCCAAGTTAACAGAGGAGAGGAATCTGGACAGTTACTGACAGATAGTGGAGCACCAGGCTGACAGCAAGGAGAAGCCAGGTTTCCACCGCCAAATTTGGGATGAGGTCCGTTGCCACTTTCCTTCCTCAACTGTCTTCTCTGAGTCTTACTTTCAGCTGTGTGCTGCTGTTTGCTGGGCTGTCTGCCTGGAGCTTCCCTGCCCTGCACAGCAGTCTTAGGACAAGCTGCTGAAATGTTTATGTGCTGGAGAAGGAGGCGGGGCTGCAGCTGCAGCCAGTAGCAAAGAATCACACACACCCCTTTGATGACCTCCTTTGAGTTCATGTTCTATGAGGAATCATAAACAACTTAATCAGTGTTATCAGGGAGTCCAAGGAATCTGAGTTCTTATCAGAAACTGAAGTGGGGCCATTGGTATGAACTCTATTTTTTTTTAATTTTATTATTATTATACTTTAAGTTTTAGGGTACATGTGCAAAATGTGCAGGTTTGTTACATATGTATACATGTGCCATGTTGGCATGAAATCTGTTAAATCTCCTCTCACCTGTCCTTGTTTCCATGGCTGTCCTTATTCCAGAATACTTGAAATCCATCCCCACAAGCCATACCTACAGATCTTTACCCATGCAATTCCCTCTGCCTGGAGTGTACCTGTGCCCCCTCGATGACTCCTACACATCCTTCCAAGCCCAGACAGACAGACCCCTTCTGTTAAAGTCTTACCTTACCAACCTCCTCACACAGATGTAACCATTGCTTCCTCTGGGTGCCTCCTATCCCCTCACAAAGTCCTATTGTCCTCTTTCCTCTCTAGCACCATTGTGGGTTTCTGTGCCCGTTTCCCTTAGCAGAGGTGAGCTCCTCAAGGGCACAGTCTGGTATTACTTACTTTCATGACCCTGGACCCTAGCAAGGTACTGTACACATGGTGGGTGACCAGAAAGGTTGGCAGAGTTGACTTGGGTGAGATTGCTGGGCCCCTGTGTGTCATCCCCTCTAAGTCTGTAGAAATAGACTAATTACTCTCAGCAATAGACTAATCGTTGCTTGGGACTCAAATGTAGCCAGCACTGTGTCCCAACTAATGCAACTGGTCTTGTTCTGCAAAGGAAAATAGTAGAAGGCATGTTCTGCCACCTAATTCCTCAGAAGGTAACATAACATGAAGAGACTTACCTGCTGAGAGTTGTACTGAATGTGTCAAGGAAGATACTATGTATCAGAAGAACACCCAGAGGCACCCTGTGCCTCTTATCTATTCATTCCTGTATTAAAGCATTCATCATGTATTTTAAAAGCTGTGCTCACAGTACTTAGGGTACAAAATTGACTAAGACCCAGACATTAGCTCAATTGTTTTGATTTGTAGATCCTGCAAATAAGTGAGAACATGCAATGTCTGTCTTTCTGTGCCTGGCTTATTTCACTTAACATGATGACCTCCAGTTCCATCCATGTTATTACAGATAACAAGATCTCATGCTTTTTTCGTATCTGAATTGTACTCCATTGTGTATAAGTGGAGCACTTTCTTTATCCATTCATCTGTTGATGGACACTTAGGTTGCTTCCACATCTTAGCATTTGTGAGTAGTGGCTATTGTGAACATGAGCGTGAAGATATCTCTTCAGTATACGGATATCCGTTCTTTCAGGTATATACCGAAGCACTGTGATTTCTGGATCTTATGGTAGCTTTCTTTTAATTTTTTGAGGAACCTCCAAACTGTTCTCTATAGTGGTTATACTAATTTACACCAACAGTGTACAAGGGTTTCCTTTTCTCCACATTCTTGCTGGCATTTATTATTGCCTGTCTTTTGGATAAAAGCCATTTTAGCTGGGGTGAGATGCTATCTCACTATAGTTTTTTATTTCATTTCTCTAATGATCAATGATGTTGAGCACCTTATCATATGCCTATGTGGCATTTGTCTGTCTTCTTTTGAGAAATGTCTATTCAGGCCGGGCGCGGTGGCTCACGCCTGTAATCCTAGCACTTTGGGAGGCCAAGGCGGGTGGATCACGAGGTCAGGAGATCGAGACCATCCTGGCTAACACAGTGAAACCCCGTCTCTACTAAAAATACAAAAAAATTAGCCAGGCATGGTGGCGGGCACCTGTAGTCCCAGCTACTCGGGAGGCTGAGGCAGGAGAATGACATGAACCCAGGAGGAGGAGCTTACAGTGAGCCGAGATAGTGCCACTGCACTCCAGCCTGGGCGACAGAGAGAGACTCCGTCTCAAAATTAAAAAAAAGAGAGAGAGAAATATCTATTCAAATCTTTTGCCCATTTTTTGATTGGATTATTAGATTGTTTCCTACAGAGTTGTTTGAGCTCTTTATATATTCTGGCTATTAATCTGTTGTCAGAATGTTAGTTTGAAAGTATTTTCTCCCATTCTGTGGTTTGTGTCTTCACTTTGTTGATTACTTTTTTTGCGGCACGGAAGCTTTTTAACTTGATGTGATTCCATTTGTCCATTTTTGCTTTGGTTGCCTGTGCTTGTGGGGTATTACTTCAGAAATTTTTGCCCAGACCAATGTCCTGAAGAGTTTCCACAATGTTTTCTTGTAGCAGCTTCATAGCTTGAGGTCTTAGACTTCAGTCTGTCTCACTCTGTTGCCCAGGATGAGGTGCATTGGAATGATCTCGGCCCACTGCAGCCTCCACCTCCCAGGTCCAAATGATTCTCCCACCTTAGCTTCTGGACTAGCTGGGACTACAGGAATGCACCACCATGCCCAGCTAACTTGTGTATTTTTTGGTAGAGATGGGGTTTCACTATGTTGGCCAGGCTGGTCTCGAACTCCTGACCTCAAGTGATCTGCCCACCTTGACCTCTCAAAGTTCTGCAAAGTACTGAGATTACAGTCATGAGTCACCCTGCTCAGCCAGATTTCAGCCTTTAATCCACCTTGATTTGATTTTTGTGTCTGGTGAGATATAGGTGTCTAGTTTCATTCTTCTGCATATTGATATCCAGCTTTCCCAGCACCATTTATTGAAGAGATGTTCTGTTCCCCAGGGTATGTTCTTGGTAGCAGTGTCAAAAATGAGTTCACTGTAGGTGTTTGCATTTGTTTCTGGGTTCTCTTTTCTATTTCATTGGTCTATGTGTCTGTTTTTATACAAGAACCATGCTGTTTTGGTTACTGTACCTCTGTAGTATAATTTGAAGTCAGGTAACATGATTCCTCCAGTTTTGTTCTTTTTGCTGAAGATAGCTTTGGCTATTATGGGTCTTTTGTGGTTCCATACAAATTATGGGATTTTTTTCTATTTATTTGAAGAATGTCATTGGTATTTTGAGGGATTGCATTGAATCTGTACATTGCTTTGAGTAGTGTGGACATTTTTAACAATGTTGATTCTCACAATATATAAACATGAAATATCCTTTTTTGTGTCTTCAATTCCTTTCATCAATGTTTTACAGTATTCATTGTAGAGACCTTTCTCTTCTTTGATTAAGTTAATTTCTAGGTATTTAGTTTTATTTGTGGCTATTGTAAATGGGATTACTTTTTTATTTTTGCCAGATTGTTCACTATTGGCATATAGAAATGCTACTGATTTTTGTATGCTGATTTTGTATCCTGCAACTTTACTGAATGTGTTTATCAGTTCCAATAGTTCTTTGATGGAGTCTTTAGGTTTTTCCAAATATCATTTGGAAATCGTTTGCAAGTCATTTGGAAATGTCATTTGGAAGTCATTTTCAAGTATCATTTCCAAAGATTACTTGGAAATTATTTGAAAATTTTCTTGCTTCCTGGCACAAAATGTGTCCTAAACTTATCTTGAACATTCTTAATTCTTGCCCTGGCATCAGCCATTTCTCTAAAGAGCTCTGGTTCCCTTCAGTGGAAAATGGTATTCATAAGCCAAGATCGGGGCACTAAGTGTGTTCATTGCTATTGAAATGTCATTGTTACCTAGCCCTATCAGTGGAGAGAAGTAGGGAATATATGTTTTTTGTACACACACACAAATACAGACATACATTTACATCTATCTATCTCATTATCTGTCATCTATCTGTTACCTATCTATCATCTATCTACCCATCTATCTATCTACAAGGGTATGAATATACACGGTTACATCCATTCCAATCTAATTTCATAGGATTCATGCTAGTTTTCTCCCTTTCTGAATCCATGACTCCCTTCTGCAAAGGTGAGAAGCCTGGCTTCTATCATCCTTAATACATTTACTTATTTGATCAATCCCCTTTATGTAGCCAAACCTCACCCAACCCCTCCCACTCATGGATGCCCTCCTCGCCTCATGTGGGTTCTCCATACCCTATTTAGGCTCTGGCTGCTCTTGCAAGCCACCCCTCTGCGTCGACCCCTTCTCTGCTTGCTTGGACTCCCACACCCAGGCCAGGATGTCTCTCCACATGAACCTCCTTGGTCTCTGACTTGGAGCCACCATGACTCTCTCTTCTCTACCTTAATGTGTGGCCACCATCTGGCTGCCACCCACCTAATGGCTTTAGGACTAAATTATTCAGGAAGGGAAAATAAAGGAAGAATTTGGAAAAGAAAAGGAATGAGTGCTTTTAGGCTTATTGCTCAATCAATTGACCAATCGACTGTTTTTTATTAAGTGTTCATTGCATCGAGACAGTTGGGTGTTGAGGATGGAATGCAAGAGGTGTAGGGAAACATGTTTTCTGTCTCCCAGAAATATGAAAGGAGATGGGCTGAAAACATTAAATCAAAACTAATAATATAATAAGAGCTTCAGTTCTTTGTTACAAAATGTACGTGCTTCAAAAAGGCATATTTTTTTAAGACTGAGTCTCACTCTCACCCAGACTGGAGTGCAGTGGTGCAATCTCAGCTCACTTCAACATCCGCCTCCCAGGTTCAAGTGATTCTCCTGCCTCAGCCTCCTGTGTAGTGAGATTACAGGCGAGTCCACCATGCCTAGCTAATTTGTGTATTTTTAGTAGAGATGGGGTTTCAACCATGTAGGCCAGGCTTGTCTTGAACTCCTGACCTCAGGCGATCCACCCGGCTCAGCCTCCCAAACTGCTAGGATTACAGGCGTGAGCCACTGTGCCTGATCAAAAAAGGCATAATTAAACTATGAATATTCTTTCTAAACAATGGGCAAAGTCACAGTGGATTAACTTTCACCTATGTTAATAATCAAATTCTAGTTCTGACAAAGGCCCCACGCCAACAGTGATTACAATGACCAAAAATATTTACTTGTTGGTTCTCATTCAGTTCTATAGATTTCTCCTTAATGTGCAGGAAAGCATCTGATAATACTTTTGTAAAGTGGTCTTTATTGATTTAACATAAAACTTATAGAATACTCCAGAGAAAACATGTGATATAAATGTCATTGTTAGAGCCATCAAAATAATTCTTATTTTCATTAATAATTTGTGGAGGAAATTATTGAGAAATGTTGATTCTCTTATCAGAGCTCAGGAGGAGTTAATGGTGCTAACTGGGGGTGGTGGAAATAGTCCCGTGAGAAGCAGAGGAGCCAAATCTACCTCCTCACACTGATTTGGTCACCTCCTTTATATTCCCAAGTATAACACTCTACACAGACAATGAGAGAGCTCAATGCATGTACAGAATCCCCGGTTATTTATGCAGTCCATTGGATGAAGCCCATCTTCATTTCAGAGTTCTATTCACAAAGTAATTTGAGGTCTCTGGTGTTCTCAGGCACAGATTTCTTGAAGAGCAAAGCAGAAGTCCTTAGGAAAATTCAGGCTCCACTTACGGTGCCATCCCTTGACTCAACCTTTAGAACAACGGGTTTTTCTGGTTGAAGAAGTCCTCCTAAGCTTAATTTCAGGGGGATCTGCAACAGTTAAACAAGCATATTGAGAAGCATTAAATAAACAAAAGTAGAAAGTATAGCATCAAAGTGAGTGAGACACTCCTTCAGTGTTGAGGGGACACAACAGAGTGATATTCTGATCTCTATGGAGTAATGGGCAAAAAAAATGCAGTAATGACAATAATGCTTTGTAAACATATAAAAACTACTTTCAGCACTATAAATCTTGGATTCTTTATACTTAGTCTATAAGATGTGTGAAGATTGGACAGTGAGAGCATTCATCATCTATCATTTAACAAAATATTTATGGAGTACTATTCTGTGCCAGGCCTGAGACAAATTCATGGAAACCTGTGTTCTTTTTTGATTTAAATTTTAAGTAAAATGGATGAGTTTTTAAAATTTAAACCAGATTATTAGGTATGATGGCAAACTGTTTTTGAAGAGTCATATAAAGTTAATTTTGTGTATGTTGAAACTTGCAAGGTAAACCTGGGTAGTTATTGTACATTTTAATTATATGGACAGTCTTCAACTTCCAGAGTCCAGTAATTCCTCCCAATTGAACCCATCCAGTGTAAAGATGGGAAGACACCTTCAGGAAGCATTACCATTTTATTTTTTAACATCTTCTCTTGGCTTCCAAGGGTAGTGCAAGTGGGGAACCTCTCAATTCCTACAGTGTTTGGACTCAACTTTTAGCCCCATTCTTATTGAGACACTCCTTCCGTGTTGAGGGGACACAACAGAGTGATATTCTGATCTCCATGGAGTAATGGGCAAGAAAATTGCCAGGGAGATCAAGAAGTGCCAGGTTGGGAGCTTACCAAGGAGTACCTTCCCCATCCCAGGTGTGCCAGAGGACCACTTTTATTCAGGGCTGAGTCCCCTGTCTGGGCACATATAATACAGCTACACTGCTGGCCTAAAGCCACAAATAATATGGAATATGGAAATAATATGGAAACTATTTCTGTCTTCTTCCTCTCCTATATAGAAAGCCTACTTAAGGGGTGGAATTGAATAATAAATACATGAGACCTAGAAATAAGATTTATAGGGTATTGTTTAATATGAATCAATGACGTCTGTTCTTTAACTTCTTCAGAGAAAATATTTCAAATCTTTCTATAAATATAATACCTTATTATTTAAAAATTTTCAAAAACCCTGAATATATTTTCACTGCAGACAGACATGCATGCCCACATGTGCACACACACACACACACATGCATATGCACGAATGGCATTTGTTTAAAGGTTCACATTAAATAGCTTAATATATGTATGCAAGCCATCAACTGCACATCACTCCTTAAACATTTACCAAATGCTTGCATTAGATACAGTCCCTTGCAAGGCACCACTGGGATATTTTAAAAAGGAATAAAATGAGAGGATATTGTTAATGGAGGGGGGAAGACATTTTAGATACAAAGAAAATATAGAGAATAAAACTCAATGATTTAATGGCAAATTGTCAAATTTATGATAATAGCCTCCAGTATCCAATAACAGAGCAGAGAAGTAAATGGGCCCTGGACTAGGAGGAGAAGACACTTTGGAGGGGCTTGGGGATTGAACTAGGACTTGAAAGATAAGAACAAAATGAGGAGAAAGGGAACAACATTTTTTTTTTTTTGAGACAGAGTCTCGCTGTCACCCAGGCTGGAGTGCAGTGGCCCAATCTCGGCTCACTGCAGGCTCCGCTCCCTGGGGTTCATGCCATTCTCCTGCCTCAGCCTCCAGAGTAGCTGGGACTACAGGTGCCTGCCACCTCTCCAGGGTAATTTTTTGTATTTTTAGTAGAGACGGGGTTTCACCGTGTTAGCCAGGATGGTCTCGATCTCCTGACCTCATGATCCGCCTGCTTCGGCCTCCCAAAGTGCTGGGATTACAGGCATGAGCCACCATGCCTGGCTGGGAACAACATTAATAGAGTTATAATTGGGTTGAAAAGGAGCCCAGCTGGATGGAGCTAGGCACCTGGAAGGTGAGGTCAGTCAGGATGGCCTTGGACTGTGGTAGTCCTTTATATCCACCAGAAATGCCTTAAATTAGTCATTCTCAACCTTGGCTTCACATGAGAAGCAATGGGGAAGCTTTTAAAGCCACACTCTGGGCAAATTAGTTTAGAATTTCTGTGATATCCCAGACATCATGAATTTTTAAAGCTCCCTGGTGATTCCAATGTACAGCTAGTGGTTGGGAGCCACTCTCATGAGAAAGCTTCTCCAAGTTCTGGTTGGGAAGAGCAGCATTCAAAAGTCACAACAAGGTAATCATTACACTTCATGACTGTGCAAAATACTTCCCCATCTTTCCAATCGACTTGAAACTGAATGTAAACTTTGCTCAAGTTCAAGGAGACTGCAGATAATTATGCCATGCTAATCTACATGGGCTTTACATGATGTTTTTGATGCTACAGCTTTTGAACTCCAGAACTGAAGCACCCTTAAAGATCACAGATGGGCCTAATTGATTCTTTGGCCCAGAGAACAAATTAGTAAAAGATTAAACAAGCATATTCTTTTTAAAAAATACAGACCACTCAGTTAAAAGAATTATTAATACAACATTATTTTTATAGAAAATTGACTAACCTGTGTTTCTTTACAAGGTTTGAAGGAGAAGTTCTGAAGGACTCTGATTAGAGCAAGTTTCATGTTCATGAGAGCAAACCTCATGCCAATGCAGTTTCTGGGTCCACTTCCAAAGGGTGTGTATATGTAAGGATCTATGTTGTCCTTGTTCTTCTTGCTGAATCTGGTTCCACGTTGGTAGATTTTTAAAAAGTTAATGACATAATACCCCTAAGAGTTACATGTTAGGGTTTCTTACTTAGGGGCCACCCCTCAACTAGTAGTACACAGGATACTTTTGTGGGCTGGTCATTGAAATCCTGCTATGCTTATTTTGCTATGAGAATTGTAAGCTACAGATCCTTTCTACTCTCCTGACACTATAGGAGCTTTCAGTCTTGTTGAGATGAGATAAATAGTGTTGCAAAGAATACTTATTTCTAAACACTGAAATTATATTCAGGGTGGTGATGTGTCCACACTATAAAAGGCACATAAGTGATGGGACTGACTGATGGAAAAGTAGGTTCCTGCCTCAAGTCACACTTACATTGGTCATGAGGAAGGAGAAGGGGAAATTGTCTTGTACTATTTCAAAATTGTTATTTTGCACTTTCCTTCTCATCTCCTCTCTTGTTTTTCTAATTCTCCTCCTTCTCCTCCTTACCTTGTCTTCTCCCTCCTTCTCCTCCTTCTTCTTCTCTCCATCTCTCCCTCTTTCTCCCCCACACCTCCATAGAATAGTTGAAGTCAGATAATTTACACAGGCATATGATGCTACTGTACCGATGTAATGCAGTATCATCACTGCTTTCTTTGTCTATCTGTTCCAGTAAGCTATAAAATTCTTTGAAGATTAGATGCATGTTTTTTATTAAAATGTTATTCCTAAATATTTGATTATATTTATGAAAAAAATATTCATTTGGGGGACATAATAATAGCATTGTGATCATGTGTTTTTAAAAGAGTCCTTACATTTTGGACACTGATGACCCATAAGGACATAACTGATGACCTTCATCGTAAGTTGTTGGAATTGTGGATGACTGTAGTTTTCTTTTTTCTAGTCTATGGTTTGTAAAGTGTGACAATAATCAATTTGATGATTAAAAAAATCTCTAAATATAAAAATACAAGCAAATAATTATACAACCACATGACTGTCCTGTAGATTAAGAGAGGCAGAATATGCTTGAACCAGGCTGGTTCAGGGAGGGCTCCCTTCCCAGGGGCCTTGTACCTTTCAGGGAGGAACTTCTCAGGCTCTGTCCAGTACTTTGGGTCACGGTGAAGAGCATAGCTTGGAATCATCACCACCACCCCTTTGGGAATGAACATCCCATTGATCTCAACATCTTTTTTGCAGACCCTCTCAAGTCTCATAGCAATTGGGAATAATCTGAGCGTTTCATTCACCACCATGTCAAGATACTCCATCTGTAGCACAGTATCATAGGTGGGTGGTGCCTGGAAAGAACGAAACAGATTTGGATAAATTGAGATTTTGAATTAACTTTTAACTCAGTCCATGCAGTACTAATGAAGTATTAGGAGCTCCAGAGACTAACTCATACTGGTAAAGGATCGAAGCATTTATAAAGTGTTTTAATAACTGTCATGCCCATTGCTGTGCTCAGTGGCCCACTGAGATGTGTGGAGGAGTTATGAAGGTGGGAAGCATTCGGGAAGGCTCTCACCCCAGGGACTGAAATCCTTAGCATAACCGTGTATATATGTCTATATATATATACACACACACATACACACACACATATATATGTGTATATATATGTGTATACACACACTAAAAGGAGGACTTTTGTTATATACAGAAAATGTGGAGAGAAACACTATATTATATAAAATCTCCATAAATAATTTGAGGATAAACTAGTCCCTTTCTATCCCAAAAATGACAAAGAAGGTTCTGGTTGGATGTAACCAGAGAACACGATTTCAGTGCTAGTGGAAGTTATAAAGAGGATAGAACCCCACACAGCCCTGTCCTCACTTGCTGAAACAGTCTCCTAGTTGTTGCTTCAGGGCTGGACTGTAATCTCTGAAGAACATCCCTTTGTGTTCACCTCACTGCCACAGCCGGGCCAGCCCCAAAGCCGTGTCTCTTCATACCACAAAGAATCCCAATTTTGGCAGAGGTCTGAAAACAGTGTGGGTGATATGCACCTAGTATTTGGTGTTATATTTGGAAGGCAATATGATAGTGTTTTAAGACTTTAGCTCAGGAGCCAGATATCCTGGTTCCTAGCTTGGCTTCTTCACCAGTTACTGCCTGACTGGAACATGAGATAGGTGTGGGGAGAGCTGAGTCAGCCTGCACAGCACACCCAGGGCCAGGCTCCGTCAGACTACAGCCAGACCAGAGCAAGTCCTGCCAATATCAGCAGAGCTCACTATCCAACTATGATGTGTGGAGGAGTTATGAAGTGGGGAGACATTCGAGACGGCTCTCACCCCAGGGACTGAAATCCTTAGCATAACCGTGTACTGGTTTTTCTTTCTCATTGAAACAAATGTGACTAATAGGCTATGACCACTAGCATCAAATAACATATGAGAAAGTGATTGTTACCTTTCAAAAAAAAAAGTCACATGTCTGTAACCAAGAAAATAAAAAGAGATAAAAAGAGCAAATTCCTGTGTCCATATGTGGATACAGCTAAGGGGACATCACACACCACTATGGTGCCTGCTGCAAACATGTAATTCACAACCAAAACCAATGTGAAATGAGTGTGAGCAACAAATGCTTATTGTTAGATGCCACTGAGGTTTTTGGAGGTTTTTTACTTAGCATTATTGTAGTAATAGAAAGCAGATGAACCAGAGCCAGCACGTTTTACAAAGATCTTACGCTTCTGCCAGTAGCAACCATTTGCTATGTTTCTTTCTTTTTCTTTTCAGAGCCTTCCTACATAGAGTCAGTGAAAGAATCAGTGATTATGCTTTTTATAAAAATTCTCCTGGGAAGTGGTGAGGAGGCATTTTTGCTAAGGTTTCACCTCCTCCCTCCTTCTCCATGTACCATCCACTCACCTTATTGGGTAAAACTGCATCAATTTCCTCCTGCAGTTTCTGCTGGACATCAGGGTGAGTGGCCAGTTCATACATAATGAAGGAGAGAACACTGCTCGTGGTTTCATAGCCAGCAAAAATAAAGATAATTGATTGGGCCACGAGCTCCAGATCGGACAGAGCTGAAAGGAGAGGAAAGACATTTTAGGTAAATCAGATCAATGTAGGGCATCACAGTTTAGATGAAGAGAAATCTAAGTGAAGCCCTCAAATCCCTAAGGGAAAAGAATAGAAAAGCAATTCAGAGGTACACTGGGGGTGGTTTCATTCTGATGTGTATCTTACAGAACCAGAATAAGGCAAATCATTTTAATCCAGTTTTCCCCAAGGTCTTCGAGAATGTGGGCCATCCACTCCTCCTCATGCCACCCCCGCCACCTGCACAGCTGTGTAATTTCCAGAGAGAGCATTTCCGCATAACATACTCAGTGTTATGGGTGTGTTCCTTGAATGATCCTAAAAGTACTTTATTGTAAGTTAATATGAGGTAGTACTCTCCCCCAAGAAAAATGTAATTTATTTTAGCTACAATATATCTTGACAAACTTTGAGAGAATTTGCAACACTAATGGTTAAATGTAGGGAAAATCAAAGGACGTTTCCCGAAGATATGTTTGAGGGAACTTAAGGGACCAATATTGGTCTACAGACCACTTCTTGGTATTCAAAGTGTGGTCCATGGGTCAGAAGCATCTGAGAGCTCATTAGAAATGCAAAATCTCAAACCCCACCCTTGAACTACTGATTCAAAATCTGAACTTTCACAAGATGCAGTGATTTGTGTGCATAGCCTAGCTTGAGAAGCACGGATTATATCTTTGAGAGGCATCAGGTGATAGATCTAGGCTACAGTTCTCAGAATTGACTATCTCAGGATGTACAAGAATGAGAGATGGACAAAAAGCTAGATGAGTGGTAATTGATTGTAGTCTGATGGATGGCATTAAAATAGCATAAGCTCCTATGATTACAAGTTGGGCCCCTCTTGATTTTTCTCCTGAGAGAAGCTCAGGATGGTCCATCACTGGTCTGTTTGATCAGGACTGGATTAGGACCTTTAGAGACCTGGAACATAGAAATAAATATAATGCCTGCTCCAACCATGTAATTCACAACCAAAACCAATATGAAAGGAGTGTGAGAAAGGTCGACAGAGCTGTGATTTACCAGTGAAGACTTCTGTGATGCAGTTATAAGTAAATTCAACTACCTAATCATAGTATTCAGTTATCATGAACCTGATGATACTGATGTGAAATTGAACTATAATCTCAAAGTTTAGAGCTCTGCTGTCCAATATGGTAGCCACTACCCACTAGTGGCTATTTAAAATCAAATTTTATTAAATTAAACTGAAATACCATTTAAAATTGATCTTCAATGGCACTAGCCACATATCCAGTGCTCAATAGCCATATGTGTCTAGTGATTTCTATATGAAACAGTAAAACAATAGACTATTTCCTTTATCACAGCAAGTTATATTGGGATAGATAGATGAATAGTTAGATGATAGATAGATAATATATAAGTAGATAGATGATAGATGGATAAATGATAGATGATAGATGGATAGATGATAGATAGATAGATGATAGATAGATAGATAGATACATAGCTAGATAGATACATAGATAGATACATAGACATACAGACAAAAGTGGATGTAGACATGGATATATTTAAAGCAGTATGCTGGAGTAAGCCCAGTCCTGCTCTCTAGAACCAATAGTTAAATATTCAGGAATTTTGTGAGATGGTTGCCAAGTCTTGGTGGCTTGTAATTGACCATGGTCATCATTTTGCCACTGTCATAGTAATAGTGACTTCAGTAAAAAACATACATGGGTTGTAAAACTCGTAGGTGAAACATTGAAGACAAAGAGGATATTTACACGGTCTCAGAGGTTTTCCCCACAAGTTACTAATCCATTCCAAAGTGGAAAATAACTTTGCAGTAGATTAACCTGGTGAACACACTTTCAACAAGTACTGCCAGTTAAAATCACCCCTTTTGGAACAGCGTGGCTCCTGATTGGATGTTAGATGTATTAGGTAGCTGCAAAAGTTATTGTGGTTTTTGCCATTACTTTTAATTGCATTTTTTTGCAATTAAAAGTAATGGAAAAACCCACAATTAATTTTGCAGCAACCTAATAAATTTCTAGGCAGAAATTTTTATTCAGTGGATCTGAAGGAGGCTGAGAATTGGCATTTGATCTGATGTAGGTGATCCACAGACCGCAGACTGACTTTCTAGCATGCCAGGTTTGCTTAGGGTTGCCCTTTACTCTTAGAACATGGCTATCTATGCCTGCATGCCTCTAGAAAGTGCCTCCAACTACCACTTATAACATTCAAACATGTGTCGTTCTGCTATGTGGCAGAAATTCTCATCATCCTGGAATACTTCCTGCACATTTTCAGAACAAGGCCTTCCCTCTGAGTGCCCCACAAGTAGCCCTCAGAAACACTCTGGTTACCTTTGTGGGACTCAGTTTCTTTTGAATTCTGAGAGTCAATCATCAGCTGAAGGAAATCCACTCGGTGCTAGAAGCAAAAAGAGAAATTTCACTGACAGAAAGTGGCTCCTGAAGTCAGAAGTAAATCACAAGCGTGGTCCTTGATCTCCCTTCTGAGAATATGGCTCCTTGAAGACCAGAAATCTGATGCATGTTGCCTGAATCACCAGTGAAAAACATACCCTTCTAAATCCTTGGAAAGCAGGATGTTTTCCTGAAACAAATCTGGCTATCATGTGAGATGGCTCAAATTTAACACACGCTACACTTCAGCAGGTGGCCTGATAGGGACTTTCATTTGAGAATGTGTAAAATAACAGGTTTGTACTTGAAATGAGTCTTTACCAATTTATGATCTGGGGAAAGCATAATATCAGTAAAATATATTTCCAAACAGTAATGTTTATCCTCTGACAATTTATTGAAGGGAAGTAAAGTGGTAAAGTTTTATCTCAATAAAATTTATGCCGTGGCATACTAATTGTTGTGTCTGATATCAAATTTCATGTGCTGTCTCTGACTCATTCTCATATCTCCTTCCCCAAACCCCACTTTCTGCATTTCTACCAAATGAATTCTCTTGCTCTAAACATGAGCAGTCTTCATGTTAAAAGCATTCTTTAAAAACATACAGGTAACTGCACTGATCATATGTATATTATCTAAAAAATTATGAAAAACTAAACATCCTCCTATAACTACCACCACATTTTACCTTTTGTGTATCTTCGAGGCGACTTTCTTTCATCCTTTTTACAGATTTTCTTAAAAAATTTGTAACTTCTCTTGGAAACACACAGATATTTAATACTTCAAGAATTGGGATGAGGAATGGAAAGACTGCTGTAGGAAAAACAAAACAAAAACAGAAAAAGAAATTCATTGTGAATGTGCAAAATTTACCTGGAGCAATTCTAGTTTTCTCTACCAACCAGAAGAGTAAAAGACATCAAGGTTCTCAACTGGAAGCCATTCCTTCTATGACTTTTGCCCCTCTTTCAGGCCAGTGGCTGAGCAAGGGCAGGTCTATGCATAAGGAGCACCGCTACAGCAGTGAGATCAGCAGCCCCTTGTGCATCTTTTGAAGGATAAAAGGAACAAAATTCAATGCCCTAATCTCTTTGCCTTTATCTATTGGACTACAGTCTCCTAGAATAACCCAAATCATAATCTGAAGCTCAAAATTAATCTTGCTGTTCAAGAAATAGTAGGTAGTCAAGATAGAAATAACACAGCATATCTCTGTCACCTATCATGGAATAAAGATAAAATCAATAAGGGAAAGAAAATTGAGAAACTCACACATATGTGGAAGTTAAATAATAAACATTTAAGTAACCAATGAGTCAAAGTAGAAACCAAAAGGGCAAATAGAAACTGTTTTGAGGTGAACAAAAACTAAGATGTGATAGACCACAATCTCATGGGATTTAGCAAAGGAAGTGCTCAGAGGGAAAGTTACAGCTGTAATGTCTAAATTTAGAGGAACAAAAAAATCACAAATCAGTAATCTATGTTCATGCCACAACATAGTAAACGAAGAAGGGCAAACTAAGCCTGAAGCCAGCAGAAGAAAGAAAATGATACAGACTAAAGTACAAATTCATGAACTAGAGAATAAAAAACCCTGATGAATTAATATCATTTCTATGAAGTGTCCAGAATAGGCAAATCCATAGAAGCAGAAAGTTGATTAGTGGTTGCATATGATGACAGGGTTTGTGACAGGGGGCTGATAGCTAAAAATGTATGAGGTCTCTAGATTGACAAAAAAAGTTTTAAAGTTTAAAATGATGATGGTCACACATATCTTCAAATGTACTACAAATCACTGAACTGTATATTTTAAGTGGATGAATTACATGGTGATTTATATCTCAATAAAGCAGTTATTTTTAAGAGAGCAAGATAAATAAAAGGAAATAGTAGTCCACATACTTATTGAGAGAAAGAATGGATCCAAAAAATCAAATCTTAAAAGCTTCTTGGTGTTTTCCACAAAGGGGTCTTGTGGATTGTTGAGAGAGTCGATGTTCACTCCAAATGATGTGCTAGTGATCACATCCATGCTGTAGGCCCCAAAGACGCTGAGTGGAGAAAGATGTGGAAAATTAAAATCAGCACCTTTTTACCATCCTTCCTCTATGCATGCAACAGGAAACCCACATGTCCAGTCAAGACAGACAAACAGCCACAGACTTTCAGATCTACTAGATCACCTTCTATCACACTCCATCAGAAGGTGTTATCAGGTGCCAGTGATGCAGCTGGCCCTACGCTGGGTGTGATGGAGACACTGAACTGAATTAGACCTACCTCTGAGATCAAGGAGCCCATCATAGGAAGACAGAGACCCACTATCAGACAACTACAGTAGCATGTATTGATTGTGGATGATACAAGATGGGTAAGCACTGTGCTTCAGCAGAACAAGAGTAGAATAATTAACTCTTCCTAAGGGGCTCAAGACAGGTGATATTGCCTGACTGCAGACTCTATGCCCAGAGCCGATTCCTCTTCAGCACTTTACAAAGCAACAGTACCCTGTTCTGAGCTCCTAGAAATATCATCCTTATTCTCTATACTCCCTGCTCAAGCTTTGGAAAATTCCACTATCCCCAGCTGTGGTGAGCTGAGGTTGCCCTGACAGCAGAATTATTTTTGTAAAATATAATGACCAATAATGTCCTGGTTAAAAAAAAATCTCTCAAAATTTGATTTGGAAATTTCTATAGTGAGTGACCACATATCCCTGGTCTGCCCAGGACAAACTCAGATTACACCTGTTTTTACTGCATAAGTGTAGATAGCAAATAATAGGCTTGCCCTACCTATAGTGTTTTTACCACCCTCTCTCTTTGAGACTGGAGGAAAAAGAAATGGTAGGAATTTTAATATTTAGTATTCTACTGATATCCTCAGAAAAAAACATGAAATGATCAAAGTTATTCTAAGTTCTCCATTATAACTCTCCCAACCTACTCACTGCCAACCAACAGATACCAAGTGCCTTCCCCTTCCACCATCCCATACACTCCATGCTTAAAACTTTGGTACAATCACACTTTTTCCCCCTAAAGGATATATTTAGTCTTCTAGAATATCCAAGGTGACAATTTAATGGATATGTAAACCCTGGCCCCTGTGCACAGGGGAGAAGATCCTTTTCCTCCAGCTGCCCCACCTCCTCATCGGAGCTGCCCCATCTTGGGAGACCCATTGAAGTTGCATTACCACAGCCCTCCTTTTGTCTGGTCACTGGAATAACCCAACAGCAGGAATATCAGCTCCATGGCAGGCAGCTGGAGGGGTTCATGACAGCTCAGAACCCCATGGCTGCGCTTCTACTTACTCTTTCAAGGTGACAGGCTTGCCTGTCTCTGCTTCCCGCCTCAGATTTCTCACCAACACATCTCCATACTGGGCAATGATAGGGACCATCTAAGCACAAAACACAACACCACCCATAGTTAAATGTGCAGACTCTAGTCCCAGAAGGACATGGCTTTCCCCAGCATGGAGCAGTAAGTGACATTTTATAATGAATTTTGTGATGTGTTTTCTGTACATAAAGATAAAAGACCATTTTTAGGCAGCTCAAATTCAGTGGACTACCCCTTGGAAAGGGACTGTGATCTTATTTTATACCTGTCCCCACCAGATTCATTCTTTAAGTTTCTTATTAAAACTCATGTTATTTTCATACCTCCTTGAGTTTTCCACTGGTGAAGGTTGGAGACAGCAATGATCGTAATCTCTTCCATTCTTCATCCTCAGCTATAGAGATGGCACTTTTCATAAATCCCACTGGACCAAAAGGCTAGAGTTCAAAGCAGAAACATTTTGTCCTACATCAGTTGTGGAGGTCTCCATGGTTGTAGAAAATGTGTTAAACAGGAACACTTATTCAACAACTATTTAGTGACTGTCTACTGGGTGATGGGCCCTATGCTAGATGCTCAATAGAGATTTATCCCAGATGCCCAGTGTCCTGGGATGTATTTGTGTGGGGCGGGGCGGGGGGGTGGCGGCAGTGTTCAGGAGACCCTGATGTCGTCTCCAGCCTCTATATCCCAGTCTTCTTTTACATGCAAATTATCCACGTGGTAGAGAATGTGTTCTTCCAGTACAATAAACAGAATCAAGACCTAGCACTTCTGCAGTGTAGAGACGGAGTGGAGACAGACAAGCAGGTGACTTTGGTGGATTGTATGTTGCCTCAGACAAGCTGTCTTTATGTTCTCCTGCAGCATGGGCAACGTGAAAAAGAAGTGCCTCAATGTGATGGTTTTAAAAAAAATAGTAGGTAATACCTTTAAAACTAGGAACATATTTTGAAGAAATAATGCAATTCCATAAACATTCTTGTCTCTTAATTTTTTATTTCATGGATAGAAAGAAAAAAGAGATAATTATTTTTGCCAACTTGGAACTGGCCTATCAAGCCAACATGCTTGAAACTTTCTTTCATCTTCCATAGCCATTTTTTTTATAATGAGTACTTCCAGCATTCATTTATGATAAAAACTCAGCAAACTAGGGAGAGAAAATTCCTCAATTTGATAAAGAGAATCTACAAAAAAACAGCCCACTTCATCTAAATGATGCTTAATGATGAAAGAACTGAAGGCTTCCCTCCTAAGATTAGGAACAATTCAAAAATTCACCACATTTACTCAACATTATACTGGGAAGTCCTAGTGCAATAGACAAAAGAAAAGAAATAAAAGGCATACAGATTGGAAAGGAAATAAAAGAATTGTCTCTATTTTCAAGTGACATAACTGACAATGTGTAAAATCTCAAGGCATATACAAAGAGACTTCTAGAACTACTATGTCAGTTCTGCAAGGTTCTAGGATACCAGATCAACACACAAAATCAAAGCACATTTCTATGTAACAACAATCAATATCTGAAAATACAAGAAAAACATAATATCATTTACAGTCATTCCAACAAAAATGAAATAATTTAGCTGTAAATCTAACAAAACATGTACAGGATCTCTATGCTGAAAACTACAAGATGTTAAAAGCAATCAAAGAAAATCTAAGGAAATGGAGAGGCATACTATGTTCATGAATTGAAAGATCAAACAGTAAAGATACACATTTTCCATAAACTGGTCTATATATTTAATTCAATTCTTGTCAAAATAACAGCACGTTTATTTGTAGACACTGAGAAACTCATTCTGAATTTTTATGGAAAAGCAGAGGACCAGGAAGAGTTAAAACAAATCTGAAAAAATAAGTCAATAAAAGTGGGAAGAATCACTCTACACGAGGTTAAGAGTTAGTGTACAGCTACTAGGGTCAACACAGTGTGGTATTGGTGGAATAATAAACACAGTGATCAATGGGACACAGTAGTACGTGAGAGATGCAAAGAAGTATGCCCAGTTGATTTTTAACAATATACCCATCTTTCCAAAAATGGCGTTGGAGGAATTGGACAGCCATAAGCCACAAAAAAAATGAACCTTGATCTAAATCTCATACCTTATACAAAAAATAACACAAAATTGATAATAGAGCTACATTTAGTAAAGCATTAAACTTTATGACTTTTAGAAAAAAACAGCAATATAGGAAGGAGGGCTAGGCAAAGAACTTTCAAACATGGCACCAAAAGTACAATCCAGAAAAGGAAATATTAATACATTGATCACCTCAAAATAAAAAATAGTTTGCTCTGATATGGACCCTGTCAGAGAAAAAGACTTGTGACTGTAGGATAGCAGGAGGGAGCCACATGGAGACAGAGTGGATCTGCATCTTGATCATGCTGGTCATTGCACAAATCTACTAATGATGTGATAAATTTGTATAGAACACAAATGGGTTCTGCGTTTTGATCATGCTGGTCATTGCACAAATCTATGATTGTGATAAATTTGCATAGAACAGAAATGAGGGCACATAAAGCTGGTGAAATCTGAATAAGCTCTGTGAACTGTATCAATGTCAATTTCCTGTACTATATAGTAACATGAATATACTGTATTTATAGTTATGCAAGATTGCAAGATGTTACCATTCGGGGGGGACAGGATGAAGTGGACGTGGAACCTTCCTGGACATTTTTTAGGCAACTGTCTATGAATATATAAGAATTTCAAAATATAAATTTAATCAATCAGTATTTTAATTTCAACACATGAATGCTTACCCTCCGGTTTGTGAAGACAGAATAACATTCTTTCACTAGCACTGTTTTGATCATGTCAGGATCTGTGATAGCCAGCACAGGCTGTTGACCATCATAAAAGCTGTGTGAAAAAAACAGAGTTGATTAAACATCAACAGCCTTATTCTACAGCTGGAGCCCAACCCAGGAAGCCAGACTTTGATCCTGACTTTACATAATCCCTTAGTTGTACAATACACAGTAATCTTAGGTTCTAGTTCATTAGGTATGACACACAGCAAGAGTCTGACACAGGAGCCACTCAAGTCTTCATATGATGAAGGATAATGTGGGCCAAACAAGGAAGAGACATTGAAAGACAAAAGAGCTCTTCAAAGAGACCATGGTTAGAAATGACAGTAGAGCATTTGTTAAGCTGGGTGGTGCATACGTGGATATTTCCCATGCCATTCTCCATAATGTTTCATATGTTTAAAATATTTTATTTTAAAAAGAATATTAAACCAACAAAGATCAAAAGAGACAAAGATGGGCATTACATAATGGTGATGGGATCAATACAACAGGAAGAGCTAAATATCCTAAATATATATGCACCCAAATACAGGAGCACCCAGATTCATAAAGCAAGTTCTTAGAGACCTACAAAGAGACTAAGATTTCCACACAATAATAATGGGAGATTTTAACACCCCACTGTCAATATTAGACAGATCAACAAGACAGAAAATTAACAAGGATATTCAGAACTTGAACTCAGCTCTGGACCAAGAGGACCTAATAGACATCTACAGAAATCTCCACCCCAAATTAACAGAATATACATTCTTCTCAGCACCACATCGCACTTATTCTAAAATTGACCACATAATTGGAAGTAATATACTCCTCAGCAAATGTAAAAGAAAAGAAATCACAACAAACTGTCTCTCAGACCACAGTGAAATCAAATTACAACTCATGATTAAGAAAGTGACTCAAAATCACACAACTACATGGAAACTGAACAACTTGCTCCTGAATGACTACTGGGTAAATAAGGAAGTGAAGGCAGAAATAAAGATGTTCTATGAAACCAATGAGAACAAAGGCACAATGTACCAGAATCTCTGGGACACATTTAAAGCAGTGTGTAGAGGGAAATTTATAGCATTAAATGCCCACTAGAGAAAGCAGGAAAGATCTAAAATTGACACAGTAACATCACAATTAACAGAACTAGAGAAGCAAGAGTAAACAAATTCAAAAGCTAGCAGGAGACAAGAAATAACTAAGATCAGAGCAGAACAGAAGGAGATAGAGACACAACAAACCCTTCAAAAAATCAGTGAATCCAGGAGCTGGTTTTTTGAAAAAGGTCAACAAAATAGATAGACTGCTAGCAAGACTAATAAAGAAAAAAGAAGAATCAAATAGATGCAATAAATAATGATAAAAAGGATATCACCACTGATCCCACAGAAATGCAAATTACCATCAGAGAATACTATAAACACCTCTATGCAAATAAACTAGAAAATCTAGAAGAAATAGATAAATTCCTGGACACATGCCCCCTCCCAAGACTAAACCAGGAAGAAGTTGAATCTCTGAATAGACCAATAATAGGTTTTGAATTGAGGCAATTATTAATAGGCTACCAACCAAAAAAAGTCCAGGACCAAATGGATTCACAGCTGAATTCTACCAGAGATACAAAGAGGAGCTGTTATCATTCCTTCTGAAATTTTTCTGAACAATAGAAAAGGAGGGAATCCTCCCTAACTCATTTTATGAGGCCAGTATCTCCTGATACCAAAGCCTGACAGAGACACAACAAAAAAAGAGAATTTTAGTCCAATATCCCTAAAGAATATCGATGCGAAAATCCTCAATAAAATACTGGCAAATCAAATCCAGCAAAACATCAAAAAGCTTATCCACCAGGATCAAGTCAGCGTCATCCCTGGGATGCAAGGCTGGGTTCAAAATACCAAATCAATAAATGTAATCCATCACATAAACAGAACCAATGACAAAAACCACATAATTACCTCAATAGATGCAGAAAAGGCCTTTGACAAAATTCAACAGCCTTTCATGCTAAAAACTCTGAATAAACTAGGTATCAATGGAACGTATCTCAAAATAGTAAGAGCTATTTATGACAAACCCACAGCCAATATCATACTGAATGGGCAAAAACTAGAAGCATTCCCTTTGAAAACCGGCACAAGACAAGGATGTCCTCTCTCACCACTCCTATTCAACATAGTGTCGGAAGTTCTGAATAGGGCAATCAGGCAAGAGAAAGAAATGGATATTCAATTAGGAAAAGAGGAAGTCAAATTGTCTCTGTTTGCAGATGACATGATTGTATATTTAGGAAACCCCATCGTCTCAGCCCCAAAACTCCTTAAGCTGATAAGCAACTTCAGGAAAGTCTCAGGATACAAAATCAATTTACAAAAATCACAAGCATTCCTACACACCAATAATAGACAAACAGAGAGCCAAATCATGAGTGAACTCCCATTCACAATTACTACAAAGAGAATAAAATATCTAGGAATCCAGCTTACAAGGGATGTGAAGTTCTCCTCTTCAAGGAGAACTACAAACCGCTGCTCAATGAAATAAAAGAGGACACAAACAAATGGAAGAACATTCCATGCTCATGGGTAGGAAGACTCCATATCATGAAAATGGCCATACTGCCCAAGGTAATTTATAGATTCAATGCTATTTCCATCAAGCTACCACTGACTTTCCTCATAGAATTGGAAAAAACTACTTTAAAGTTCATATGGAACCAAAAAAGAGCCCACATAGACAAGACAATCCTAAGCAAAAAGAACAAAACTGGAGGCATCACGCTACCTGACTTCAAATTATACTAAAAGGCTACAGTAACCAAAACAGCATGGTACAGGTACCAAAACAGAAATATAGATCAATGGAACAGAACAGAGGCCTCAGAAATAACACCATGCATCTACTACCATCTGATGTTTGACAAACCTGACACACAAAAGCAATGGGGAAAAGATTTCCTATTTAATAAATGGTGTTGGTGAAACTGCCTAGCCATATGCAGAAAATTGAAACTGGACCCCTTCCTTACACCTTATACAAAAATTAACTCAAGATGGATTAAAGACTTAAATGTAAGACCTAGGACCATAAAAATCCTAGAAGAAAACCTGGGCAATACCATTCAGGACACAGGCATGGGCAAAGGCTTCATAAATATAACACCAAAAGCAATGGCAACAAAAGCCAAAATTGACAAATGGGATATGATTAAACTAAAGAGCTTCTACACAGCAAAAGAAACTATCATCAGAGCAAACAGGCAACCTACAGAATGGGAGAAAATTTTTGCAATCTATCCATCTGACGAAGGGCTAACATCCAGAATCTACAAAGAACTTAAACAAATTTACAAGAAAAAAAGCAAACAACCCCATCAAAAAATGGGCAAAGGATATGAACAGACACTTCTCAAAAGAAGACATCTATGCAGCCAACAGACATGTGAAAAAATGCTCATCATCACTGGTCATTAGAGAAATGCAAATCAAAACCACAATGAGATACCATCTCATGCCAGGTAGTATGGTGATCATTAAAAAGTCAGGAAACAACAGATGCTGGAGAGGATGTGGAGAAATAGGAACACTTTTACACTGTTGGTGGGAGTGTAAATTAGTTCAACCATTGTGGAAGACAGTGTGGTGATTCCTCAAGGATCTAGAACTAGAAATACCATTTGACCCAGCAATCCCATTACTGGGCATATACCCAAAGCATAAATCATTCTATGATAAAGACACATGCACACATATGTTTATTGCAGAACTATTCACAATACCAAAGACTTGGAACCAACCCAAATGTCCATCAGTGACAGACTGGATAAAGAAAATGTGCCACGTATACCCCATGGAATACTATGCAGCCATAAAAAAACAATGAGTTCATGTCCTTTGCAGGGACAAGGATGAAGCTGGAAACCATCATTCTCAGCAAACTATCACAAGATCAGAAAACTCAACACCACATGTTCTCACTCCTAAGTAGGAGTTGAACAATGAGAACACATGGACACGGGGAGGGAAACATCACACACTGGGGCCTGTTGTTGGGTGGGGGGCTAGGGGAGAGATAGCATTAGGAGAAATACCTAATGTAGGTGACAGGTTGATGGGTGCAGCAAACCACCATGGCACGTGTATACCTATGTAACAAAACTACACATTCTATGCATGTAACCCAGAACTTAAAGTATAATTTAAAAAACTAAAAATAAAAAATAAAATAAAATCACAGTCCATCAGCCCGCCAGTGGTTAAGAATATTCAGCATTTCTTCAAATTCAGCAGGAAGGTATAGACAAAGAAATGCTTATATACCCTTCTATTAAAAAGTCTTGGCTTAAATTTAATAACAAAACAGAATGAAAAGTTCCACACTTGCAGATAAAATTAAAAAACAACAACAGCAGAGTATAAATGGTTTGCCAATCTATTTCTCTATTATCTCTCAACCCTTCATTCAAAAGCACTTTAAATCCAAAGTCTAAATGAAAGAGTTTTGGCTTTTAATTGAAAGTGAATTGATGTGGGAAGGAGATGATATGATGTATTTATGAGCACATATTAGAAGGGTCTGAGACAACACATGTAATAAAAGGGCACCTAAGGAAAAAAAAAAAGAAGAGGGGAATAGGCAGACACTGGACAGAGCATGATGCTGTGAGTCCCTGGGCCACCAAAGTCTGGAGAAAAGTAATCACAATGCTCCCAGCCTAGTTCAGACTGTAGAACTTGACACCTGGTGACACATGGGATCCTTGGTAGGACAACCTTCGAAAAGTTTTACAATAACCAGTGTGAATGTTGTTAGAACCAAAATGATGTCACTAGTTGTGTGTGTGTGTGTGTGTGTGTGTGTGTGTGTGTGTGTGTGTAAAAACCCTGACAAATAAATCAAAGAAGGCTATGAAGAGAGGATTCTCATGCTTGTGTGCCTGATAACAAAACTATCACAAAAGACTCCGCAAAACTACAAGCTTGCACAAAGGCCATCCCAACATTAAAAAAAATATTTCTGCAAGGACACCTGCCCAGCAACTGCCTGTCCAACCTTGGTGAGGCGTCACCCTTGTTACTGATCTTTGTAGCGAAGGATAATTATTTCAAAACTGATAAGAAATCCTCCTCATATTTTCCTTGGAGCCTCTTTGTCTTGCTTTACTTCCCTGAATTTGCACATAGTTTATAAAGGCATGCAGATTCCCATTGCAATACTCTACACCCAAATAAATATCTTCTTCTTTCAGAGAACTTCTCTCTGTTTGTAGTTAGGTTGACAAGAGCTTCATCCCAAGAGGCTTTGGGCTGAGACTGTCCTCTGTGCAGTGGGGTAAACTCATCATAGAAACAAGTCTATCCAATGGAAGTTTCCAGAATACTCACCCCCACACTTTTCCATACTTTTTATGACATTCCATGTCAAACATACAAAAGCCCTGGGAGGAGAAACAAAATAATATTTGATTATTATTTTTAATGTACTTAACCCTGCCTCTAATTGGGATGAAAACAGTCGAAGCCAATGAAATCAGACTTGCTGGCAGTTAGAGGAAGCTTATTTGGAGACGTCATAAAGGAAATAAGAGAAAACAGAGGAGGTATTTGAAAAGGGAAATTTAAAATCACTCTTGAATTCTCTCCAAGTGTTGTGGATACTGAATGACTTATCCTTGTGTATAAATACTAAGTACCTCTTTGTCTTTCTGATGTCTTTTTGCTTTTTCATGTGTTGTCTTGAAAATCTCATGAATCCCTGAATGATCACCTCCAGGGGCACATGGGGAAACTGAGGCCAAGGGAAAGTGAATTAGCATCAGAAGAGAATGCACAGTGTTTTATCTCTTTGTCATCCTTTTCATTTATTTCATGAGCTCGCTCTAGAGTTCTAGCAGAATTGGAAAGTTACAGACACCAGGGAACTCCTTTAGTCTAGCAGATTTAGGTAAGTATGAGGCATGTTGTTGAGTGAGAAAATGAACGAGTGACAGAATGACAAAGTGAACTCACTTTCCAGTTTTCCAGCTTAACATGGAAGTTCTGAGAAAATGTCCCCTCTACACATCGGACACAGCAAATTACAACACTTGCTCAGAGTTTTCACTGAAACTTAAAAACAAACCTTCCTGTATCGACATTTCAGGGGTGACATTTTAACTGTGCAAACAAAGGTCCCAGGAATGTGCATCTTGGGGGTACATCTACTAAAGAGTTGACCTGGAAAAGGTGGCGGGGAAATTATTGCTTTTGCACAGGGAAAAAATATGAAATTCCTGGATAGTAATTAGACAACAAAGCCCTCACCTGAGAGAATTAGAATCTGAGAAACAAGCCTCAGGTATGTGGGAAAGATGATGTAAGCCAAAGAGCTGACTGCTGCGGCTGGCCATGTGGACATGGGCTCCTAATTTTCCATCCAGGGCCCAGACCCTGGGCAGAGCATCAGACTAGGTTAGGCACAAAGGCTCGGCCAAAGTTCACGGTCCACGTGGCACATATTATATTCTATTCAGCAAAATTAAATATTTAATAATTTCATCAAATCATCCCCTTTCTAGTGATTTTGCATGTGATTCCGCCTTTGTGTAAAAAAAAAACCCCACAAACTCATTTTGTGCTTAAATATCTGAGTTTGATTGACCACCACTGTCTCATCTCAGTTATATCCAGTCTGTGATCAGACTCACCCATAAGGTGCAGCCTTTGAAGGAAAAGAAATAAAGCAGAACCCCTTTGTTCTGTCTCTCAAAGCTGCAAAAGATGTCATGGGGAGTAAGAGCTGGGGTAGAGCCATGGAGATACCCTCAGGGAATTTAGCATTTTTCGGAGAGGATTGAAGCAGGTGCAAATGACCCAAAGGTAAAT